>NC_000002.12:45038837-45341867 GCF_000001405.40 Homo sapiens | reverse complement strand
AATTGTTTACATAATGATTTTCACTTATAAGATTATTTACTTTTTTCAAAATCTATTTTATAGGTAAGGAAACTGAGGCTCAGAGAAGTTAAGTAACATTAAGTAACGTGTCCAAGTGATACAGCAACATGGAGTCCTTGCTCTAAAAACCCATACTTCTGACTTTAGGCACAGGGAAGAAATGATTCTAAAACATTAAAGCTCCTGTCTCCAGTCTTGATTTTGCCCTTCATTTCCAACAAACTGCTGCTTTTGTAGCATCTTCAGGGTCTTACCTTAAACAAGTTGAGTGGGCTCTCTCAAGCAATTCTGTGGACTGACTCTGCTTTCTGCAAAGCCTTGGAGGAGAAGCTCTGTTGGGAGCTGGCTGTGTCCTGCCTATCTCCCATCACAGTCAGGCCCTGCCCTTCCTCTGTGTTCTCCGTGTGCTGCTCACAGCTGCCATTTACAACTTCCATGAAGATAGAAATTGCTCCTCCCCCAGCCTTGGGCTCTCCACCTCCAGACAATGAAACGCCATTGCACGTATCAATCAGCAGTAACACCTCCTTACATCAGCCCAGGTCTTTTGGGCTCATCATCACACTTAGGCTCACTACAACCCTGTGAGTGGGCAGGGCAGGTTTCCCCAGGTTACAGTTGGGGAAACTGAGGTTTAGAGCAATGGATGTGAACTTAGCCTTGTTAATCAAAGTTTCCTGGTGCAAAAACATCCTTTCTGCCCTGACTCCCTGATGGCCGATGCTGCCAGAGGTAAAAGGCAGCCTGGACTCTTGCTGAGTTGGCAGTGGACCTCAGAAAGCCAGATTCTCTCTGCAGGAGATGAGCATTCTGCTGTGGGTAATCTAATGGAGTGGGACTTGCCTTACCAGCCATTTTTGACATCTGAAAGGAAAGATCGTGGAATATTTTTAAGGAACAGATGGAAGAGCCCTTGGGGATAGGCAGTGGCTTTGAGTGTAGCTCAGGAATAGGGAGCAGTTGGCAAATACACTAAAGAATATTTAAACTAGCGCAAGCTTCAAGTAGCCCACTTGTGTGTCTCAGAGCCTCTTTGGGCCTCTGTAAACAGCAAATCGATTGAGCGTCAGACTGTTTTCATAGCTGTCCTGCACACTGGGAATATTAGATGAAGCAAACCTTTTATTTAGTTCCTGACAGGTAATTAAATTTGCCTCTGCATTGGTTTGTGATCCAGCCAAGGAGCCAGGAGTAGCATTCTGAATGGCTGCAGCTATTTGCTGGAATATTACAACTTAATTTTGCCTCTCAGGTTGTAAGTAGAGATCTTGATTCAGTGGAAAGTTTGACTCAGGCTTGGGGCTCCAGGTTGGAGATTTCATTTTTTCCAGCAGGAGTTTGCTCTCCATCTCAAACATATGAGAGCCCCGTTTCCACATTTTTTCCAGAGTGGCAAACTGTGGGAAAAACTGAACGTTACAAAGTAAAGAAAAACAGCAACTGGCAATAGCAAGGGAAGGAATCCGATGCTGTCCAAAAGACCTGTTTCTTTGGGAATCAGGGTTTATTTCAGTAACAGAAAGTAGTTTTGGATTCTGTGTTCACTGCAAATGCCAAAAAGAGCACCATGGCTCTGAGAATTTTTACAAAGAGCTTGTGAGATTAGGGAGTGCAGGAAGGGCCTGATAGATGTAGCTTTCCTTAAAGTCCAAATGCAGTCTTGGGGATAGTTCTCCATAATCCACCGTAGCCTCTTCCCCGTGCACCGCACCTGGACTCCACGGGTGGCGCAGCAGCCTTGAGCAGCCGAGCAGCTCCGCAGCTCCTCTCCTTCCTGGTATGGGGGGCCAAACTTGCTCCTTGTTCAGCAAATGCCTGGTTCGAAGGATGGAAGAGAGGAGCTACCAGGTTGCGGCACCAAAGTAGAATCACAGAAACCTCATCGTTGAAAGGGACATTGAAGATCTTCACATCTTACCCTCTGCCCTAATCCGTAATTCTATCTACAGCCTCACAGCAAGGGCTTGTCCACACTATGTCTGAATACCTCCAGTGACAAGAAATGCACTATCCACCAAGGCAGCCTTTGTATCTCTACATAGCCTTGTTCTTCCCTTTACAACCTGAGGTGGGTCTCCCTTTAGCTTCTTCCCTGTGGTCCTTCCTTGGAACCATATGGAAAAGCTCGATTGCTCTTCCACCTGGCACATGTAAATAATGCTCAATAACTGCTGTCTATGAGTATGATTTCTGAGCCCCATGAACCCAAGCTCCCTGTGTACCGCTTGCCCCTTCATTTTGCAGCTCACCCTCAAGCACGATATGGTTTGGCAGTCTGGTTCTGCTGCCTGGAGTTTTCTGATGCATTAGTAATACCACTATTAAGTTTCTCAGAACAGGAGTGGAGCCCATTGCAGCACTCCCTCCTGCCGCCACAGTGGCATGCACTCCGTGCTCACAGAGGGAAAGGCTCTGAAAGCCATAGGCAGAGGCAGCTCGGTCTTTCTTTTCCCAAACCAGTGCAGGTGGAGGATCCTGGAGCTTCAAGAAGCATTCCCTCAGGAGCAAACAGAGCCTGCAGTTCTGGGCTGAGAGGACAGGGATGGGGGAGTTGGCCTGACACTGGACTTGCTAGCTATTCATGTAATGGTGCCTCCAGAATCCTGAGCTCTAGCCTCAGGGCTGAGTTGGGCTAGGGTGGGTCATGGAAGGCTATCCCCAAGATTGAGTTTGGACTTCCGGTTGGGCTGTTTGGGGGTTTTCCTGGTCCAGTCTTCTGCTCCAAAAAAGAAATCCTGAGCTTCAGGTTATCAGCCAACCAGGAAAGCTCATGTGACTTTAAGAACTATGCCACTAACATACTTGGATTCACAAAACTATAGTCAGAAAGTTTTGAGAATTTGGAGTCAGAAGTCTCAGGTTTAAATCCAAGTTCATTCCATCACTTACCATGTGACCTTGTTATGTCTTACAACCTCTGTGATTCTTTTTCCTTTTTGAGTCTTAATTCCTCACCTATAAATTGGGTCTAATAATATCTACATGCTACGTTCTTCAGGGGTATCCTAAAGAATGGATGATCTCACATTGGAAAACTACTTAGCACAGTGCTACACATCACTGATAGATCCTTATTAAATATTCTTCTCCCTTAGTTCCCTTTCAGTTTTCTCATCTTTCTTGGTGATGATAATGCTTATTTGGCAGGATTTTCAGGATCAAGTGAGATTATCTATCAATTACAAAGTGATATATGATGCTTATACTTACCATTATTATTATTCGGAGAGGAACATATTAAGCGGCCTTGGTAGGTATCAGGGATATTGGCTGGGCTATCTTTCCACCCTGGTGCCAGGCCAAAGGCCAAGGACTCTTCACCTTACTCCACGGGCAAATGAGGGAGACATCGCGAGGCAGTGTTAGGGTGTCCTGGAGGGAACAGAGGCGGCTATGGCTATAAAGTGTTCTGTTCATATATTTATTCTGAATACATTTACTGAGGGCATCTAAAATGCTGTGTGGAGTGATGTTGTCTGTGGACCTTGCAACAAAGTTTTTAGATGCCGAGAAAGTAAATTTGCCCCAGAAATTGGTTCATGTGCAGGTGTGCATTTAAGTTCTACGAACTAGGTCTTCATCTGACCATGACCGAGGGAAAAGACATTTCTCCTTTGATGTTTGAATTTTAGAAAAAAGAAAGGAAGAGAGGAAGGAAGGGAGAAAGGGAGAAAGGGATGAGGAGGAAGAAGGAAGGAAGGAAGGAACAATTAGAAGGTCTCAAAGAAATTATTCAAGCACTGATGGATTCTCATGGAGTTAAAGCATGACTGTTGTCAGGTCTTGAATATATCTGGAGAACTCTGTCCTGTGGGTTTGTAGGGGCTTTGAGGGCCAGTGAGTGTGGGGCTAGAGGTCTTTGTGGACTCTTGCAATGGGAGTGCTTCATTTGGGTTGACCGTCTGTGACTCTCTACAGGCAAAATTGACTGGTGCTGCCATTTTTCCAGGGCTGGAGCTGCTTGGGCTGCTTATTGCATTTGCAGATTTGCAAGCAAATGTATGTGTTTTACAAATGGAGTGAACGCCCTATGTTTCTGATTGATGGGCCATCAGTTGCACAGTTGTTGGGCAGTGATTGATTTTCCAACCCAGCTGCTCCAGCTGTGCTGCAGATGCGCCTTGTCTGAAGTCAGAGGGCTAGTGTTGTAAGCCATGGAGAAGATCCTAATTGGAGTGATCCCTGAGAAATTGGCCATTGTGATGGCTAACAGCCATGAATTTTGGGCTTTGCTTGGGGTGCTAAACTATAAGCTCTCCCTTGGTAATTGCCATTCCCAACTGGATCAGTGCCATTTTGAAATTCATGATGACGCAGATGGGGCCAACAGAAGCTTATTCTTGCATAGTCTGCTGAACCAAAACTCAATTTTTGAAACATCTTGTTTTGAAATTCCAAGTTAACACATGCTCATTTTAAAGTTCTCAAAATATATAGAAAGGTAGAATAAAGACAGTGAAAGTCAACCACATTCTCACCATCCATAGATAACCATGGTTAATATTTTGATGTATTTTATTTTGGTTATTTTATTCTATATGAGTATAACTTACACTTTTTCAGACTTGGGTTCATACTTTAAACATAATATACTTTTAAATTTTTTAATTATAATTGGGAACACAACATATGCCTTTAAATTAAAAATAAAATTGGTGAGCACACAGATAATGTAAGCTTGATTGCAGCTGGAGAGAGAATTACAGTAACATGAGGAGGGGATAAGCCAGGAGACCTGGCTTACAAACGGTCTTGCCCTGGCATTAACTTATGCTGGGTGCCTAATCTGTAAAATAGTGACATGAATACCTGCCTCACTTTCTCAAGCGGTTATGAAGTGCCATCCTGTGCCACACATCCGAGTCAAGCACGTAATAAAGGGAAAATATTTTCATTATCACTTAAACAAAAATGTTCCCAGCATGTCAATTGTACCCATTTGTTTAGAGTCTGGCTAATTAGAAATGATCCTGTTTCACTGGAGTAGACCAGGTGGGCAGCACATGATCAGCTCTTCCTCTGGGTTTTTACTGTAGAGGTAACATGGGGATGAGAGAACCTATTCTGCTTGTGGGGAGGGTTTGGGCCAGGCCTCTTCAAGCACCAACATCTGCCATTTAGTATCCTTAAAAGGGTTAACACAGGATTTCTTTTAAACACATTGAAGGATAACTTTTTGCTGCTCGTTAAGGCCCTTCCCTACTTGGTCCCGAGGAGTGACTTTCTGGCAGTATTCTCCGACATGCCTGTTCAGAGCACTGGCTTCACACTGTGGGCAGGGCAACCCAGTTCAAAGGCTGCCCTGAGGCTTGGAGGGATGGTTGACCACAGTGATACATCACAGTGGTGCCTCCTGGCAGGGCTGCTGCATGGAGGCTCAAAGGGCCTCTTCACCTTGGGGGTCTGGGTCAGGCAGTCGAGTGGCCACGCTGGCTGCTGATTCCTTCTGCCAAGGGGGTCCTTTAAGATTTAGTCTCTCTGTGGCCAATAAACTCATCTAACATCCAAGTCAGGACTGGGCCCCCTTCTGACCTATATATGACTGATGGCGGCCTAACTTTAGGGTCATAATTTGAAAAGAGACCCCCCCCAAAAATCAACTTTTGTGCTTTTTGAGTTCTTAAAATTTTTATTCCAGGAGAGGAAGTTAAACTCACAGGAACTCCCTCTTGAATGTCTAGGTTCTGGCCCCTGGACCACTCCATGTGGGGTTTGATGTTTGCTGAATAAAATCCTCATAACAACTAGTGTAGGGGTCCTCCAGCTTGCCCGCACATGAGAACCACCTGAGGTTCTATCCCAGACCAATTAGATCAGAACCTCTCGGGGCAGAGCCCAGGCCGTGGTATTTTAAAAAAGCTCCTCAGATGATTCAAATGTGCTGCTAAGGTTCCAGACCATTGAAGGGGGTAGGGTGGCTTCAGAGAATGCCGCCAAATGCCCTCATTGCCAAAGTGACAAGACTGAGCCCAGGGGAGGTGAAGTAACGTGTTCACTAGAAAGCACAGCTAGACAGAGGCACGCTGACCTCTGGAGTCCCAGTCTCTGAGGTGAGCCACCTTTGGAAGTGTTCTGTTGGTCCTGAATATGAGCTGAACTAGTGACTCTTATCCACGTAGCAGCAGCTATAGAAACAAAGGGCAAGCGCGCTCTAGGAAGTCTTTTAGTTCTATGAAGACTGTTGTGGTGTTTTCTCTCCTCTCTGGTGCTGTGGCTGAGCAGGGTGTCACCAGTGACCTGGGGAAGGATCCATGATACACTTAGAGGATTAGAGGCGACATGGGGGAGGGGGCGGGAGCCCTGATGACCGGCAGGATGGGGGGCTGGACATCACAGAGCTGGGAGTGAGAACACCCAGCTCTGTCTTCTCTTTCTGCTGTGGCTTTGCCATGTTCCCAGCCTCCTCCAGGTTTCCTTTTCCCAACTGCAAAAATAAGACTTCATTTACAGAATCTTAGGTTTACAAGGTGCTTCCAGAAGACGTGTGCTCTGGTCCTTGCAGCAGTGCTGTGAGGCAGAGGGAGCAGGAAGCTTCATCTCCATCTTATAGATGTAGCACAAACGTTGAGAAGCTTCACAGGCCTCACCATAGGGTGATAACATCTCAGAGCCCACTCCCATCCCATCCTCTAGCATTTTCTAGAAGTTTCCAAGACCTCATATGAGTTCTTAAACCAGTCTGTTGGTTTCAGACTCCAGGCACAACTCACCTATCCTTCCTGCCCAGCTTCTGGGACACAAGTCCTCACCCCTGCCCCTTGGCCCTCCCACATCCCCTGCAGTGTCAGTGCTGGGTGAGGGTCACTCGCCGGATGGTCCCAGGGTACGGAACTCCTTCTTGCCCAAAACCAGTGCTGCTCTTGGCCAGCCTGGCCTTGAGAGCTTTGCTTAGCAAGAGCCTCCTGAGCGTTCTCCCAGCTTCTGCTACTGACCCCGCTAGCCACCCAAGTCTAAGCAGTTTGATCATTCCTCCAAATTCCAATCTTCTCAACCCTTCATGCTCACCTTGACCTTCAGAGCTTCTGAGAGTTTGAACAGAGCCAATTGAGCCCCCCTGGTAAGTCTGGGGCACAGAATGGGGCTGGGGAGGGGCGTCAGCCACGCGAACAGAGCTGCCTGCCACTAAGGTCCTGTTACACAGAGGAGGAGACTGGGGCCCCACGTCACTGAGCCTGTGAGTGACCGGGTGAGAAAGGAAACCTCCACCTTCTGAACCCAGGCCAGTGCAGATGAGAGTCATACCCAGTCCAGGGAAAGGGAAAGCAGGCCTCCGAAAGAGCACATGCCAGTGCCTGGGGCTGATTCTGAAGGCCACCCTCTCCCCCAACGCCGGCCTTCAGGCCCAAGCACCCTGGGGCGCTCCCAGGCGCAGGTGGGCCATGGGCTGCCCGCATCCCCACCGCTAACAAAGGCCCCGCGCCCTGGCGGCCTCCCGAGGCCGGCGGCCTTTGAAGCGCACAGCCTGGATTATTTAATATAATGGAACAGTGCAACCTGACCCATCAGAGACATAAATTTCCAGGTGTTTTAAATTTGTTTTCCCCGTCAGAATGGTAAATGGCAGATAGTAAAATTCGGCACCAGGTCGTGGCTGTGGGTGCAGAGCTGGCCACAGGCTGAGCTCCTGCCACTCCAGGGTGGGCTTGGCGGCCTAGGCAGCCCAGGGTGCACCAGAGGTGGCCCCGTGTCCACGGACTACCCTGGACATGAGGCTCCGAAGCTCTGAAAAGGATCCTAGGCCAGGGCTGGGTGGGGATCCCGGGTCCTTAGTTTCAGAAGGAGTCTCAGGGTATCTAAGTCTTCTGGCCATGAGGGTCTCTCACCCTGACATCTGTGCAGAGAAACCAGCAGCCCCACGCCCCCTAGGTTAATTGAGGTGTGAGTGCCTGTAACACCCATAACGAGGTTTCTATTGCTCTTGCCAAGTTCCATTATGGACGCATCTGCTTTCTGATTTTTCCAAGATGGTTTGATTTTTTTTTCTTTAAGTCCAAACTACAAAGGAACAGTCTGCACAGTAGCTTTTTGCAGAAGGTAAGAGATGCTGACTGCTTTTTCCAGACCCCTGCTTTTTTGAGATGTGTCAGAATCCACAGGGCGGCTGCTGAGGATAGATATTACTCCGAGTGATTCTGGAGAAATCTGATCCTCGCTGCCACTCCCCACAGGGCCCTTCACCCTTTTCCCTTCAAAGTCATAAAGGATGTCTACCTTTGTGAGGCAGATTCCCCTGCCTGCTACCTACAAACCTGTGATCTGTCACTTTGAATGGATAAATCATTTCATATTTATTTCCCAAATGGAAGCACTGGCTCAGAGAAGGTGGAAACGCCAGAAATTAGTGTAATTTAGGGGATGGAAGTGGGAAGGCCCTTGTTCCTTACCAAGATAATTGTCATTCTCTACTTGCTTTGGGGATAGGGCCTTAAACACGGATAGCTTCTGGTGTAATGAAATAGTTACATTTTACTGATAAAGTTCTCTCTATTGGTCCAGCGTTGTGTGTGTGAGTGTGTACATGTGTGTGTGTCTGTGGGGGATTGGGACCAAGGAAACCCAATGCAGATCTGTGAGACAGTAGAGACAGTAGGCGTCAGCTGGCCCTCGAACTTACCCTCTGGTACCCACAGATGCGCACAGCTCACAAAGCTGTGTATGGAAGGTGTCAGTGGAGCAGGGACAGTCGTTGGGACTAAGAAACTCAGAAGCTAGAGACAGGACAGACTCTTTCTGGCCTCGTGGTGAGGGAGAGGCTTTCTGGAGGAGGTCAGCCTTCAGGCTGGGGCTAGGGAGATGCCGAGGGAGGGGCAAGCATGAGCTCAGGAAGGAGGAAGGCAATGTGCAGTTGGGGCTAGAGGACAGTGAGAGATGGTGTGTAAAGACCAGAGCCTGGTGGGGCAGGACCTCAGGTGTCCTGAGAAAGCTGCTCCCCTGCCTGTTGGCCTTGCAGTTGTGTTTTCAGCCTGGAGTTTCTTCCTGATGACATGGCCCCAAGAGCAGGAGAGTGCTTCAAAGGTCAACTTCCTGGGCTCATTCCTGGAAACAGGAAACAGCGATTAGCAAATCAATTAATTAAGGCCCAGTAAACCACTGGATTATAAAGAATGGTTATTTGTTAACTGAAGACAGACCTTGGCCCCTGCTCAGAGGTGTGATTCTGGGAGAAGGCTGACCAGGAGCATGCTGAAGACAGAGGCAGGACTACCTATGTGTGAAATTCCAGCAGCCCAGCTCTGCTGATGACAGAAATGGCCATAATAAACCAAGGAGGTCACAAGTCAAGCAAATAATTTGGTTGACAAATAGGAGTATAAACAAGACCTTGATTAATGAATTTCCTAATAGTTCTCTGTTTATTGACATTAGCTCAGCTTGGTCATTAAGCCTGACATTGCCCATATATGTTGCATAGCATAACACCTTCCATTCATTCTGAGACTGCTTTGTAGCTTTTTGCCTGGATGTTTTATGCTTTAAGTCTTGTCTCCCTCACTGGGCCAGGAGCACCTAGTTCTGAGAACCCTTTCTATGCTTGCTGAAGAAAGAGGAAGGTCCTGGAGCTTCCTGTGAGTGGTAAATAGAGAAGTGAGAGAAGAAAGAAAAGCCTCCAGCTTCAGCATCTTAAATCCTAGGCATTGGGCTGGGAATCAGGGTCCAGCTCCCTCTCACTGTAACTATTGTTTCCCTTTTGGACTAACCTGTTGTACCTGGATTGCTCCATCTTTGAGGGGAAGGGCTCATTCTAGAAGGCCCTTCCTCCTCCTGGTGTTACAGGCATTGAAAAGGGAACACTGAATGGGCAGGAGAACGGAAAACACACTAAATAGAGCGAAGGTATCCCAGAAGAGCATGAGCTTCTCTGAGGCTTATCTTGGCCACCACTTAGCCTGCTTCTAACTGAACTTACCAAAGTGCTTTGGGGGACCTTAGCCATTGCCTCTGATGTTCAGAACCTAAGACGGGGTTGTCCTGGGAAATTGCCAGCGTGCCTAAAGTTGATCACCAATCCCTGGCCAGAGGACACCAAGAGCCCCTGTTATTGTCCATGGAATGGGAATGGGCTCTGTCAACCTGGGCCAAGAGTCCGGCCTGGAGCAGCTTTGTAGGCAGCTTTAGCAACACGGTGAAAAGCAAAAGCAGGAGGAGTTGAAGCTGTAAATGCCAGCTGTATTTTTATTGGTCGTCTGCAACTTCAAAGCTTTCACCTCTTTAAAGGAGGCCCACGCAGGTATCCAGTCGGCTCTCCGAGCTCCCGGCCTTGATGCCTTATTGATTTTCAATGTGGCTTGACTCCCAGGTGGGCAGACTTCAAACTGGTCTGTATTTTTCTGCTGTCATGTTTCCATCCTTGTTAGTTTCCATCTCCAGCAAGATCCTGGGCATGTTTGAGGGCAGCTTTCCTTCTTTGGCTTTCTCTCAATGTTCTGGACAGCATTTCAGACATCCAGGGCCGCCACCGCTGGAGTTGTGTCTTGTGTGATTAATACCCAGCTGTGCCAGATGCTGGCAAGTGCAAGAGAGAAGATGCAGCCTTGCTCTCAAGGGATTCACACCCATCGGTCCATCTAAGTGTTTTCTCAGTGTGGTCACTAGGGAAGGTGTGGCCAGCGGTGGAGGGTGGGGCTGGTCACTTGATGCCACCACCCCCTTTAACACATGCTCTTCAGGACTGACCTGAAGCTGCCAAGTGTTTACTGAGCTGTTGTTTGCCCAGTACCGGGGAGAACAAACATTCATTCAGTGCCTACTACAAATATTCATTAATACGTTCATTAAGTGCCTGTAGTAGGCCAGGCACTGAGCTTTGCTGATATTTACTAGTAGCTTTATCTAAATTTCATGTAAATTCTATGCCACTCTGTGAAGCAGGTTATTCTTAGCTCCCTTTTATAAATGACCATGCCGGATTGCAGGGGTTTAATAATTTGCCCAAGCTTACTTCACAAGCAAAAGGCTGAGCAGGGTCTGAGCTGCTCTTGCTTGAGCACACCAGGCTGGACTGGGTGTCTGTGTGTGTTGGGGAGGAAAGGGTACAGGAAGCTTGTCATCTCATTGGCACACAAATCCTATTCATGTGGAATAAATGAGCAAGATGAGGCATATGTGTGGCAATAATAACAAAAGCAAACATTTCTGGCTGGGTGCAGTGGCTCACAGCTGTAATCCCAACACTTGGGGAGGCTGAGGCTGGCAGATCGCTTGAGGTCAGGGGTTTGAGACCAGCCTGGCCGACATGGTAAAACCCCGTTTCTACTAAAAATACAAAAAATATCAGCTGGACGTTGCACGCCTGTAACCTAAGCTACTCGGGAGGTGAGGCACGAGAATCGCTTGAACCCTGGAGGTGGAGGTTGCATGAGCTGAGATCATGCCGCTGCACTCCAGCCTGGGCAACAGAGTGAGACTCTGTCTCAAAACCAAACCAAACAAAAAAACCAATAGCAAATATTTCTATAGCACCTACCAGGTGTCAGGGACTGTTCAAGTGTTTCACCAATATGAGCTAATCCGCATGAGTGCATGGAGGCCCAGAGGAGTTGGGTAATTCTCCCAAAGGCACGCAGCTGGGAAATGTCAGAGTTGAGATTCAGACACTGTGTCTTAAACACTTCATTGAGTGTCAAGACGGCCAGCGAGGGGCACCAGCAGTGTGGACTGAGCAGTGCCTTCTCTTTGAGAGCTTCACTGCCTGCTTTCCCAGACTTGACCTCTTCTAACCTCCAAAGAGCTGTGAGGCAGTGGCCAGGCCTCAGTGTCACCCTCCTTGATAGATTAGGCAGACAGATATCAAGTGGGTACTCAGGATGACCCAGACCACAACCCAGCCTCCTGTCTTTCCACTGCTGGGGCTTTCTAGAGGAAAAAAAAGTATCTTATCCAGTTGGGACATTGAAGAGATGTTTGGTTAGAAGTGTCTCACCTGCAAATCTGGGACAAACAGATCCAGAAAAGCGGTATCCTAAGAAGCTGATCCAGGAAAGCCAGTTCCTCGCCTGCAGTTCCATCTGCTCTGGCTGCCAAGGGAGCTGGGAAAGTGATTTTTGTGACTATCAAAGAAAGAGGCAGTGTAGGTTGGAGAGGAGGCTGGGTCCAGGTCCTGGGGGAATTCCCTGGTGCCCTGGGCACAGGCCTTCTGCTCTGCAGCCTGCCTGGCTCAGCCATGCAGGAGGAGAGGCCTTTGAAGTCACAGACCACCAATAAAATTGCAGCTGGCAGCAGGAGCTTACAGGACTCCAGGCGTGAGATTTTACACCACTAAGGGGCTAAGCCAGTGTTGACAGGGCTTGGAATGTGCCCTGGACTCCTTTTTCTTCTGCAAAGAGCCACTAGGGTGCCTCAGACCCTGGCTACCCTGTCACCCAATCAATCCAGGCTGCAGCAAGGGCCCGTGAGTCACCACAGGGAAGCGAGAGGAGCAGCTTGCAGTGTGGACCCAAGCCTGAAGCACATGCAGCTAACGGCTACAGCGCTGCAGGCTGTGAGCCCAGGCTGGGTTGGGAGGGCACAGGCGAGGCAAGGCTGTGTGACAGATGTGAGACCAGCAGCAGGGGAGAGCAATGAGGATGGGAATGGTTGTGGGGAGGAGATCATACATGGTGGCCCTTTAGGTTTCAGTATTAGCAAAGGCATGGAGGCTGGAATAAAGGAGGCACTGTTGTTCTCCTTCCTCCCCCTCTTCTTTCTCCCTTTCCCTTGTCCTCTACTTCCTCCCTTTTCCTATAGTCTTTAAACTGCTCTTTACATCTGCCCCAGTGCTGGGCATGGCCCCGTTTCTCCTTCTAAGGAGCTCAGGATCTGAGACAGGCAGCATCCTCAAGGCTGGGCTTTGGATCAGGACCTGAAGAAAGGGGATCAGTTGATGCCAAGAGAACCTGGCCAAGCACCATGACTGCCCAGAGAGTCATGAGCACAGTGGGAGCAGAGCTGACCTTTGGCATCATCCTCACCCCTACCCAGAGTTTTCTCTGAGCACTCGCTCCCTGCCTCTTGGGAAGCAGCTACTGATGCATCTCTTCTGAGGCATTTGGTGATGGGTGGGTTCACTCCCTTCAAGGATGGTGAACAGCAGGAGCCCCAGGGATTGAGCTGAGTGGGGAGAGCCATTATCTGGATGTTGTAACCAGGAAGAGGAGCTGAAATAGATACCAAACAAACACAGGAGATGGGCAAATGAATGAGTAGGGAATGAGCCTGGAGGAGGAGGTTCTGGGAATGGGTCAGTGCCTGGGGTCTTCACTACGGCACTCCCCTAGACCCTAACCTAACTGAGCCAGGAGATCAGCAGGGCTTGTTTTCCTGACCCTGCTGATGTAGGAAGGAAACTGTCCACAACCAGCAAGGACTAGGAATTATAATACATTTGCATGTTACAAGATACTCCCACCAGCACAGTGATGGTTTATAAATGCCATGGCAATGCCCAGAAATGACTTTATATGCTTCTGGGAACTGCTCGCCCCTTTTCCGGAAAGTTCATGAATTACCCACCTCTTATTTAGCATCTAATTAGGAGTAGGGGTAAATATACCTAGCCAGCAATCCACCAGTGCTACTCTGCCTGTGGGATAGCCCTGCCCTGTCTGTGGAGCAGCCATTTTGTTGTATGCTGTTGCTCAAATCAACTTGCTTCCTTTCACTGTTGGCTCATGCTTGAATTATTTCCTGAGTGAAGCCAAGATCCCTCTTGGGCTAAGCCCCAATGTTGGGGTTCACCTGCATCATAACCAGTTGTCCCATTTGGGCAGAGACACTTATAAGAGTAACCTGGTTAAAGTTTCCAGTGATGGAACAGGAACCTTGATGGCGGACTATGGAGTCTGCAGGGGGCACGAGAGACTTGTGAGCAGGGAGCTTTGGTAATGTACCTGCACACACAGGTCACACTCCAAAGGCAGCCTGCTCATTTTCCCCTCCTCCTCACCCACCTCACCCCCCATGTTGGTCTTTTATGAAGAATTGTCCTCAGCAGGGAGAGGACAGTACTAGATCAGGTTGACTCCTCCAAACTTGCAAAGCTGTTGTCACTAGTATGATTGTTTGTCTTGGAAAAAGCAGACTCTTCCCTGCAGCTATAGCACTAAGAAAAGGGCTGATTGAAGAAGGGCTGGTAGACTCAGGTCAGACACATAAAGAGAACTGTTGTCTCACCCACCAGGGTTGGTGGGCCCAACTCACCATGTCCTGTCTAGAACCACAGGGAAAAACACCATAATTCTGGTCAGGCACTGGGGAAATGGGGATATATTAGTCTGTTTTGTGTTGCTCTAAGGGAATATCTGAGACTGAGTAATTTATGAAGAATAGAGGCTTTTTTTTGGCTTACGGTTCTGCAAGCTGTGCAAGGATGGGACCAGCATCTGCTCAGCTTCTGGTGAGCCCTCAGGAAACTTTTAGTCATGGCATACGGTACAGGGGGAGTGGACATGTCACATGGCAAGAGAGAGAGAGCAAGAGAGCTGCCAGGCTCCTTTAAACAACCAGCTCTTTCATGAACTAATAGAGTGAGAACTCACTCATTACCAAGAGGATTGCGCCAAGCTATTCATGAGAGATCTGCCCCCATGATCCAACATCTCCCACCAGCCACCCCCTCCAACACTGGGGATCACATGTCAACATGAGGCTTGGAGGGAAAAAATATCCAAACTATATTGGAGATTGGGGGACATTACTTTATCCTGAGTGTTGAGCTTCCATATCTGTCATCAAATCAGCCTTAGACATCTCACTGGAATCTGATGAGGAATTGCTGCACCTACCGGCTATGTGCAGACACCTGAATACATGACATGATGAATCAAGCTAAACCCATGTCCACTTTTTGCTAATTGTTGAGAAAGGCTTTTAAATGTGGAGAAAATCTCCTTCCAAGGACATTGAGCAGGAAATTATTAAGTATGACTAATATGAAACTGAGGCTGGCAATTTAAAAACGAAGTTTACAGAATGCGCGCAGCCAAATGAAGGCTGATACCCTCGAAGTGGTCATTATGCATTGGGATGTGCATATTTTGCTACATACTCTGTCTTGTTCCAAAAAGAATTTGAGGTGCCAGTCAGTAAGGACTGACTTTAGATATTGCTTAGTGACCCTTGTTATGTGTGGTAAAACATTTGATCAAATTGTGCCCAACATTGAAGAGAGATCATATGCTGCCTGAGGTTTGTGGCAATAGGGAAATGATGACAGAGATTCAGATTCTTGGTGTGTGTTGGGTTGCACCTTGTTGCTTTTACGAAGTCTGGTAAGAATGCGGTGAAGTTAGGGTGGCATGAGCTAGATTGCAAGAGCAGATGAGCAGGAACGGGACTTTGTGCTGCTCTCTTGCCTGCAGCCTGGAGTCTAAATTGACTGAGAGTTCAGTAATTTGGAGCCTTGCTGGGTTGAAAAAGCCAATTGTTTCTGTACTTGAAACTGAAGCAAAGAGTAAGTGGTAAGACTTAGCAGAGGATAAAATTAGTGTTCTGCCATACAGCGATAGGGAGCCTGCTGGTCTAGGTGGGCTTAATGAGGGCTGCTTTCCACCCAGACCTATGCTTTCAGATGGTCTCAACATAGTTACCATAAAACTATGAGCACTGGCAGAGCTCAGCAGGCAGTATGTGAAAGAACAGTTTATAGGTTTAAACATTGTGAATGGGCAAGAGCTTTAGTGGTAGCTTTTTACATATGGAATAACAAAAGTATTTCACATGTATTTGAAGAAATGATGTTATCAAAAGAACCATAATCTTGGCCTAAAAAAGCTTGTTCAATCCTTAAAACCATTCCTGGGTACCCAGTCCTGCAACAGCAGGACGGGGCCTGCAAAAGCCAGGTAGTTCTTCAAAGTGCATATTCTCCAATGGCCACTCAGATGTGGCCCAGGAGGACAACGGACATGAAGGTGTTTCTACCAGGGAGCAGAACAGGAGTTCCAACAATGGAAGGAACTTTAGGCTGATTATTTTGGAAGCAAAAGCCCTATGTTAAGGGTATACACGCTTCATGCCGAAAACTTAGAGAACTGAGATCTATACCTCCCCACACCAACCTCCCCTAAAACCCTGCAAATTACCTGTTATTCTATCACATTTGATGATTTTAGTATAAGCAGGCTTTTTGCTAGGAACATCTATTTACGTATTTATTTGCTATGAAAGTTGATTATGCTGTATTTGCTATTTTATATTCTGCTTTTTAAACTTAGCAATATATTATAAATATCTCTTTTTATTAAATATTCTACTCGAGCTTGATTTTTAATGGTTGCATAATCTACTGTGTGGATCTCATAAAGCTGGGAATTCAGATTTTTAGTTTTCTTATTTTAGGATACATTTCTTCAAGTGGAAATGCAGGGCCACAGGAACTGACATTTTTGTGATTTGATTTGATTCAGACCCTACTACCCTCCACAGGCATATTTTGTTTTTACTAGTTTGCACCTCCCCTGGCAGTCTTTGAATGTCCCCATTTTCCCACTCCTACCACACCGGCTGCCACTCATTTTCACCTTGGGGATGATGTGTTCTGAGACCAGCACTGCTTCTCTGCAGTGAAGAGCTATGGCCCAATATTTTCTTTTCTTTTTTTTTTTTTTTAACCTTGGCTCTGGCCACCCTGGAGGATGGTATACTTTTTCCATATTCACGCTGAAGATCTTTCTTCGATTATCTTCTTGCTCAACTGAACAGAAGGCTGAGGGTAACCATCCATGTGATGTTTCCAACTTTGTACCTCATTGTCCAGTATGGCCCAATGGGTGGTGGGTTCCTGTATCTTCTGGAGAAATCCTAGATGCTCCCTCAGGGCAAATGCCCTGAAAGAAGGGATGCCCTAGGGTCCCAGCACACATAGAAGGGGAATCATCCAGCACCCAGTCCTTAGGTTCTTACAGATGGAGGATACAGCACCTCTCCTAATAAAGAGAATTATCCAGCACTTCCAGATCACTCCTATCTACCCTGGTGACCTGCTATTATCATCAACAGAGATTTCTGATTACAAAAGTCACCCTTGTTTTTTGTCGATATTTTAAAAAATGGAAGTATGAAAAAGAAAACTAAAGTTATATATATCCTCCAGAAAAAAAGCAACCTCACTATTGACATTTTGGTGTATACATGTGCAGAATTTTCTCCTCTACATATGTTTTTGTCAGTGTTGAGATCATATAAATGTGTAACTTGCTTTAAAATCATTATAAAGAACATTTCAGAGTTATAAACATTTGTTGTAAATATAATGGCTGCATAATATTTGCACATGGGGTGTTCTAGAATTTCTTCGCACATTTCCTTATACCATTGCACATTCAGATGTTTCCAATTTTTTTCTTATAACAAAATCCATAATCCTTCATAACCATCTTTGTGCATAAAGCTTATCTTCATTTGGATTATTTCCCTATAATCAGCTCTCATATGTGGAAATGTATGTGTTTCAAAAGAAAAGCTATATGACTGTAGGCAATATGGAGGAATATTACTTGGGAAAGGCCATCTGGCTACTGGCTAAATCTCACCAGAATGGAATTAAAGATCAATTGGATAAACAAATGCATGGGTCACTGTGGAAGGCTGAATAGTAGCCCCTCAGAGATATCCACAATGGGATCCCCTGAACTTGTAAATATGTTCCCTACATGGCAAATAGGATTTTGCAGATGTGATTCAGTTAAGGATTTTCAGGTGAGATTTCCTGGGTTATCTGGCTGGGCCCAATATAATCACAATGGTCCTTAGAAGAGAGAGGCAAGAGAGTCCAAGTTACAGAGGGGGACGTGATGACAGAAACAGAAACCAGAGAGATTTGATGATACTACATTAATGACTTTGAAGATGGAGGAGGGGCCGCAAGCCAAGGAATGTGGGCAACCTCTAGAAGTTAGAAAAGGCAAGAAAATGGATTCTCCCGTAGGGCCTCCAGTTATTTACAACTGTAAAATAATAAATTTGTATTGTTTTAAGCCACCAAGTTTGTGGTAATTTGTTACAGCAGCAATAGAGAATTAATATAGTCACCAATCAATTCTAAGAGCAGAAATGTCACCAAATAAGTGAAAAATCTGGCATGGGTCACATTTCCATACACAATCTTCAAATACCAAGTTCTTACACACAGGTTTACTTCTTACACCAGTTCTGGCAACTCTGCAAAGGTCCTCCATATAACAACTCAGGGACCCATGAGAGCTGTATTTGTAAAATACATGACCTTCTTAATCAATGAGGCACAGGAAAGGAGAGAAAAAGCAGTGCATGGGCTCATCGCTACCTCAGCCTTGGAGTCACTTCCTCTCTCAGCCTGTGGCCAGAGCCCAGCATATGGCTCTGCCCTGCTCCAAGGGGCTTGAGGAGTACAGGCTTCCTGTGCCAGGAGGACAACAAATAAAGTCTACTGTGACCTCACAGGCAGTGCACTCAACAGTCATGGGAAACAGTCTCTACTATACTGACCCTGTATCAGTCAAGTGCTTAGGTAACTCACATTTGCGACTTGCACGGTGTGAATTGTGGGTGTCCTCACCTGTCCTGAGACTAGCCAGCTGACTGTTGCCCAGAGCTAGCAGGCATAGCCAGCTGAAATTCTGAAAGTGGATTATGCATGGAGTAATGCTGTTCTCAGGAAATCAGTGATTTATTTTATAATCTAAAATTTAAACGTTTTAATATACCTCCCAAGAAGATACCCAGTTCAGAAAACTGCAGAGGAGCCATGGAACTCAGCAGAAGGCCAGCTCCCTCTCTGGGAGGCCGCCTTCAGGAAACCAATCGTCCCCCCACCTGATTCCAAAGGAATTACAGAAAAATGGAAAGCCAGGAACAAAAATCATAAATCATATTTTCAATATGACCTTGTAACGTTATCCATGGATGTTACCTCAGACTTCGGTGAGTGCAGGGGACTAATGCTATCCATTTATGAGTGATGCCGAAACTGGAAAATGAAAGACAATTCCAAATGCACTGAGATGCTAATGGCACATTCAGTGTCTGGAATTCTATTTTATATTAATGAGAATTATTTTTGTTAATGAAAATATGTTGAATGTTCATTACTGTTGAAAAATAAGTTTCTCCTTTATTTCTCTAAATAGGTGTTAAGTATTTAAAAAATATTGTTTTGAAAGCCCAGGATCATTTGTCTCCTTAAAGTGCCTTAAGCACCCACCAAGTGGCATTCACTTGGCAAATCATTGGTGTGAAGTCTAGTGCTCAGCCTTGCTTGCCATGAATGGCATAACTCACATTAACCAAACTCGCACAGGCACAGGCTGCTGTGTAAACCAGAAGGCCAGCCTGCATCTCAGGGGGTAGAATCCAGGCATTGGGAATATGTACGTACGTGTGTCTCTGCACCTAGGTATGAGGACCTGTGTGGTGACAGGTAGGTATTCCAGAGAGGGAAGTGCTCCTGCCTCTGTGCACCTAGACAGTACTCGGGTGAGCATCAGTCATGCCCCATGTTTCTCCCTTTCCCGTGTCCACAGGGATGGTTCAGCATCTTTGCCACTATCTGCTGGGCCCGAAGCCATTCTGTCTTACAAGGACCTCCATTCTACTCCTTTATGGGTTGGTTTTAACACTCAGGGAATAACTTCAGGTTTCTAATCTCTAAGATTAGAGATTAGAGAGAGACCAATCCCCAGCTTCTGAGATATTTAAGATGTATTTTGGAGCAGTAATAAAAATACAAATTGTCATGCCTTACGTGTACATGGTGACTTGTAGATCCCAACGTATCTTCTGTTTCACCATCTCCTTTGATTTTCCCAGTAGCCCTGTGGCCAGGCTGGGAAGTGTTAATCCACATTCTGGTTTTAAGACCTGCATTTCCCATTGCCTACAAGTGTTTTCACCTGACGGCTTCACCAGGGCCTTGCAGTAAGCGTGTCTGAAATATGCTATGTGTTTCCCCACCCGCTTCTCTTACTCCGGTGGCCTGTGTTTTTGTTCGTTATCCCATCTTGTTCCTGATGGTCCAAGCTTGCACCCTTGGCATCCTCGCTGGCCTGCTGGCATCCTCGCTGGCATTCCCCTTGGCCTGCTCATCTGGCCAGCTCCTCAGTCCTGCTGCTTCTGTCTTCGATAGCTCCTTGAGCTCAGCCTCCCCGTCTTGCTGCTTTTCTCACTGCCATCTGCTTTCTCCCTTCTCTCCTGAATAACTGCAGGTGCCTCTTAACACATCATCCCTCTTGTCCTGGAAGTTGGATTAACCACCCTAAAGCGTAGCTCTCATTGGTCACTCTCCTGCCCACAGTCCTCCAGTAGCTCCTACAGCATAGTTTATTCCAAACTCCTGAGTGGCATTTCAAAACCTCCTGATGTGTCTCCAATCAACCTTTGCAGTTTCATCTCCTCCTCTGTAACCTACATGGCAGCTACATTGGGTCCTAGGTGCTCCTCAAGCCTCTCTCAGGCTTCTCCATCTCTGTGTCTTTAATGTCACTGCATTAGTGAAAGGATTCCCTCTCATTCTGGCTTGCTGAAGTCCTGCCTGTTCTAAGTTTGCCCAGGTGTCCCTCCCCCTATAAAGCCTTCTCAGTATGTTACTTGGAGGTAGGTTCTTTCTTCTATGCATTCCCTAGTCCTTTCAAATGATCTTGGAGCATTGTCAAATTTGTCCTGTAGGTGGGAGGAGGGAGAGGATCAGGAAAAATAACTAATGGGTACTGGGCTTAATACCTGGGTGATGAACTAATCTGTATGACAAACCCCTGTGACGCAAGCTTACCTACATAACAGACCTGCACGTGTACCCCTGAACCTAAAAGTTAAAAGAAAGAAATTTTACAACTAATCACTAAGTTTAACAAGGTTGCAGGATGCAAGATCAACATATACAAATTAATTGTATGTTTATGTATCTACAGTGAATCATTGGACATTAGAATTATGAATAGTGCAATTTAAAATATCATTAGAAAATATCAAATACTTAGGAATAAAGCTGAAAAAGAGGTAAAAGATCTGTACACTAAAAACTACAAAATATTGCAGGGAGATAATTAATGGCATAATGAAATAAATGAAGACATATACTAAAAACAAAAAACAAGTTTGCCTTGTATTGTGGTTACTTATGTTGAAGCCTTAATCTTTTTTCTTTTTTTTTTTTTTTTTCAGACAGAGTCTTGCTCTGTCACCCAGGCTGGAGTGCAGTGGCGCAATCTCGGCTCACTGCAAGCTCTGCCTTCTGGGTTCACGCCATTCTCCTGCCTCAGCCTCCCGAATAGGTGGTATTACAGGCACCTGCCGCCACACCTGGCTAATTTTTGTATTTTTAGTAGAGACAAGGTTTCACTGCGTTAGCCAGGATGGTCTCGATCTCCTGACCTCGTGATCAGCTTGCCTCGGCCTCTTGAAGTGCTGGGATTACAGGTGTGAGCCACCGCTCCTGGCCCCTTAATCTTACACACTAAACGACAAGCCCCTTGAGGGCCAGGACTGTGTTTTTCATCTCTGCAGGCACTGAGAGAGCCTATCAGCATCCTTATACATGGGGCCAGCTTGATAAACATTTGCTGAGTTGAGCCAGTTCCCCATCTGGCATGCAGAGAGACCGAGAGTCAGAGAAATTAAACAGCTTGCACCAGGTGGGAAACAACACTCACAGCCCCCAACTCATAATGCAATCTTTCTTTCCACTACCCCAAGATTGACTGGATAGCTGGAAGTCCCATTGGCCATTCAACAAACATTCATTAGGTGCTAACTACGTGTCAGGCATTGGGTGCCCAGGATACAACAGTGAACAAGACTGCCTTAGACCCTGCCCTCATTGGAAATTTAGCCTAGTGGGGGAAGGCAAACCTAAATAAATGGTAATTAAGTGCTCTAAGGGTAGAAGCAAAAAGTGCCGGGATAGAAAATGGGGATATGACCTGGGCTGGAGGGGGTTGTGGGATAGTCAGGCAAAGCTTTCCTGAGGCATTGTTGTTTAAAACAGCTAGTTGACAAGAACCAAGGAAAGATTGGTTTTCTCGCAGCGTATTGAAATGCCCTGAGGCAGGAAATAGCTTAAAAGAAGGCCAGGGTGGCTGGAACCTACAGGGGAAAGGAGACATTGGCAAGAAATAAGGTTGGTTAGAGAGGGTGTCTGATGGCAGAGAGAGAGGCCATTTCGAGGCCACTTACAGGAGGGGCTGTGGTCAGAAGGGGGCATGGAGAAGTGGGCAGACACAGAGTAGATAAAGGAGATTGGAGAGAATATTACTGGCATCATCAGGCAAAAGAGTATGGAGGTGTAGGGTAGAAAGGTTACAGCACGACAGAGGGGACTGGATGGACAACCACCCCCAAACAACCCTCTGTATGACTGCAAATGGTGAGCCCACGCTTGGAAGCGGGAGGCAGTGTTTAATGCCTTTTCCAGCTGCTGGTTTGAGGAGACTGGGTAGAGAGGACAAGTAAACAGAGGCCTGGGCAGCACCTGGAGGCCTGGTATTATCCCCAGTTCCTCCATACACTTCTGTGTCGCCTTTGCAGGATTTGGAGCCTCTTTGGTTTTCATTTTCTGAACCATATGGTGAAATTGGTAAAGCCTTGCAGCTGATGCCAGTAAAACCCTTTAAATTCTCTAACAGAATAGGACTCTCAACATCCTCTAGAGAATGACCATTATTTACACTCTTCTAGTTATTCCTTTCCTTGAGAAGGGGATTCGTGTATCAAAGAAAATGCTAATTTTAAAAAAAAGGCCAATTGACAGCTCTTGGAACTCATCATGGCAGACTGGCCTTTGCAAGGTGGACAAACCCTCGCAATTAGAAAAAAAAAAAATGCAGCCAGCACTCATTGGATTAAGAGTGTAGAAAAGCAAATGTGTTTGAATCTTAAACACATCATAATTTTAAGCATCCACAAGTGTTTAGAAAGTGTTAGCCGCTATGAGCGCATACATCTATTCACTAGTTAAACATCATAACCTGTTTCTTTTCTAAACACATGGGCAGGAGAACAGAGCATGGTTAACATGTTAAACACACTGACATGTTTACAATGTGTTGCAAGAAGGTGTTTAACTTTTTGTGCTCCAAAGCTAAACACTTTGGAATTACAGGGCTGGCTAATTCCGCCTACAGTTAACATGGCTGTTGCCTACTGGTCCCTTTGGCTTTGGGCAGAGCACCTTTGGGAAAGCAGACCACGTAGTGATGACCTGGGATTCATAAAGAGCAGCCTGGGCTCCTTACTGCAGGATCTTGGATGTTGATGAAATCTGTGTTTCTGAAAACATATCATGAAAGAAATTAGAGTCAAATTCATGAGTTGCTGGACCGAACTCATGCTCCAGATTAGCATGGCTGCTGTTTCCATGTGCAGGTGCACAGGCTATCCTGCTGGTGAGGGCTTTCCAGGAGACTCCAGACATAGGCAAACTATGGCCTTGGCCTGTCCTACACAGTGGCTCATACTTTCATAGAAAATGATTAGATCCCCAGAAGCTAGATTGAAAAGAGAGATAGAGGAGAGAGGAAGGAGAAAGAAAGAAGGCAATGAATATTCTTTTTCTCTGGCTGCTGTAACAAATCACCACACTACTTGGTGCTTAAAATGATATAACTTGATTATCCTTCAGTTCTGAAGGTTAGAAGTCCTAAAGGGGTCTCTTTGGGCTAAAGTCAAGGTGACTGCAGGACTGGTTCCTTCTGGAGGCTCCAGGGGAGAAGCCGTTTTCTTGCCTTTTCCAGCTTCTAGAGGCTCCCTGCATTCCTTGGCTTGTGGCTCCCTTTCATCTTCAAAACCAGCAATGGCCAGTTGAGTCCTTCTCATGCTGCGTCACTTTGATTCTGCCTCTCTTGCCTCCCCCTTTCACTTATAAGGATGTTTGTGATTGCAGTGGGCAATTCTGGGTAATCGGGATACCCTCCGTAGTTTAAGATCAGCTGATTAGCAACCTTAATTGCATCTGTAACCTTAATTCCCCCTTGCCATGTAACCTAACATATTCACAGGTTCCAGAGATTAAGACAGAGGCATTTTAGGGGGCCATTATTCTGCCCATCACAGGGTGTTACCAAAAGCAAGGGTAAGAGAGAAAGAGGATAGAAAAAAAGGAATTATACTAAATTATGCTAAATTGAAATCCTATTTAGCCTCATAAAATCCCTCATATCGGGGTATGGGCTAAGCTACTATAACAAAAGGACCCCAAAATACAAGGCGGATTATTTCTCTTTCATGGTAATAGTAGAGGTAGGTCATCCAAGGCTGTTATTGTGGTTCTGACATCCCCAAGCAGGTAGTTTCCATTTTCTTTTCTTGCTTTCTTTCTTTTTTTTTTTTTTAGACAGAGTTTTGCTCTTGTCACCCAGACTGGAGTACGGTGGCGCAATCTTGGCTCACTGCAACCTCTGCCTCCTGAGTTCAAGGGATTCCCCTGCCTCAGCCTCCTGAGTAGCTGGGACTACAAGTGCGTGTCACCACGCCAAGCTCATTTTTTGTATTTTAGTAGAGATGGGGTTTCACTATGTTGGTCAGGTTGGTCTCGATCTCCTAACCTCGTGATCCACCCTCCTCAGCCTCCCAAAGTGCTGGGATTACAGGCGTGACCCACCACGCCTGGCCTAGTTTCCATTTTCTAAGTCCAAGGAGATTGCTCCAGTTTTCCTCAACTTGTAGCCTGGAGGAGAGGAGGAAAAAACCAGAGGAGGCCGTGTGCATTCCTTTTAAGGATAAGATCTAGAATTGAATTTCTCAGCCTTGACACTGCTGGCATTTTGTGCCAGATAACTCTCTTTAGTGTGCACTGTCAGTGTTTAGCAGCATCTCTGGCCACTATCCACTAGATACCAGTGGTGACAATGACAAATATATCTAGACATTGTAAAATATCTCCTGGGAGGCAAAATCACCCCTAGTTAAGGACCACGGATCTAGAAAAAGTACACATGACTTCTGGTGTCATTCTGTTTCCCAGAACTTACCCATCTAAAATTGGAAGTTCTATTATTAAAGAGAGAATGGATGTTTGGGGACGACTAGTAGTCTTTTCATCTGTTTCAGATACTCAGCCTGCCAAATCACTGAAGTCCCACCTCATGTCTGAGACATCTGCCTGGAATGCACAGTGGTCCAGCTGCGGAGGGGAGGGGCTGAAGGTGGTCACCAGCGGGAGGAATTTCTAGAGTTCTTGGCCAAAGCTCTGGATGGTCAGCTTGTACCCTCTGTCCAGAGTTATCTGAGGGGACTGGGCAGTCACGCATTGGAGCCCGGCTTCCCAGAGCTGAGGGGGAACCAAAACATTTCTGGGAGCCAGCGGCTTGCCATTTCTATGTAACACATCATGAGATGTAGCTTGACTGCTTAGGGCTTTGGCCCAGGGGGCTCTGATTTGTAATCTCTTGTTCTGTTCTTAGTGGGGCCAGACTGACCTTGGGGACTCACAGGATAGATTTGTATAGGGTAGTAGGTTTGAAAGACATCTAGAACTGGGTTTTACATCTGTTTCTGTTATTTATTGGCTATATGATTCCTTAGCATCTCAATTTCCTCACCCATAAAATTAGGACAGTATTATCCCTTGCTAAAGTTTGTTTAGAGGATTAAATTAGGAAACATGAGAACAAGACTTAGGTGCCCTTTCTGGGGCTTAGTAAACACTTGATAGATGGTACTCATCTATTCCTTTATTCCTCAGACATTTACTGAATACCTCCAACGTGTAAGGTTCTATGCTGCATTCTGGAAACATGAGCATAGCAGGAAGCAAAGTAGATCTGGTTCATCTCAGTGGTTACATTGTAGTAGTTACTACTGTTATTATTATCATCATCATGATTCTGGACACAGGCCTAGAAGTGACTCTCTGCCAGTGGTAGGGGAAGGCTGAGTCAGCTGTTCCAGGGCTGAATATGTAGGAATGAGACCGGCTGGTGAGGCCCCGCTTGGATGTTGGATGGGGGATAATAATGGGGAAGACTAGTAGGGCAGAGCAGCCAAGGACTTGGTCCTATAAGCCAGAAGAAGAGAATCAGAAATCTCTGGGAATCAAAGGCTGTGAACTGAGTGGACACTGCCATCCCAGGACTAACAGATTGGGTGGGGAAAGGCCAACCATATGAAGGGAGGCCAGAGGACAGGGACAGGCAGCTGCCTGGCAGAGCTCCTTCAGCCCAGGTTGGAGGAGTTTGAAGGCCTGGCTGAGACACATTGCTAGAGCTACTCCCGGTGAGGCCAGGCTTGCTGATGGGGCAGGGAGGACTGTGTCTTTGGGCGAATGGGGTGCTCCATGGGCAGCGTAACAGCAAGTTTGGTAAAACAGGACAGCTCGTAATCTCCCTGTTCCACCGCTGACTTATCTATTACATCATATCTCTTCGCCGGCCAATTATGAGAGCAAGTTTGGGAGACAGTTCACCTCCGTTAAATCATCAGGGAGTCACCGAGTTAATGATGGCTCCAGGCAGTGAGTCTCAGACTTTTTCCATCTACAGTTCACTCTTGGCAAAGTAAAACACCTCACATTTTCCCACTTACTAAAATGGAAACCCTTCTTACTAGAATGCAACTTAAATTCCATGGTCAATTATCATAATCACTCCCTTGTGTATCCCTTTGACACCCTTGTCCCTCTCATTTCGTTGTACTGTTTTGGCAAAACCATAACCATGGTTAGATCCAACTCTCCATTTACTCCATGCTTGTTGGTGGAAAAAAAATACAAGCCCGTGACTGATCTCACTTTAAATTGAGGCCCACAATTTTCAAGGAGGCCTGTAGTTGCTGCCAGGTCATCGTACACTCTGTCCCAGAGTCCATCCACTATCCTAGATGACAACTTCACACCATCCCTTCTCTCTTCACACCCCTAACACCTTCCCCCCATATTACTCCTGGCAGATGACCTTCTTTCCTCTTCAGACCACAACTCCCCACCTGCCAGCATCTGACCTTGTATCTTCTGTTTCCTTGACTCTAACAGGGATGAACTTTCCATGCCCCTCTCTAGAGCAAACCTCTCCACCTGCACACTGGATTTCATCCCTTCTCACCTACTCAAGGATATCACTCCAACAATATTGCCTGCTTCTCTCCCACATCTTCATTGTTCATTCTCTCCTGAATCATTCCCACCAGCACACAAGCATGTGATTACTTCTCCCATTTTAAAAGAACCTTTCCTTGAAAGTTTTCTCCTTCAACTTTTTGTTTGATTTTTTACTTGCTGCAAAACTTCTCCAGAAAGTTGTCTGTGCTCATTCTTGCAGTTTGTTTCCTCCTATTTTCTCCTAGACCCACTGTTTGTTTATTCATTTATTTAGTTTTGAAACGGAGTTTTGCTCTTGTTGCCCAGGCTGGAGTGCAATGGCATAATCTTGGCTCCTAAGTTCTGGAATTATAGCGTGAGCCACTGTGCCTGGCCTCTTAGACCTACTCTAACCAGCCTTTTGCCCCTATACTCCACAGCCTGCTCTTGTCAACCCTTACATTGCTGGGTCCAGGGGTCAGGTCTCAGTCCTCAACTTAGTTGATCTAACAGCTTCATTTGACACAGTTGATCCTTTTTCCTCCAGGATGTATATTCTTCACTTGACTTCCAGAACAGCATGGCTCTCTTTGTTTCCCTCCTGTCTCACAAGCTGCTCCTTCTTGGTCTCCTTTGCTGGTTCCTCCTCATCTCCTTGATCATTTAGGGTTGATATTCCCTAGGGCTCAGTCCTTAGTCCTCTTCTCTTCTTTATTTATATTGATTCTTTTGGTGATCTCAGTCAATCCCGTGGCCTTGCGTATTAAACACCACGGACAACCAAATTTAAATTGATGTATCTGGGCTTCGATCTCAACTTGGATGCCTACTTGGATGGTACCTTAAGCTCTTGATCTGCCCCATGCCCACCCCCACCTAGTGAACCTCCTTCATTCATAGCCATCTCCATCTCACTTGTTGGCAACTCCTTCCGATAGTTTGGGCTCTCCACCTCCCTGGCTCCCATCCTGGTTGGAACTTCCATCCTTTCTCACCTGGATTACTGCAATACCCTCCTAACTGCTTCCATCTTTGTCCCTCTGCAAAGCAGCTAGAGGGAGGCTTTTAAAATTTAAATCAGATCATATTACTCCTCTTCTCAAAACCTTTCCGTGGCTTTCTATTTCCCTAAGGCCTTGTGGGATCTCCCAGCCCATCCCAGCACTACCTCTCAGAGCTCATCCCCTTCTACTCTCCCCTCCTTGTTTACTCTGCTCCTGCCTACTAACCTCACTGCAGTCAGTTCCTCAAACACACCAGGCAAGCTCCACTTTAAAAACTTTGCACTGCCTGTTCACTCCCTGGAACACTCCTTCCCCAAATAGCCATATGATCCCCCATCTCCCTTCCCTCCAATCTACTCAGATGTTACCATCTCAGTGAGATCCACTCTGACTCCTCTATAAGCTACAAACTGCCTCCTCCCAAATCCTAACCCTTCTTACCCTGTTCTACTATTTATTGTTGTTTCCTTGGTAGTTATCCCTGCTGACAGTCTACACAATGTACTTATTTATTTATTTATTTTTGAGACGAAGTCTCGCTCTTGTCCCCCAGGCTGGAGTGCAATGGCACGATCTCGGCTCACTGCAACCTCCACCTCCTGGGTTCAAGCAATTCTCCTGCCTCAGCCTCCCAAGTAGCTGGGATTACAGGTGCCTGCCACCATGCCTGGCTAATTTGTGTGTGTGTGTGTGTGTGTGTGTGTGTGTGTGTGTGTGTATATACATATATATATATACACACATACACACACATATATATACTATATACATACACACATATATACTATATATATACATATATATACAATATATACATATATATACAATATATACATATATACTATATATACATATATACACAATATATATACATATATACGATATATATATACACATATATACAATATATATATACATATATATACACATATATACAATATATATATACATATATATACACATATATATATACATGTGTGTGTATATATATATATATATATTTTTTTTTTTTAGTAGAGACGGGTTTCACCATGTTGGCCAGGCTGGTCTCGAACTGCTGACCTCAAATGATCTGCTTGCCTCGGCCTCCCAAAGTGCTGGGATTACAGGCATGAGCCACCACACCTGGCCTACAATGTACTTATTTTAAACATTTATTGTTTACAGTTTTCTCTTAATGGAATATTAGTTCCAAAAAGGAGGGATTTTGTTTTGTTTTGTTTTTGTTCACTGTGATGAATCTCAAGGATGCATAACAGTGGCAGGCAATAATAAGTTAAATACGTGTTAGATTATTGCACAGAAAAACTATTTCTGCTGTGGGAAGACCTCAGCGAAGGATGTCTGCCATCCAGCCAGCCATCTGTTCATTCATTCATCTGTCCATTCGTCCGTCCTTCCAGTCAGCCTAGTCATTCAACAAGTGTGTTTGGACACCTGGTTAATTTTCAACCTATGTTTTTGCCTGTGGGAAAATGGTGTCTATCCTAAAAGAACTTTCAATCAAGTTAAGAGGAAAAGCCCAGACAGAGGAATCATTAAACAGAACGTAACCATTGTTAATCTAAGTCCGAATTAAAAGCACAGACATTGTCGCATTGGAGGGCTGGTGACGGGGGTAGTAACATAATATTTATGGCCTGGCACTCCCGTGGATTGGAGATCAAAGAGCCTTTGAGGACCCCACTTACTGCATGTCCTGGGGATGCTGAGAATCTGCTGGGAGGTGAAGGAAAATGGCTTTTGACAGGCCTTGGGGAGGAGCAGCCTAAACTGGGAGCCCAGGGCTGAGACAGGAGCTGTTCTCCTTCCTGTTTCCTCTGAGTTTTCCAAGACTCCCACTCCTGGGAAAAGCCCCAGAGACTACGAGTGTTTTAGCCCCTTGGGCAGGGGGGATACCTAGTTACCTGTGTCCAGAGAGCTGCCCTGCCCTGAAAAACAGCATCCTCAACATTTCTCATTGGAGCTAAGACCCCAAGCAGCAGTGAGAGGTGACAGCAAAGGCCAGGCCAGGCCCTGGGCATCCTAAGCCTGGAATCCTTCCGCTCAACCCACTCCACCAACTCAGTAAGGAAAACAGTCCAGTCCTAATCCCACAGCCCACAAACAAACAGCTCACAGCTGGCCAGCTCACCAAAACAAGTAAACCAGGTCTCCTGCCCAGGGCAGGGCAGATTGAGCAAGGCTCAGACCGTCTTGCTTATCCTCTTTGTGACCCAGTAAAGGATTGTGAGGCAGAGGAGGTGGTGACACATAAAAACACATCTGGAGGTACTGCTGCATCTCAGGGCAGGAGGTACAGAGGGGACAAAGAGAGGGGTCAGCTGAGGGGCATCAAAGAAGAAAGGACTGAGGTGGTTCAGGTGAAGAATGGACTGAGGGGGCTTGAGGGAGAATGGGCTGAGGGGACTCGGGGGAGGATGGACTGAGGAAACTCGGGGGAGGATGGACTGAGGGGACTCGGGGAGAATGGACTGAGGGGACTTGGGGGAAAATGGACTGAGGGGACTCGGGGGAAAATGGACTGAGGGGACTCAGGGGAAAATGGACTGAGGATACTCTCGGAGGATGAACTGAGGATACTCGCGGAGGATGCACTGAGGATACTCGGGGGAGGACGGACTGAGGGGATTCGGGGAGAATGGACTGAGGGGACTTGGGGGAAAATGGACTGAGGGGACTCGAGGGAAAATGGACTGAGGGGACTCGCGGAGGATGCACTGAGGATACTCGCGGAGGATGCACTGAGGATACTCGCGGAGGATGGACTGAGGTTACTCGCGGAGGATGGACTGAGGATACTCGCGGAGGATGGACTGAGGATACTCGGGGGAAAATGGACTGAGGGGACTCGGGGGAAAATGGACTGAGGATACTCGGGGGAAAATGGACTGAGGGGACTCGCGGAGGATGAACTGAGGATACTCGCGGAGGATGGACTGAGGATACTCGCGGAGGATGGACTGAGGATACTCGGGGGAAAATGGACTGAGGGGACCCGGGGGAGGATAGACTCAGGATACTCAGAGAGGATGGACTGAGGGGACTCGGGGGAGGATGGATTCAGGATACTCAGAGAGGATGGACTGAGGGGGCTCGGGGGAGGATGGACTCAGGATACGCAGAGAGGATGGACTGAGGGGACTCAGGGGAGGATGGACTGAGGATACTTGGGAGAGGATGGACTGAGGATATTCGGAGAGGATGGACTGAGGGGACTCGGGAGAGGTTGGACTGAGGATACTCGGAGAGGATGGATTGAGGGGACTCGGGGGAGGATGGACTGAGGATACTCGCAGAGGATGGACTGAGGGGACTCGGGGGAGGATGGACTGAGGATACTCAGAGAGGATGGACTGAGGGGACTCGGGGGAGGATGGACTGAGGATACTCGGAGAGGATGGACTGAGGGGACTCGGGGGAGGATGGACTCAGGATACTCGGAGAGGATGGACTGAGGGGACTTGGGGGAGGATGGACTCAGGATACTCAGGATGGACTGAGGGGACTCGGGGGAGGATGGACTCAGGATACTCAGAGAGGATGGACTGAGGGGACTCAGGGGAGGATGGACTGAGGATACTCGGAGAGGATGGACTGAGGGGACTTGGGGGAGGATGGACTCAGGATACTGAGAGAGGATGGACTGAGGGGACTCAGGGCAGGATGGACTGAGGATACTAGCGGAAGATGGACTGAGAAGACTCGGGGAAGAGTGGACTGAGGATACTCGCGGAGGACGGACTGAGAAGACTCGGGGGACGATGCACTGAGGATACTCGTGGAGGATGGACTGAGAAGACTCAGGGAGGATGGGCTGAAGATACTCGGGGAGGATGCACTGAGGATACTTGGAGAGGATGGACTGAGAGGACTCGGGGAAGAATGGACTGAGGGGACTCGGAGAGGATGGATTGAGGATACTCTGGGGAGGATGCACTGAGGGCGCTCTGGGAAGGATGAACTGAGGAGACTCATGAATAGTCTCCCACTACTCTATCAGAGATAACCACATTTTAGCAAACACTCCGTTGGAGTCACCCCATGCACACATGTGTACATGCAGCCAAGCCTTTTCCCACGCTATTAGCTGGTGCAAGTTCCATCCCTGGATTTTAAGCATGGGTCGCCTGGAAGAGCTTTGTTAGAGGAAGAAGAAAGAGGTGTATCTCAGGAAAATCCTGGTTCCCAAAGTTGCACATTATGTCAGATGTACCTGTCTTTGACGGCTGGGAGAGCGGACAAGACCCTGCCCCAGCCCTGGCCAGGAATGGTGGCTGGTGAGCCCCTAGTTGCAGGCAACCTGGACCTGTCCTCGCGGCACCTGAAGAGGGGAAAGGAGACTTGAGGAGAATGACTGTCCCCAGGCGACCGCCCATGAACACCTGAGCACCCATCTGATAAACAGCCTGGAGTCACTGGAGAGTGACAGCTTCCATGTATATTCATATATGCTCACCATTATTTTTCATAACCACATCACATTGCATCATTTTAATGTATCATAATTTTCTCAACCAGCCCCATCCAGAAGCTTCTTAACCCAATCTCTTTCTAAGGCCCTCCAAAGGGCTGGAAGAGGGAGCATCTTTATTTTGCTGCTGCCATCAGGGGTCTTGGGAGAGTCCCCTTGGATCCTGATTTTTCAGGGCTTGATACCTGAGAATAACTGACAGAAATTTTGAGAACTGTGCCCCCAGTAATAACAATAATTAACATTGTTTTCAGTACTCTGGGCCAGGCACTGTTCTAAGCACTTTGTACATATTATCTAAGTGACTCTTCACAACAACAACCTTCTGAGGGAGGTACTACTTTTATCTCTTTTTTATAAATAGGGAAACTGAGGCTGAGAGAGATTAACTTGTGCAAGATAACACAGTAAATGGTTGTGCTGGGATTTGAACCAGGCAGTCTGGCACCAGCATCCACACTCCTTCTTTCTTTCTTTCTTTCTTTTTTGAGATGGAGTCTCGCTTTGTCGCCTGGGCTGGAGTGCAGTGGCGCGATCTCAGCTCACTGCAAGCTCTGCTTCCTGGGCTCATGCCATTCCCCTGCCTCAGCCTCCTGAGTAGCTGGGACTACAGGCACCTGCCACCACGCCTGGCTAATTTTTTTTTGGTATTTTTAGTAGAGACGGGGTTTCACCGTGTTAACCAGGATGGTCTCGATCTCCTGACCTCATGATCTGCCCGCCTTGGCCTCCAAAAGTGCTGGGATTACAGGCATGAGCCACCGCACCTGGCCCAGCATCCACATTCTTAATCACCAATTTGTCTAGTTGGCTGAAGAGTTTAGCTGGTTATTGATAATAAGCAGTATGTCTTCTTGATCATTCCTCCTAAATTTTGGTAGATTATATTTTGAGGCTTGTACTTACGGGAAAAAAAAGAGAGAAAAGAAAATCTGACACTCCTCTAAAGAGTTCAAGAGTCTCAGATTCTCTGGGTCCGTCAATCCTGGGCAGAACCCTGCTGACTGGTTGATATGCCACAGGTTAATATTTTGAGTTGTTCCTGGGTGGTGTGGCCTGCACATACCCGCCCCCAAGCTCTCCTTACCACCCTCTCCATGCCCTTAGATAGAAATGACAATGACTATTCCCATTGCTGGTAAAGGGTCATCATACCCTTATCCATCCTATACAAATACGTTTCTGCATAGAAGCTACTTGCCTTGCTGGGTCAAAACCAGTGGTTCTAACTAGAGAGGGCCATGAGGCTGCCTAGTACTGTTCAGTCGTGTATGGTGACGCTGGTAACACACTGGAATCACTGAGACACTTCTGTAAAGTGCAGATGCCTTGGGTCCTATCAAAAGGAACCATGGGAGTGGGGCCTAGGCTTGCATCCTTTAAGAATTGTCCTTAGTGAATCATGTTGCATCTTGGCCAAGGACTCCTGGGATCCCAATTGGTTTCAGCCCTAGGTTTTCTCTGCCTCTACTGCCAGCTTGCAGGACTCTTCCTACTCATTTTGGGGATGTTTGATGCAAAAGTTGATGCTGTGTGGGTGCAGACTTCCAGGAGCATGTTGTCTGAAACCTGCAGTGATTTCAGGCTGAGGCTCTTCCTGCTGGGAGCCAGGGACAAGAGTGGATTAATGTCAAGGGTCCCATGATTGTGGACAATCCCAGAGACACTATAAATAGATGGAGAGAAGCTGTTTCTTCTTTTCTCCTCAAGGAAACCACCCAAACAGAAACATTTCATACACTTGCGATTGAGGAATGCAGTTGGCCACTCAAGCTTAAGAGAACGTTGGAGTTTTTTTGTTTTTGTTTTTTCCTTTTTTTCCTTCTCTTTCTCATTTTCCTTGAAGGAGGATTAGAAAACACACACAGGCACAGGCCACAGGTGCGCACGCGCGCGCACAAACACACACACACAAACACACACACGAATGCTTTTTCTTGATCTGAAAGAGCACTGTCGAGTCACTAAGTTGATTGTCCTTCTTTCAGTTCAGCATGCCCTGCCAAATCTTACCCATAGAACAGATGCCTGTGGCGCTGCGGTGGTGCCCAACAGCTCTGAGTTTCAGCCTCTTCTTCCTGGGACTTAACCTCTCACTCTCCACTGCTGTCCTTTGAACACACAGGAGTAAATTGGTGAGCACCATTCATTCAAATGCACGGTGAGAAGTGTAGTGGGGAGATGCAAAAGAAGAATGAAATAGCCCACAGAAGATTTCCACACAAGCTGATAAATATACACCTGTGGTTCTCGTTAACCACAGGAGTCAGTGTGGCCCTGTGTGATATAATAAAGAATAAACCTTTGGTCTCTGCCCCTAGTTCCTGGCACCGTGCTCCTGAAACCCTTGTACTTTCCTAAGTGATAGTCGTGCTAGGAGCATCTTTTGTTCTAATATTTAGTCTTTGACCTTGGTTCCTGACACAGAGCTCCTAAATCCCTTGGAATTTCCTGGATAATAGGTGCATCTTTTGTTCTAATGAGGTGACTCTTGGTGGGCCCCTGGATGGGGGCTGCTCACTAGAAAGACCTCAGCATGATCAGAGGCTCGGAACATTCAGCCCCACCCCCATCCCCAGGGAGGGGAGAGGAGTTGGATATTAAATTAATAATTGATTCTGCCTTTGTGATGAAGCCGCCATAAAAATCCCTCAAGCACAGGGTGTGGAGGGATTCTGTGCAGGTGAACACATCCATGAACCAGGAGGGTGGTGCCCCCCAACTCCACTGGAACAGAAGCTCCTGTGCTGGGGACCCTCCAGCCCTCGCCCTATGCATCTCCCCTTCCGGCAGCTCATCTGTGTTTTTATCTATCCTCTAGGATAGAATAAACTGGTAAATGTGTTCCCCTGTGTTCTGCGAGCTGTTGTAAGAAATTATCAAGCAAAAGGGGTTGTGGGAACCCCAGTTTATAGCCAGTCGTGGGTCAGAAGTACAGGTGGCAAGTTGGGGCCTGCAGTTGGCATCTGAAGTGGGGGCATCTTATGAGTTCTTAACTTGTGGATCCCTCACTAACTCCAAGTAGATAGTGTTAGAGCTGAATGGAATTGTGGGACACACATTTGTTGTCTGCAGAGAATTGGAGAAGTGCTTGGTGTGGGAAATCACTTACATATTTGGTGTCAGAAATGTTGAGAATATAGAGAAAAACTGTTTGCTTTTCCTGTATACCCAGGAAGCCCCAAGCCTTTTAAATTATGGTAACAAAAATCAGAGAAATGCAGCAGGCAGTTGGGCTGTATGTACTATGTTTAAGAAAAGAACAATAACAACAACAACAAAAAACCTTTAGAACTCACAAATTCTCATGGTGTTGTCCTTCAAAGCTTACCCTTGGATGACCTTCTGCTCATTCCCAGGATACTCCATGTACTGCTCTAGAAGAGCCTTTTCCCTGTGGAGGCCCAGGAGCCCAGCCCCAGAATTAAGAGAGAAGGGACTAACACACCCCACCGTGAATGGGCTCTAAGCCCAGTGCAGTCCTGTCCTCTTGGTTCATTCTGGTGGTAGAATTTTGGGCCATGCACCCTTTATGCAGTTCCTGCCCCTTGGGCCTCATACTCACACCCAGAGAACACTGCAGAAGTTCATTGGAGGTGCCTCCCACAATAGTTCCGCTCCAGCCACACCCCGGGCTCTGCCTTGCAACTCTCCAGCCCTCAGGGGAAGCTGCTGCTTCATCCTCTGCCAGGTCTAGGGGTATGAGGGAGATGGGCATATGAGGTACATCCTCCTAACAGGCAGAAAGCAGGCAGCCTTGTGTGTTGAGACATGCCCCCACCCCAACCACTTTTCCTCCCCATGTCCACAGAAAAGCCAACCTGTGGTGGCTGTTGGTGGCCTTGGGTATAACCTGAGGAAGGGCTTGGGGAAAGGGAGGCAGGGAAGTCATACTGGCTACAGGGAGCTAGGTGTCTTTAAAACTCCTAATTGTGGAATTGTCCTCATGCTTCCTGTCTCTGAACTTGACTCCTGATACTAGACCTCTTGGTAGGGGCCCAGGAGATGAGGTTTGAAGTCACCTTCTGGCATCCTGGGGGTCACCTAGGCTATGTCTGTTCTTGCTCCTCGTCTCAGATTCTGGGCCATTCTGCATGGCAAGCAGTAGGCAGCAGGTGGGAGCCTGGAGACCACCCAGCCCACCCCCTTATCTTGCAGGCAAAGATACTGAGGAGCAGAGAGGGGGCACTGAAGTTCGAAGTCCCTTACCTGGAGAGGGACACTGCCAGGATGAGGACACAGGTCCTCAGGTGCTCCGGTGCACAGCAATGCCACGTGCGCCTGGGAACACAAGAGTCTGTCTGGGCTGTGCCTCTACGCACTGTGCCAGCTGTCGGCCAGCCTCCCTTGCAGGTCACAGACTCTTGTCATGCTGTGTCACAAATATAGCTGCTTGTGATCTTCAAATTTCCATAAATGACAGAAAATGGAATCCTCTTGCTTGATGGTACATTCATGGCATCACCCATCCCAGAAGTGTGGTATGTTTGAGACTTCTTAAAATCAAAAAGTGTTTGCTTTTTAAAGACATGATTCCTTAATGGTGACTTTAAGCACCTAAAGTTCTCCAAACAAACTTGCTGAATTACTAAAACCATCCATTTTGCCAAGCTGATCGTGAAACAGAAAAAATCACCTTCGTGGAAAAACTGGCGCAATCCAAATAAAACACAAAGTTTAATTCATTGTAATGTACCAGTGTTAATTTCTTAGTCTTGACAAACATACCCAGCTACATGGGTTCCTCTCTGCTTGAATTAAAGGCCCAGCACACCCTAGGAGGATGTAGCTCCAAAGGAGTGGGGAACCAGCCTGCAGCCTCCATTGCACCTGCCCTGGGAAGAAGACTCCCAATCTCCCTTTGAAACGTGGCTCCATCCTGCACCCCAAATTAGGACCCTGTGGACTTCTACCCACAGCACCCCCCACAGACTCATCTCATTTTTGTGAGGTGCTCTCTCTTTGGGTGGGGGTGGGGCGGGGTCTACACCACTCTCTTTGTTGGAGAAAGTCCCCTGGAGAAATGCTGCTTCAGCAGCAAAGAATTATGTCACATCTTCTTTTCTTGGGAAAGAAAGTGGGGAGAGAAAAGAAGAGTGATTTAGGCATATTAGGCATCCAGCACCAAGGAAGTTCTACCAAATATTTTTTAAACTTTATGTTAGAATAATATGATAGTGAAGAGAGTTCTACATATCCTTCACTCAGGAACTCCTGAAGCTTATCACTGGTTTTGGGTGAGTGCTTTGTCATGGTCAAAGACATTTTAGAAGATAAAAACAAAGAAAATGCCTGGAAGCCAAGCCAAAGGATAGAAGAAAAGAGGAAGAAGGAAAGAAAGAAAGAAAGAAAGAAAAAGAAAAGAAGGAGAGAAAGGAAGTAAAGAAAGAAAGGAAAGAAAGAAAGAAAAGGAGAGAGAGAAAGGAAGGAAGTAAAGAAAGGAAAGAAGGAAAGAGAGGAAGGAAGGAAGGAAGGAGAGAAGGAAGGAAGGATAAAGGGGAATAAAAACCAAGAAGCTGAAAGAGTCTGTGGGTTGTTGAAAGGCAAAAAGCGGCTATCTCTGTGGTCAGGCTGCTCCATCATGCCCAACCTCTCCACTTGTTTTTCACCTCTGGCTTCTTCCAGTCTTGGGGCCAATAACAGTGTTGGAAATGTCACGGGTTAATCATGACAGGCAGCTGTGCAGAGCCGGCTGGGCATGGCAAAGTTGGAAGCATCACTCAGGCCAGGTGTGGACTGCCCTCTAGCTCTGCTGGATGCATGTTAAGGTGGTTCGGGGTGAGGTGGTTTCCCCCAGAGGCTGGGGTAGGTCAGATGGCATGCCTGTCAAACTAGGGTGTGACTACCTGGAGCCAGGAGGCAGCATGCTGTAGGATCACAGAATTAGTGAGGCACACACAAATCATCATCAAGAGGTTACTGGAGACCTACTTTGTGCAGGCACTGTGCTGGGTGCTGGGGATACAGCTGTGACAAAGTGGAAAAATTCGTGCCTGCATCATCCTATAGCAGTGGTTTGCAAAGTGTGGTCTCTGGACCACCAGCAGCAGCATTGCCTGGGAACCTGGGAGAAATGCAAACTGAATCAGAAAGTCTGAGGGTGTGGCCCAGTGTTCTGTGCTTTTGCCACATCTCCAGCAGGTTCTTAGATGCACTAAAGTTTGAGAAATCCTGTATAGATGACATCCCTGGCACACAATGTGTGCTCCTGTAAGGGAGCCAGGAGCATTGGTACCAATACATAGGGCTCTGGGTGGTCCCAGCTCCCTCTCTCTCCCCATGGGCCCACAAAGACACTAGATTGCACATAAAAGGTAACTGACCACAGAAAATCCTGAGCTCTCGCAGGCAGGAGCATAACGATGCTGATAATAATACCAACTGCAACAGCTGACGTCCAATGGGCACTCGCTCTGTATCAGTCACTGATCCAGAAGCTTCACATGGACTAGCTCAGATCATTTAATCCTCACAACTGTCCAAAAGCAAGCACTGCTGTTATCTCCATTTCAGAGTTGAGGAAATGGAGGCATAGAGAGGCTACAGCTTTTAGAGAGGAGGCAGCAAATGAGTGGTGTAGATACGGTTGTGTTGGGTTGAGGTTAACCAGGAATCATCCGGGCAGGTGGGAAGGGTTGAGCCGGGTATGATGGCAGCAGGAGAGCAGTCCTGGGGTGAGTGCAGGTAACATTAGCTGATGGAAAACCCCAGGGAGGTTTTCCTGCTTCCCACTGATTTCCCAGAATGCCCCTGGGTATTAGGTTGCCCAAGGACTTCCACATTAAGCCCCTCCCTCCCAAATATTTGTGCCTGTGGATCTCCACCATGTTTATTTCGGAGCTTGGGGGAAAACTCCAGCTCATGAATCCACGGTAAAACAAGAGGCTTATAACTTGGGGTGTCATTTCCCCTGACTCTTGGATTGATCTGCATGTTCATGAGTGCCATGAAGCTAGAGTTCCCTCTGCAGAGCTGCAAGCTGTCTGGAGAGGAAGATGAAGATGTCTTAGCCCCAGGCTGCTCCCTTGAGTGTCTCCACTGAGAGAATAACAGAGCGGGGTGTGTCATTAATAAGAATTTGCTTGAAGGTTTTGAAATTGAATACTTTTGGAAGGAAAGGACAGGTAGTTGGAAGATAGACCACAGTACAGGTAGTGTGGCCTGTCTTGCTCACTGAGTGATCTCCCATGTGCAGCTCATAAGAGCCTAGTAAAATATTTTCCTGAATGAGCAGAGTACGCCCCGCCTCAGGGCCACGGAATGCCCCAGCTATCCAAGCACTCAAGACCCACCGAGACTGTGAGCGCAGCCGGAGGCAAGGTGAGCCAAGTGCAGACTTGGAGTGGAGAAGTTAAGTCAGTCGCTTGGGAGCAAGAGGGCTCCAGCTGATGCTGGGAAGGCTGGCAGGGATTCCGGGAGATGAAAGCACAGGAGGGGATGCTCTCCATGCCGGGGGGTCAGCCGGGAAAATGTGTGTAGGTAAGAATGGACATGGAGAATGAGTGAGCTACCCCTCGGTTCCCCAGCCCCCTGAACCCTGGGCCTCGGGGGCTCCTGCACGTGTTTCCAGTCTGCAGCAGGCTCCCACAGAGTCATTAACTGCAGCAGGGGAAACACCTGCCCCTGGCTGCTGCCAGGTTTTTTTATGTTGTCTTCATTGCTTCGTGCTTATCTCATTTATGATTATAGAAAAGATTCTTGGCAGCTGTCATCAAATCCTAACAGTGCCTTTAATGTCCCTCGTATATCCTGAATGTGTCAGTAATTCCACTCTGCACATTTATGCCTTTCTTTCACCGGCAATAAAATTTTAGAAAAATATAACTTCAATGGAAATGCCTATGAGGACAATAGGGAACATAAACACACGCCTCCTAATGCTTGAAGTAGGTGAGCACACACAGGCAAATAGCATGAGCTGAAGTGGTTTGGGCATTCAAGAAATTGGGCTTGAGGAGGATCAGGCTGTAGGCACGCAGGGCTTTTGCATGCATTAGAAAGTAAGGCTGTTAGTGGGATGGCTGGCCTGGGCTTGTCTTTCTCGGGGTTATCAATGAAGGCACATCATGGGTGATGCATTTAGTTTCTTGCCTCCCTTAGAGTTAGACATTATTCTGTGGCTTCTACTTTGCTGTTGCAGTGATAAGCTGAGGCCCTGACACCATGTTCCTGTCACCTTCCTGTTGTGGCCATGAACGATGCCTTGAGCTCAGCTGTACCTGGATGCTTGGACTCAGCTGCTGCAGCTCAGAGGCTCTGGACGAGCCCTTCATCATCAGGCCATCTCTTCTGAGATTCTGCTCAGGACTTGGGCCTGGATGATCTGCTGAGCTTCAGTCTCTGCCCTGCTCCCCTCATGGAGGACCTGATTCATCTGGAGCCTCGGACTCCCTATGTAGTGGTCCCTGGGATCAGAGCAGCACTCTTGGGTGAGTTTACATGCCTGTTTTGTCAGACAGGCCTTTCTGATGCTGGATCCATAGCTGCCTGGATCTGCTCCGGGGCTCAGCGCCTTCCAGATCGTGCTGGATGCCTGCATCTGGACCTCCTGACAGCCCCCATTCTTGCTCTCCTGACACCTACATGGGAAGCCTTGTTGCCCACGCTGCCTATTGGTTTGGCCCCCATGAGCATCTGGGGGCCCCAGTGCAGCACATCTCATGGCCAACAGAGGCTGTATGTGGGTGCCCTTGTACCTCTAAATTCATTTAGAGGCTGATATATTGTCAATCAGCAGGTCCTTTGTAAGCACTTACAGTATCCCTGGCCCTATGAAGGATGGTGGATACAAGACTTGCAGACACACTCCTGCTCTAAAGCAGGATGTGCAGTCAAGCCTAATGATGCTCAGCTTTTGCATGTGGCAGATGATGTTCATAGCAGATGCATGTACCCACCAGTCATGTGCCGTTCCTGGGATCTAAGCCTCACTTTAGCTCCAAGAGGAACTAAAGCACAGAGCTCTTGGTAAGAAACTCTGAAGCTCCATAGTGCCTAGACACTGAGCAAAGGCCTGAGCAAGGTCAAGTGAAGTCAGAAACTTTCCAGGTCAATCAAGTTTTCAGGGTACATGAATAATTCCTCAACCTTAGTTGCCCCAGAAACCATTCAGAAGTCCATTTGGAGTCTTGCCAAACTGGGAAGGCGGGCAGCCCTTTGAATGGAGGCTGTAAGCTCAAACCCGCCTCTTCCACTACAGCTTACACACTGTGTACACAGCACACCCACAGATGTTGCCAGAAAGTCAGTGGGGCATCTGGAAGCAAGGGCTTTACAGAGAGGACAGATAGCTCTTGTGTGCTGCCAAGAGTATAACAGGTGTAGTCACCAAGCAGGGTTCCTGGAGCTTGGGAGATGCTCGTTCTCTCCCTTTCCTCTGCTTAGCTCCTAGGAATGGGGCTCAGTTCAAGGTGAAAGCCCCAGGTTCCTTTCTCTGAGTGCAGAGCCTTCTCTCACACGCCAGGGCTTTCTAAGACCCTGGCAACAGTGAAGAGAGATGGCCCCTAGGAAAGGCTAAGGATCCCAACGTCCCAGCAGCTTTGGGACCTTGGCCTTCCTTGGGAATCTCAAGGACTCAGATCCCTGATGGCACGGAGGGGAGGGGAGTGAGAATGGTGAGCGGACTGTCAGGCAGAATGTGTCAGTTGCAGGTACCTGGCTGCTATGGTGGCTGCTAGGACAGCCAGAGCACCACCTCCACACGCTGGCAAAGTCTGGAGGCTGCCACGGCCTTTGAGTTTCCAAACTGGTGAGGAGGTGGGTACTTAACGCTGTGCAGTCTTCTAAGGGCCTGGGTAAAATGAAAAATGAGTCAGGGATGAGCCCTCAAAAATTGCTTCAGAGGCTGCACTACAGAGAACTCTTAGAGACAGCTGCTAAGGCTTATCCCAGTGACATTTGGTGAAACAAACTGGTTATTTAGGTTCTGGCTGGAAGAGATTACTTGGGCGAAGAGAGAGGTGTCCTAGAGACAAGGGGTGCTTAGCTTGGAATAAGAACTACTCTATAGGGTCCTTGGGGTCCAGGCCAGGCCCTGTAGGATCTGTGACCAGGGGCAGGGGACCTAATGCTCCCTCAAGGAAGGTCAGAGGATCCTAGGCTTCACTGAACAGTTTCCAACAATGGTCACTGAAGGTGCAGGGAGCACCTGTGGGTCAAATCCTAGGTCTCTCACCTAGGATTTGAATATATGAAATATACATTGTTGTCAATGCCTGGGGCTGTGACGCTGTGGGCAAAGTACCCATAGCGTACTCATGGAAATTCAAGAGAGTCAAAATATCAAGGTGTTCTCTTGTTTCTGCCTCAAGAATGTTCAACAGGATGGTCTTGTGGTAAAGAGGGTGAATAAACCAGACACAACTGCAAAAGAAACAATCTCTTCTCCCCTTCCAAGCAGCCCACACCCACTGTTCTTGGTGTTGACTGCCACCGAGGCTCTCCAGCTCTAGGAGGCTCCTCCGGGAAGCCAGAGGGCAGGGCCCAAGAGGTAGAGTCCTGTGAGTTTATGCTTTGGCCTGATGGCTTGGTGGACAAGAAGGACCAAACCTTCAGCACTTATGGGCTTTTCCTAGTGGAGCTCTGTGTAGGTAGAGAGAGAGGTGTTGTGATTGTTCTGAAGTTTCCTAACCTCTTTGTCTTGTTTTGCCTGAGTTTGGGAGTGTACCACCTGAGATCCGCCTGGCTCCCCAGCCCTTGCTGGGCCCTCTCACAGCTGCTCTCACAGCCATTCTTATTAGTGTAAGAGCTGATATAGATTAGGGAGGTCTAAATCAGTGCCTGCTTCTGCTGAAATTCCTGGCCAGAGCCTCCTTTCTGAAGCCCCAGACTGAAGGGCCTCACTGTGCAGACCAATTGATTTATTCTTGGGGAGAAATCCATTGCCAGGCAGTGCATGGAGCCCCAGTGGGCCACCCTTTGAAGTTATTTTTATTTGGCTGATTTTTATGTTTAACGAGACGTAGTTGAATGTTGAAGGTGGAAAGAAGGGGCCAGAAATCCAGGCACCAAACTTCCCCAAAACATCTCTTTTGAAGACCCTTATGGGTAGATCCCTCTGTCCTCCAGGCAACCAACCAGCAGGTCTTTAGTGAACAATGACTGTGTGCTAGGCTCTGTGCTAGAGCTTGAAGTGAAGATAGTTTCAGGCCTCAAAGAAGTTTACAGTCCACGAGGGATGTGGGTGGGAGCAGGGTCAAAGGAAACGCAGGATTCGCACCCATGAAACAACTAAAAAGAAAACCAAAGACATACTTGTCACACAGCATAGAACTTGCTGGCCATGGGAGTCAGGAGGAAGAGCTGTGTGGAATGAGACATCAAAGACTTTATGAAGAAGTTGAGACTCTGGCTTAACCTTGAAAAAAGAGGGAATTAATCAGCTTGCAAGAATGTATTGTGTATTTGACATAAAAACCATGTGGCCAGGTCTTAACTAAAGTAGTAAGGCAGAAGTCTTATAGCTGGTTAAACACACAAGACATGTATCTATGAAAAAGAAACACAAAATAGGCAAACAGGACTCTCTCTCTCTCTCTCTCTCTCTCTCTCTCTCTCTCTCTCTCTCTCTCTCTCTCTCTCTCTCTCTCTCGGGTGGGGGGTTGTATCTGCATCATACACTTTTTACTCATTCATTTGCCCACTTTTTTGCAACCAATTTACTCATGTCATTGTTGAGGGACCTATGGCAGGTGCTTTGTGCTGTGGCTAATAAGGCAGAAATTGAGCAAAATAAGCAGTGAGCAGAAGAGAGACTCAGAGGCATGCATGGACAGGAAGGTGTGGGGAAGGGTGCCCTTGAGTTGCATTCTGAAGTGACTGGATTTGGATTGGTTGGCAGAGGAGAGATAGAAATAGTTCATTATTGGGTTGGACAGATTAAAGGACCAAATGTACAGACAATGGAGAAAGACACATGAGACTAAGGCTTAGAGGGAGATACCACCCCTGCCACTCCAGGTCCACTTGAATGGGTTGTCCCCAAGTCTGTCTGCTTTCCAGGTTAGACCCCTCTATGGGTCAGCACTGTCTAATAGAAATATAATGAGCCACATGTGTGTATTCATGTTTTCTAGTAGCCACATTAACAAAAGTAAAAAGAAACAGGTGCAATTAATTTTAATAATGTTTTATTTTACACAGTATGTCTAAAACATTATCATTTCAACATGCCTTCAATTTTAACCAGCTATTTTACATTCTTTTTGTTTTCTCTGAACGAAGTCTTTGAAATCCAGTGTGTATTTTACCCTTACCTCACATCTCAATTCAGACTACTATGGTCCAAGTGTTCACTAGCCACCTGTGCCTTAGTGGACAGTGCATGTCCCTGTCACAACACACTCACAGCTTCCATACACACACATCTCCTGTGCCCCAGTGCCCAAGTGGACTGGTGTTTTTGCACCAGCCCAAAAGTCAAAATATCTGGGGCCAGCATGGTGGCTCACGCCTGTAATCCCAGCAGTTTGGGAGGCCGAGGCGGGCAGATCACTTGAGGTCAGGAGTTTGAGACCAGCCTGGCCAACATGGTGAAACCCTGTCTCTACTTAAAATACAAAAGATAGCCAGTGTGGTGGCCGGCAGTTGTATCCCCAGCTACTCAGGAGGCTGAGGCAGGAGAATAGCTTGAACCTAAGAGGTGGAGGTTGCAGTGAGCCAAGATCATGCCACTGCACTCCAGCCTGGGCAACAGAGTAAGACTCCATCTCAAAGAAAAAAGAAAGAAAAAGAAAAATATCTGGGAGGTAAGTGGGTTGAGTGGAATAAAAGACATGGATAGACAGTAGGAAGATGTCTGTAGGCAGGGTAAGGACATAAGTGAGGAGATGACAGGAGCTAGTCCTGTTTCTTAAAGACTTCCAAAGCAAGTGTCTATGAATTGAGGTAGTGATGATCATACCCAAAATCCTTTTCTAGCCTATCCTTTCCCTAGTGACACTGCTTCTGCACTGGTCTACCCATCAATGAGCCCACAAGCCCACTGATACCTACTGTGTGCCCAGCACTGTTTTAGGTGTTGTGAGAGATAAAAGAAGCACCTTAAGAGATAAGATAGAGACTTTGAGAAAACAGCCATAGGGAAAAGCCCCATGTGCAAATGCCCCATAGGCAGTACTTGGCAGTGACTGAGTTTCCATCAAGACAAGAGAGGAGAGGGAAAGCCGTGGAGCCTTGGAATTCCCAGCTGCTGAACTGTATGGAAAGGAAAGGGCAGAGGTGGAAGGGCCAGAAAACCCTTGGTGATGCCTGGGCTCTGCTTCTTAATATGGCTGTGTGATGCCAGTCACGGCACTAGCTTGCCTCAGTTTCTTTTTCCTGATCCAGAGAATGACATTTGCCCAGCCTTTCTCCCAGGGTGCCTGTGAGGATCCAGTGAGATTGGGCATGGGAATGAAGTCTCACCGAGAGGTAAGGAGTAATTAATAGTAACAGTAGGCTGGGCGTGGTGGCCCACGCCTGTAATCCCAGCACTTTGGGAGGCTGAGATGAGTGGATCACCTGAGGTCAGGCATTTGAGACCAGCCTGACCAACAAGGTAAAACCCTGTCTCTACTAAAAATACAAAAATTAGCTGGGCGTGGTGGCAGGCTCTTGTAGTCCCAGCTACTCGGGGGGCTGAGAGAGGAGAATTGCTTGAACCCGGGAGGCAGAGGTTGCAGTGAGCCACTGCACTCCAGTCTGGGTGATGGAGTGAGACTCTGTCTCAAAAAAAAAAAAAAAAAGTAATAGTAATTAATGTTGCTGCTGAAAAACTTGGCCCAGCAAGACCTTGAAAGGTCTGGGGCAAGACCTTGCACCAGAAAGGAGCAGCTAAGCCAGTGTCACATGTCCACAAAGACTGAGGTTTCCTTGGATCTCTGTTCTCTCTGCCTGGAGGGTCTAACCCTCCTTTCTCTGCCTACGATGTTCTTCCTATCCTGTAAGACCTTGGACAGACCCCACTTCTCCAGGAAGCCCATCTGGATTTGAGGCTCCTTATTCTGGGCCCCCGTAGTGTGATACCTATGTCCTTCTGTTTCATGTTCCCATCAGCTGCTTGTGGAAATCTCCTCTATTGGACCAGGAATGACTAGGAGGTGAGACTTTTATTTGATTCATTTCCAAATCCTGGGACACCCAGTGGATTCCTATTTCCAGATTTGAGCTGACTTTTGATAACTCTTTTGTCTCTGGAGGCTTTGTAGGGAGAAGAGGTTCTAGGCTCCTATGGCCTAAATGGGCTCAGCCCTGCCAATGTCTCTGACCCTTTGCTGAATAAGGATTTAGAGGCTGTTTCTGATTTGGAAATTGCAGCCGGAGTTTTTTTAGTGCCGTTTTCCAAAGTCAACATTCCCAAGCAGAACTGGAGTGGAGAGGAAACAGTGCCCCCAGACCTTGGAGGGAAGGATCAGTGTGGTTCCATTATTTAATTAGGCTGAAGAATGCTCAGAGGCGTGTACTGAGCAAGAGGAGGTGGGGGTATCAGGGAAGGGGGATGCTATGTGTTACTGGACCATCCTGTGGATCTGGAGAGGAAGCCTAGGGTGGGAGGCAGAGCATGGGGCAAAGGGTTAAGGCTCTGGCCTCAAAGAGGCAACTAATTGTATGTGGTTACTCATTGAGGGCCTCAGTTTTCTCACCTGCCAAACATGGACACGGTTGTCATGTCTCAGAATTATCATGAGATATTATTTTGGCAGTCTTCATAAAAAAGCTTTGAAAAGCTCTAAAAACCCCACTGTGGTCTAATGGAAAATACTCTGGGTCATTTGTGGGCTGTGTGATCTTGGTTAAGTCCCAGTCTTCTCTGGACCTGAGGTTACTCATTTAAAAAAAATGAGATGTTGGATTGGATGATCCTGAAGCCTGCTTAAGTTCAGAATGTTTATATTTGCTCTTCCGACCTGTGGAGACTGAAAGACACATACACATAATCAGTTTGCATTTCAAGGCACACTGATTGGCCAGTATTTGCGTATCAATAAATTACTGCCATCGTCAGCCAATCATTGAGCACTGATAGTGTTGAGAACCTCTCTTGACCTGTGCTTCTCGACATCTTATTGTTTGGTTGCTGTATTATCATTGACTTCATGTGTGCCCATGTCTTGTGGTCCATCTAGACCAACACTGTCCAATAGAAATACAATATGAGCCACAAATGCAATTTTAAATTTTCTAGTAGCCACACTAAAAAAGTAAAAAGAAACAGGAGACATTTTAATAGTGTATTTTATTTGACCCAATATATCAAAATATTATCATTTCACCATGTGTTCCCTATAAAACATATTAACAATATAGTTTTACAGTTTTTAATGTTAAAATACACACACTCCCTAGTGTGCATTTTATACTTACAGTGTGTGTCAATTTGCATCAGCCGTATTTCAAGTGCTCAATAGCCACATGTGGCTAGTGGCTCCCATAGTGGACAGCACAGATCCAGATTGCAAGCTGCTTAAAGGTAGGGGTTGAATTTTGTGATATTTAATACTTGGAAAGAGCTTTAGAGTTTAAATGCCCTTTCTGCTATATCATGTCATTCTGTCCTTACTGCTGTCTGGCGAAGCTGATACAGTTGTGAACACCATTTTATAGATAAGGAACCTGAGGATTTGGGGAGATCAAACGCTTGCTTGAGGGCATAGCATCAATAGAAGCTGAGCTGGGATTTGAACTCAGATATTCTGGTTCTAAGTGTAGAAGGAGTTCTAACAGGGCAGCTACCTTCATTTATTTGTCCATTTACTCTGTGATTTGCTTGTTACTTAACCTAGGTCCATGCTCTGTGCCTGGTGCTGATATTAACCAGATGTGATCCTTTTGTATTTTAAGAGGAGGCAGAAATGGAGAGGTTAATTTTGATGTTTCTATTTCTTTTCTTGTTTTTTGTGTGTTTAGGTTTGAGAGAAAGATGAGGTCGGAGGATGACTCTAGCATTCTTGTCAGCATCTTTATCTTTTTAACTGCAAGCCTGCTTCAACACATCCGGTGAACCAAGGCTAGAAAACATTCCTGTGTTTCAGGCTGTATTTCCTCTCATTCGTTGTCTTCTGGTTACATGAGTTCCCTACCCGGCTCCTCCTTCCTCCTTGGCCTGTATCCCTCACTGAGCCAGGAGATGCTTATCACATACACTTTCTGTTAGACCTGACTTTGGCCAAACTAAACTGTTCTCTCTCTCATGTGGCGATCTTGGCTGATTGTTTTTAGGAAGGGAAACCTCATTTACTTTCCTGACATGGACTTTAATTCTGGGAGCCAGAGGCTTCCTGTTGCAAGGCAGGGTTGGTCTGTGTTGCTCTGAGGGGAGCCTGATGTCCTCACCAAGCCCTAGCTACACACTACTCACTAGAGGTGCCAGGTGGTGGCTCTTGAAAACTAGGGAGGGGCCCCAGACTGGAGGGCAGGTAACGGAGATGCTGGAGGCAGAGCCCACTATCAAGTATTGGTGGTCACCTGGAAGTGCTGCCAGGAGGCCATGATGGGAATGAGGAAGGAGCAAGGGTCAGGGTTTGAGGCTCCTGAGCCAAAGTAGACAATAGCACACTCAGAGCCACAGTCAGGGGCTTAGTCAGGAGCTGAGGTTTGAGAAGGAGGGGGCCCCTTTCCAGAAGGGACCATGATTTGACCCATGTTCTGTGTCCTCCCTCAGTGCATTGGTACATAAGGCATCACAGAGTCCTTGAGATGAAGGAACCTTAGACATCAGCTACCCCGAGCCCCTACTTCATTGATACCAATATTGCCTGCAACAGTGGGTTCAATTAGTGCTTTGTGGAGTCCTGGTGTTCCCAGGGGTGTCTCAGGGGTAGGGGTGTCTCACGCAATATTTGGGACATAATTACTGTATACTAAAATATTATTCATTGTTTATCTAAAATTCCAATTTAATTGGTTGTCCTGTGTTTTTACTTGCAAAATGTAGCAACTCTATTCAGGGAGTTTGCCAGGAGCGGAGTAGAGGGCTCAGAGGGCGGGGAATTCCACTACCCACCCACCATTTTAATGAGACCAGCTCTACTTTTATCTGACAGTGGTAGTTAAAACTAACAAACAAAACAAATCCCTCCCCTTTCATGGTCTCTGATTGTATCAGTCAGGGTTCCCTAGAGGGACAGAACTAATAGAACGTATATATATATATAAAGGGGAGTTTATTAAGTATTAACTTACATGAACTCAAGGTCCCACAATAGGCTGTCTGCAAGCTTGAGGAGCAAGGAGAGCCAGCCCGAGTCTCAAAACTGAAGAACTTGGAGTCCGATGTTTGAGGGAAGGAGGCAACTATCATAGGAGAAAGATGTAGGCTGGGAGCCTAGGCCCATCTCAGCTTTTCACATTTTTTTGCCTGCTTTATATTAACTGGCAGCTGATTAGATTGTGCCCACCAGGTTAAGGGTAGGTCTGTCTTCTTCTGAGCCCTCCAAACTGTTCCAATCTCTGCCTGTTACCCAGTTCCAAAGTCGCTTCCACATTTTTGGGTATCTTTTCAGCAGTGCCCCCATATTTTTGGGTATCTTTTCAGCAATGCCCCACTCTACTGGTATCAATTTACTGTGTTAGTCCATTTTTGTGCTGCTGATAAAGACATACCTGAAACTGGGAAGAAAAAGAGATTTATTTGGACTTAACAGTTCCACATGGCTGGGGAGGCCTCAGAATTATGGGAGGAGGTGAAAGGCACTTCTTACTTGGCAGCGACAAAAGAAAAATTAGGGAGAAGCAAAACTGGAAACGCTTGATAAACCCATCAGGTCTCATGAAATTTATTCACTATTACGAGAATAGCACAGGAAAGACCAGCCCCCATGATTCAATTACCTCCCCTGGGTCCCTCCCACAGCACGTGGGAATTTGGGAGATACAATTCAAGTTGAGATTTGGGTGGAGATACAGCCAAACCGTATCACTGACCAAGGAAGAATCCTAGACAGTATTATAGAGAAGAGATTTGGACATAGTACCATTCATGAACAAGGGTTACTCATTTCCCCCAGTATCAGATAGGTCAAAGCCATGTTAAGGGAAGAATATAAATCTCTTCTGATGACCAGCCAAGGAATTCTGTTATTGTTGTTTTAAGGGATAGATTCTCATGATGGTGAGTTAAGGTTGAGAAAAAGACAACTGCATTCAGAAAGGGACACTTCTCTCTCTCCCTGCCCTCAAGATGTCCAAAGACCTTGAGACCAGGGTGTACCCTCCCTCACTTCCTAAAGCATCAGATGCCAGGCTGGAAAGAGGCCCCAGGATGTTCACAGGAGGCTGCTGGAGTCTATCCCATTTGCCAGGGATGGAAAGGGACCTCAGGAGTTAGGAATTGATACTTCAGTGAAGAGAGGGAGAGCCTCCAGGGGAAAGTGTGGAGATGGTTAGGGTCCCCACCCCACCAGGGATGAAAGGGTTAAAGGGAAGTGAGGGGAGAAGGGGAGAGTTAGCAAATGAGAATGCGTTTTTTAACTTTATTTATGTATTTACTTGTTTATTTATTTTTATAGAGATGGGGTTTTGCTATGTTGCCCAGACTGGTCTTGAGCTCCTGGCTCAAGTGATCTACCTGCCTTGGCCTCCCAAAGTGCTAGGATTACAGGTGTGAGCGACCATGCTTGGCCAAGAAAGCATTCTTTTCACTCTTTTTCTGAAGGCCTAGGCAGAGAGGTATAGTCCCTTGTGCAATGCAGAGAAGCCAAGTACAAAACATGGTGCTCAAAATTGTGCGAATTGCCACCCCAACACCTGCTGCATTACCTATTGTTTTAGAATTTTGGAACAATTACCTGATTTCATCAGGAAAAAGAACAGCTTTAAATTTTCAAAAGAGTCAGTGTGGAGTCAGCCAGCGGAAAGTAGGTGAGGGCGTTCCAGCATGGGTTGGCGGCAGCTCATTTTTCCATGGCATGTGTGTGGAGGACCCTCTCTCATCTAGCAGGTCATGTGGAGTGTCTGTTTGCAGAAACAGTAAGACAGAGCTCATCACTTTCATTCCGAGATGGAGCTAAAGAGAAAACCCTAAGGGATCAAAAAGGAAGGGGCCTATTCCGTGGGCCTGAGGTTTTAAGTATTTGGCTTCCACATGAGATTTCAATTTGAAGAAAGAGTTCCATGGCTAAAACAGTTTGGGAAAACCATTGCTCCCCACAATATACACAGTAAGTGGCCTTCCATCTTCAGTGAAACAGCCAACTAAAAACAAAAGTGTGTGTCAAATCACACATAAACTGGGGATTTCCAAGGCTCACTGAGAAGGGAACATAAGCTGGAGCCAGAGCAGAATTAATTGCTCAAGACCAGAGGAGAAGCTGCAGCTACAATGGAAGGTCCTCCTTCTGTGTGCCCTCCCCATGCAGCACTCCACCTTTCCTCAACATAAAAAGGGAGCATACAGTTAAAAAGAACCCACTGGAAAGGCCCAAGGGAGCTTGTTCAGGCCTTCCACCATGGGAGGAAATAATGGGAAGGCATCATCTATGAACCAGAAAGCTGGTCAGTGAGCCCCAGGCCATGGAGTTAACTGGGCCCTTAAGTGCAGTTTAGAGACCCTCTACTGTTACTTGAGAATGACCCCTGGAGGGTCCTGCCTCACTCCCTTCTACTATCAAAGTATTCCTTCCAGCCAAAGAGCCCTGGGGGCAGTTCTGGGAATGCAGTTTTCTCATCTTGATACAGTATTGCTCAGTTTATTGATCATTATAGATTGGGGCACAAAGTTGCCTGACTGTTCACCCCAAAACATGGCACTGTGTGGGAGGAAAGGGGTCTGAACTGTAAGGATCTGGCGCATGAGCCCTGAGAAGGACCTTGTGGGTAGGAGACTTCCAGCCTTGCCTTCTCCCCTCTGTTAGAAGTTGAGTCGGCAGGAGGCAGGCTGGAGCACAGCTTTTCCACGGTGGTACTGGGGAGAGGCCTGGCCTGCTCCAGGGCCTCCAGTGGGGAGGAAGTTGCTTTGCGATGGGCCTTGAAGGCTAGGGGTTTGGATTCATGAAGAAAGGGGAGACCATTGTTCCAGGGTGGAGGAGGTCTTTGTGGACTGGGCATAGGTTTTGGGGGATAGAGGGAGAGAAAAGGTAGAGGGAAAAGGAGCTGGCAAGGCCCAGATTTTAGAGAGCCGTGAATGCCAAGCTGAGTTCAACATTGAAGCTGAGATTTTAAACAGTCGAGTGCTTCTGATGGCCCCATACTGATTGACCTTGTGAGCCAAAAAGCAGCATTTGACACGTCCACATCCTGCCACCTTCCTCATGCAAATCTCCTCAGCAGTCTGCAATACCTCTCTTCTGTCTTGGGCTTGAAAGGGGGCTCTGGCATTGCCCATAGCCCCTGGGAATCCAGATGTTCACACTGCTGGGAAGGAGCTCATTTTTAAAAATCCAATAGTTTGTAATGAGAGGCAATTTTCTCCCAAAAGCAATTAGTATCTGCTAATTTCTTTGCACACAATTGCTTTCAAGAATAAATTCCAGGTTCCATATGGTATCCCATAAATCATATCAGAAGATTTCTTTCTTCTTAGGTATTTTATTCTTAAACAGACTCAGATTTTTACCTTTAAGAACGGAAGGATACTGAAGTACAAACTCCCTCCTCACCATATGTGTGAAAGTTTATATCTGAAATTCCAGATGTGATTAAAATCCAATTTAATATTTTTGATGGATGAGTCAGGGCTGCTACCAGCAGACTCACTGCTGTCATTTCCGGGTGACAGAGAGGTGAAAAATATTTGGTGCTTCTAAGTAATGCATCGATTCTAAATGGAGGATGAAAAGTAGTTAAAATGAAACAAACTGGCCAAGTGCAGTGGCTCATGCCTGTAATCCCAGAACCTTGGGAGGATGAGGTGGGCAGATCACTTGAAGCCAGGAGTTCAAGACCAGCCTGGCCAACATGGTGAAACCCTGCCTTCACTAAAAATAAAAAAAAATTAGCCAGGTGTGGTTGTGCACACCTGTAATCCCAGCTACTTGGGAGGCTGAAACATGAGACTTGCTTGAACCCAGGAAGTGGAGGTTGCAGTGAGCTGAGATCGTGCCACTGCATTCTAGCCTGGGTGATAGCACAAGACTCTGTCTAAAACAAAAACAAAAACAAAAACAAAAGAAAAAGAAAAAAAAGAAACAAACTGAGGACAGCGAAAGGAAAGCCACTATGTAGGTCCAGCCCATCTAGGTGGTAAGGAGAGCAGAAGAGTCAAGGGAGATAGAAGGGAGAGGAGAAATAATTCTAAAGCATGGAGTGCTTTGGTGGCAGGGGAGGTGAGTGGAAGGATAGGGTTCATTCCAAAATGGAGAAGCAGAGAAGCCAGGGGCCTGAAAAAGAGCGCAGAAGTGCTAGAATATAACAGTGATTATTTCAAAAGTCCGCTTAAAGCCAATCCTGCATCAAGACAGAGGGCTACCCTGTGTCCAGGACCCAGAACTCATAAGCTCCCTTTTGCCTATGTCATGGGAATAGACTGGCCTGAGAGTATACCAGCAAGCACCACAGGGCTTTGCCAGGGAGATTTGTTCTCATGAACTGATTGCTGGGACATGAAACTGTCACTAGGCCTCCCTGAGGCGGGTATGACAATATTCAGGCAGGCCCTTCTTGAAATATAATGTCAGGATAAGAAGGTAGTTTCAGCCGGGTTTGGTAGCTCATGCTTGTAATTCCAGCCCTTTGGGAGGCTGAGGCAGGAGGGTTGCTTCCTGGGCAACATAGTGAGATGCCATCTCTACAAAAAATTTAAAATTAACCTGGTGTGGTGGCAAGTGCCTGTATTCCCAGCTACTTGGGAGACTGAGGAGGGAGGGGAGGATCGCCTGAGCCCAGGAATTCAAGGTTACAGTAAGCTATCATGCCACTGCACTCCAGCCCGGGTGAAAAAAAAAAAAAGGTAGTTTAAATTCACACATCCAAAGTGATTCTTCTTAGTACAATTGCTGACCAAGGAGATTTCCAGTTGTACTTGAAGGTACATTGATCACCTGACCAGTGCTGAGGGTCTCTTAGCCAGAGGGACCAAGACCCCAGCAGCAGTTGCCTGTGCCCTTAGAAGAATCTTCAGAGGTAAGGATGCAGCAGTTCATTAACAAGAGGCAATGGAAAAGTGAGCTTCCACTTACGAAAATGCCATCTAGAGAAACACTTTCAGGTCTGTGCTGTGCCTATCCAAGCAGAAATTCTCTAGAGGACTGGAGAGTTTCCAGCTTTCCTCAAAATGGAATGGGTGATGACGGCTCTATGGGGGAGTTAGCGTTTCTTAAGGAAATTTTCTCTCAGGCATCTCTCTCTACGTGCTAGCAAGTTGCAGGGGAAAGCAGGTAATTCAGGGCACTAAATATAAGCCTGGGGATCAAATCCTTGCTCTGCCAATTTTATTTGAGGATTCTTGGCAAAATGACTTGAGCTTTCGGAGCCTTGGGCTCTTCATCTATAAAAAAGGGATGTATCAGATAGCTTTTGCTGAATAACAAATTTCTGAAAACATAGTGGCTTAAGATAACAAGCACTGAATATTTCTCATGATTATGTAAGTTGGCTGGGAAGTTCTTCAGGTGTGGGTAACCTCAGCTGGGGCTGGATGGTCAAGAACAGCCTCACTCCTATGCCTGTGGCCTCAGCTGGGATGGCTGGAGAGGTGGGCGCCTTGCTCCACATGGTCTCTCATCCCCGGGAAGCTAGCCTGTGCTTGTTCACAGAGTGGCAAAAGGGTTCAAAGCTGAGAGAGGGAAAGCCTTGATGCAAAAGCACTTTTCAAGCCCCTTACATTGTGTTTGCTAATGCCCCACTGGCCAAAGCAGGATGGTCAATACAGAATTGAGCGGATGGGGGAACAGACTCTACTTCTCGATGGGATGAGGTGCAAAATATTGTGGCTATTTTTTTTTAGTCTACCACAAAAAACAGCAACAAATCTACCCCAGTGGGTTATTGTGAGGCTCATATAAAATAATGCATGAAAATAAAGCTCTTGACATGGTCCTGGCACATAGTAGGTCTTCCGTGAACGTGAGTTTTCATTTCTTCTTTTTCTTCTTCTTGAGTAAGAGCACATCTTTATGAGAGGCATGATGGATCTGTTGACTCTAATTCCATTCTCTTTCAGAGCACATGGAAATTGAAGCCATGTGGGACTTAACAAGAGATCAAATAGTGCCTTAAACATCCCAGGGCAGCAGTCCTGTCCCCAGAGCCTGGGGCGGCCCCTGTGATGGAGCCTGTCTTTCCTGGTGCTCTGGGTCCCTCCCCTCCCAGCCTGCTGCAGGTCGGTCTTTTTCTCATTACAAATTGCTCATAAGCACACACATCCCCAGATGCCCGCATAAAAGCTGGTATTAAAGTTGTGTAATGGTGGTGTGAGCCTTGTTATTATTAGGGTAGCAGTAAGCTGTTCCCCAGAGCTTGGGGCTGTACTGGGCAAAGCTCTGGAAAAGCTGCACACTCTCTCCAGTGCAATCTGACCGCCCCCTCCCAGTGAGGCTGCAAAGAAGAGATACTGAGCTATGCAATTGTATGGTGAGTCAGTTATCAGGGGAGAAGAATTAGATTGTGAGGGTGGAAGCAGAGACCTCTGAGGAGAGAAACCCCTAGGGACAGAAGAGAAGCACTGGAGATCTTCAAAGGATTCTGCTGATGCATTTTCTCCAGGAAAAATTCCATAATATTTGGCACCTGCCAGAGAAATACTGCTCTGCATTTGATGGCATGTCATAGGGGACCAGGCTTCCTGCTCTTGTCAAGTCTTACCAACAACTCAGTGAGCTTGGCAGGAGCATCAGCCCCATTTTACAGATGTGGACTCTGGCGAGTCTTCACTCCTTTCCCAGGAATGCTCTCTCCTCTATTTAGTGGCCCCTCCTGTTCCTGGACCTTGGATCAGCTTATTCACTGATGATGACAGCGCTGATGAAACATTAATTCATGACCTCTGGAATACGCACTCTTTAACACATGTAAGTGTGTGTAGTGTGCGTGATTGAATATTAGATGAGAAATCAACCTTGGCCTCTTGCCACTGTAGCATCAAGGGTTCTCACAATGGCTGATGCAAATCTCATGATGAACACTGGGCTCAAGGGAAATGAGAGGCTACAAAGACCCGAGCCTGGAGGGTCAAATCACAAGCTAGGAAATGGGCAACTGCTTTTCAGAACACTGTTCAGAACCAGAATGGCAGAGGAGGCAAAAGATGAAAATTTTTTAAACCTTTCCTATATGGCAGAAACCGTGCTGAAGGCTTACATGGATTATTTCCTTTCATTACCACCAGCACCCCATTAAACATTAAACATTATCACCTGTGTTCAGTGCTCCCTTATATCTGGGACTCTTCTAGACACAGGATAATTTCTCTTTCCCACATCCTTGTTGGAGGCAAGACCATTTGAGAAACTTGACCAGTGACTGGTGAATGGGAGTGATGGACATCTTTTTTAGGCTGAAGCACTTAATAGTCTCCACGAGGCCCTCCAGTATCCTGGAAGCACATGGTAGACAGGGGTGACACATAGTTGAGACAGCCTGGATCTCTGAGCTTCCATGTAGAGGACAATAGCCTTGGGGAGATCCCTCAACCTCCAGCCAACTTTACTTGAATAAGAAATGCAACTTTGTTGTTGTAATCCACTGAGATTTCAGGGTTGTTTGTTATTGCAGCAAAACCTAGCATATTCTGCCTAGTGGATAGGCAGAATCATTATTTTATAGATGAGGAAATTAGGGCTCTGAATAGGTTAAAAACTTGCCAAGGGCACACAGAGCCTAAGTGGGAACACCAGGGTCTGAACCCACGTGTGGTTCCAGAGCCCAAGCTCTTAACCATGATATGATTAGACAAAAGTCATGGCCACTGGGAAGTCATTGAAGGACTTTTCAAACTGGAAGTAACCTGATGACCATAGGGTTTGCAGAAGCCTGCCCTGGCTTGTGTGTGAGGGGTGAGCTAGACTAAGGAGACAGAGCAACGCCCAGAGCAGTCAGTTCACCCAAGGTGTTGTCTTTCTCCCACATCTGCCACATGGAGGGGCAGACCTGTTACTCACCCTGCCTGGTGGTATTTGCATGTTTCAGAGGAAAGGACAGCAAGAGCTGCTTCGCCTTGGGAACAGGGAGGGCAGGAGGGGAAGGGGTAGCTGGTGTGGAGGCGGGGGAGATGCTGCCAGGGAGGGGGCAGGAAAATTCTCTACCCCTCTCCCGAATCACTGCAGCCCGCCCATGGCCCTCAGAGCTTACTCAATGCTGTCTTTCCCAGAGTGTTTCTCTTGGCAGAGACCTCCTCAGGGGCCCTACCTTATGATGAATGCCACACACCCAGGACAGAGTTTGGTAATTTCAATGGGTTTTTACCATCTAGTTCAGCCAGACGATTGAGATGTTTGTCTGTGGCAGGTTTGCCAAAGCTGGCCTTGGGTCACCTGGGGCTACAGACCATGCCCGTTCCCCCTCTCCAAGATTCTGATGCAGTCAGTTTGCCGTGGGGCCTTGGGCTCCCTGTGCTTAACAAGCCCTCCAGGGGACTTACACCCTCTCGCAGGTTTGGAAACAGTGACTCATGCAGTACCAAGTCAGTCTGACTGAGCTGTTTCGGGAGTGAGGTTATGGGATACTTTGGCATCCTGAACATAGCATGGAGCCCTTGTCCCCTGCAGCCAGAACAATTTTTCTGTCTATTGAAATTTCTTTACATTTTTTATGAAATTAAATTTGGAAAAGATTTATCCAGTTTTTAAAGTTTATTTTGTTTTTCAAGATGAAAACAAATGGTTTACTACATACCTGAACACTCCCTTTGTGAGCCCATGTGAGAATTTGCTTTAAGTCTCACTCCCAGGAATATCTGTGATTCTTGTGAGTGACGGTTTGCTTTTACCTTAGTGACACTGTGATTCTTGTAACTAATCATATATCCTCTCTGCTGTAGCAACTGGGAAGCCCAGAGCCAAATTTGCAGTTCCTCCTAGCAAAAATGTTCTGCAGCCACTGAAATTCATCTTATGTTTCTCCCCTCGTTTTTCAGTCATTTGCTATAATACCACCTTTTACAAAAAACGTTATTTGTATTTCTAAAAGCTTCACAAATCCTTTTTGGAATGAGGTGAAATGGACATGAATAAAGATAATTCTAGGGAAATAATTTCACAAAATTGCTGCCTCTAAGTTTCAGCTTGTAGGAACTACAGGACTTTGAGCAAAAGCCAGCCCTCCTCAAGTGATCCTGAAGTATCGACAGGGGAAATGGTGCTTCTGGGTTCCCGGAACAGAGGGAGGCAGGCTGAGAGGGTACCTGGCTATCCTGAGGCAGGGTGTGTTTTGTGATGCTGCCCTCTGGGCTGGGCAGTGTGAGTGGCCAGGGGCCATCTTCAGCATGGCAGAGTCCCCTCCTGCCCAGAAACAGCTTCCTTAGCACTGGAGGCATTCAACAGCCAGGGATTAATTCTTTTGGGTCTTGATAACTCTTCATTTTTCAGGGTCTCCACAAAAATCCAAATGTCTCTGGGCAGGGAGCAGGCCTCAGGTGTCTCAGGTAGCTCCAGCGGAATCCCCAGGAGGGATGGGAAGCAAACTTCCTGGGAAAATGAGTGAGCCAGGCTGTCCCAGTGGTTGAGTCATAAGGTTGGCAAAGGTGCGTGTGTGTCCTGGGTGGAGGAGGCAAAAACAGTGGCTTTTCCTAAGGCCCTGGGCCCCTATGGGCCTCCCTTCAGCCTAGGACTGGGATGTGGAAAGAGGAGAAGGAAGATGGAAAAAAGGACTACCTATAGCTTTGCCAAAGGCTGACCTGGCAGGGTCCTCAGGTGTTTCTGTGCACCCTCGAGAAAGATTGTACCTGCTGGGTTTTAACTCTGCCCTTAGCCCCGCTGCGGGCAGAGTGTGAGGAGGCCCTAGAGAGTGAAAACAGGGAACTATGGAGGGAAGTGTTTATAGTGAGACCTCAGAAGTGATGAAACCCCCCAATTACGGTTCCAGGCCTCGTTACCTCTCTCGGTGGTGCATTTGCGTGGTCTCTGGCCTCTTGGCCCAAAGGTCTCATGGCTTGAGTCCACAGGGACTCAAGCCCTATGGCCTAGTGGCTGTTCAGCCTCAGCGTTCCTCACAGGGCCAGCCCTGCCCTGGCCTTTCATGAGACACACGTGTGCATGCGTGTGTGTGAGTGCTAGTGAGGCCTGGTGGGCGCACAGAGGCCTGCCGACGTCTATTACATGGAGAAACATCTGTTTTCTGCAGAACATCCACAGTATCAGATGTTTTACTGCAAGGAACCCATTTTTTTAATAAAACGAAAATGAGACATGGAAATCAAGGTAACCACATTTTAAATGTTTATGGAAGATAAAGGTTTAACCACAAGTCTTTCATCAAATGGAGGACAGTAGAAAAAAGTTTAGGGAATGCCCTCTGGCTGTCCTCGCCTCTGCAGTGAAACCTTGAAGAGTCTCACCTCATCTAGTACCGGGGTCCTCCAGGCAGCTGGAAATAGTTAGCAGTGTGTCTAAATATTGTCGTGCAGCAGTCCCACCATCAGCCTGTCAGGCCACGACTGTTGTGGGGGAGAGAGATTTGTTCAACCGAAAAGCCCAGACTCAAGTGTGACCCACAAATGGTGCGTTGGGGCACAGAGCAGCCCTAGAGGGGAGGCCTCTGCTAGGAGAATGGGCCTCCTCTCTGATTCCTGAGGGTGTGAGCAGATGGAGGTGGGTGGGCCTGGGCAGGCTTGCCCCTTTTTTCCTGGTGTCCAGGGACCAGGGGCCCTGGGTTAGGGTGAGAGGCCCCTCCAACTCCTCCCACGAAAACAGGAGTGAGGTTTATGGCAGCTCTGTGGGGGACTTTGTCTCCTTAGATACCCACCATATGCGTCGTTGGTGAAAAGTCCTCAGGTGCCACCATCATTCCCATTCAACATCGTCACTGCTAGGGAAGGAAAGGCAGCATTTTCTCTGCAGTTACGTGGTCACCAGAATGGAAAATAACCTTCCTGCACATTTCAAGGATTCTTCCTCCCAAGACTGACGTGCACTGATATGTTATCTCATTTTCTCAGAGATTTCCATGTTATACTTGAGAAAACAGGGAGCCCAGAACCTCCAGACACAGTTCTGAGGAGGCTTCCTGGAGCACGAGCAGAGAGAAGGGCTGGGTCCTCTTCCTGGGGCTCACAGGGGGAAATGGAGACTTGTGATAGAGCCCCCCAGGGTGGCACTCCCTCACCTCTCCTCCACGGTCTGAAATCAGTCGCTCCACTTTGGACCTGAAGTAATTTTTCCATTTTAGAACAATCCCTCATTCCACAGCCCCATGCCAGGGACTTGTCTCTCTCACCATCAGCCGCCGCGTCCCCCAGAAACACACAAAGTGTAAGATGGAGCGAGGAATCAAGTTGAAGGATGTGACCCGCAGTTTATAGTGGGGCCCTCCAGACACCCGATCCCGTGTCTGAGCTCCATTACCACGGCTCTGGCCGCTGGCTGATTCGCCTTTCCTGAAAGGAGAGAGGTTCTCCAGGGAGAGGATGCCGGGGAGGAGGGAGCGGGGCGAGAGAGCTGTAAGCCTCGTGTGGAGGCTGGGTTCTGGGCGTGCTTTGGGTCTCCGTGGCTTCACCACTGTGCAGATCCCTCCTGGTGGTGGTGGTGGTGGTTGTCGGGGGAGGCGGGGGCAGGTTGTGTACTGTAGGAGTGAAATGAGATGGAGCCCACTGGGGGCTGTTTGGGCTTGGCAGTGAACTGGGTTTAGGGACCAGAGGTATCTTCTTCCCCGTCAGCCCTAACCCAAGCCATGTTCGTCTTGCTGATTTAGCAGGAACTAAAACGTAAAAGGGATTTCAACTGGGGCAGTGAAACCAAAGGTATTTCCTAGGCTCGTAAACCTCTTATGCTATCAAATAAACTGGAAGATTCTGCTTGGTGCACAAGCTCCATCGTTATTAGAGGTGCCATCGTCCAGCTGTTTGGCAAAGAGTTGCCCACAGAACAAGTTCTGTTTTCTTAGGCCTATGATGGAGGAACATTTGCGAAACCTTGAGACGTGCTATCTAGCCAGGGTCCTTTCGAAAAGTCCGTCCAGCCTGAGACTCTGATTGTGGGAATCCCAGAGTGCACGCGGCCAGCATGGAGTGGCTTCAGCAATCCTGGAAACATCTGTAACCAGGAGTTAGAACAAACCCACAATGCAGAGCCAGGAGCAAGGTAGGGTCTCAATAAATATTTGTTGAATGAATAACTTTGAATAGGAATCAAGAGAATCAGATCCTAGTCCTGGTTCTGTCATTTACCAACTAAATGTGGAACTCCTGAGCCTCAGTTTCAGCTTCTGTGAAATGGCCTGGGAAATCTGTCCTGGACACCTCTGAGGGTCTGCTTTGAGGATCAAGTGAGAGAGTGGATGTAAAAGTATAGGCGCTCATGTTAACATATTCCTCTTGTTTTCAGAGGCCTCCTTTTAATAACCAGTCATGACCTTTGTTCACACAAATGTATCTGCCCTTTCGTAGACTGGTTTCTATGATAGCCGGTGCCGACTCTTTAGGGAAGCTGTTCTGTTAGGTTTTCTCCAACAGTGTGATATAGAATAGTCTTGAATGTGAGCCTTTCTATTGCTCTCTCGAGAGTGTGTGTGTGTGTGTGTGGAAGAGAGGAAGGGAGGGAGGGACGGCGACATAGATGGGGTGGGATATATTCTTGTTCAAGGAGAGTCCTTCATTTTCAAGGTCTCTCTGGAAAAGCCACAGCCAGCCTTGTCTGTCTTCACACCACTGTCTCCTTCCAGACAGTTCTCATTTCTTTCAGTTTTCCAGGAAGGTGGAGCTCCTTTTCTTTGGGTCCGGCCGTATTCTTGTTGGTAATATTAAAATAATGATGGCTCATTTTTTGTATGGAACTTTCCCACTTAAAAACCACTTCTCAATAACAAAATTACTGCCAATGTGTTAGTCACCATGCTAAGCATTTTATATACCATAAACAAATGACAAACTAAGAAAAAAATATGGCATCTATGAAGGTTAAAGTTTATCACATAGAAAGAGCTTTAAAAATCAATAAAAGGTATGTCCCAAAAGAAAAATGGACAAAGGACAAGAATTAGAGGTTTGCAGAAGAAGAAATACAACAATCTCATTACCTTTTTCTAGAAGGCAGTTCCCATTTTATGGATGAGGAAATTGAGACCACAAGAATTTAAGTAATTAAAGTTATACAACTAGTGACCTGAGCAAGAATATGAACCCAGATAGTCCAGAATCCAGGCAGGGGTTATTATATTTTCGTTTCATAGATAAGAAGGCTGAAGTTTTATTCATCTACATTTGAACCCATACTATTTAAAGATGTCATTGTCCACTCTTGACATCAGCTTAGCCAGCTAGCTGCTCTCCGGCTGAAGAAGTGGTAGGAACTAGAATTGGGGTTTTGAGAAGGTGAGGGCTCGGGTGCTTGCGCAGACTGAAGTTAGAAGTGTTCAAATGTGGGTTCTGCCTCTCCCACAGTCACTCAGCTGGTGAGTGGCCAAGCCAGGCCTCTGGTCCAAGCCCTCTGAAGGCAGAGCTGATGCCTTGTAACGCAGCTCTCAGCTGACTTTGGCTTCCAGCTCTCTCTGCAGCCGTCGTGGACACAGAGGATCCAAGTGAAGTGCAAATACAGCTTGACTTTTGTAGCCTGCTGAGCGGTGGTAGATACCTAATCTGGGGAGATCTCTGATTCCTTGACTCAGAAATTAGCATGTAAGTGCAGAAACCTAATAGCCAACAAGAGACAAGGTCTATAATATGGTTTAATTGTTTCTATTTGTAATCTGAAATGACCTGGCTGGATTGCTGGGCTTTGGGCTGGGGCCAGGTCCCTTTCTTTATTTAATAGATGTTTGCTACCAGCTGCTGGGGGAGCCTTCCTGTCTGTATTATTAATATGATATAGGCCTTTGGTTTCCAGTATCATCTCTTTGGAATTTCTATCTCAGATCCTGTGCAAATGAACATAATCCCCTGGCAGGAAAGGCATTTTGGCGTCCTGGCATCGGCCTTAGAGATTCTGGGTTTCATATGAGGAATGCCAGATACTGTCAACCTTGGCCTCGGTCAACATCTCTGTCCCTGTCCGCACCCTGCCACTAGGGTCTGAGTTTAAGTCTGGACCAGGTGAAGGAAGCCTTGGGGTGCTCTAGCTGCAAGGGAGGTGGCTGCTGGCTCAGAAGGACTGTCATTCAGTTACTCTCCCGTCATGGGGAATGCAGAACAATTTTCTGAAGATCTCAGAATGGCTTTTGGATAACCAAAAAGAGCTGTGTTGGGGGTACAGCCCACCTTACAAATCTTTGATGAGCAGGACGAATCTTTACTCTTTAAATGAGATTGTGCTATACTTCCCACTTTCACAAAACATAACACACGCAGAACATAATAGTTTGACATTCTAGGGAAAGTAGATGAGGTGCTAACAGCCAGAGGACGTTCCAGGTCTGAGGGCTCTGGCTGCCCCAGCCGCTGAAAGGATATGGAGCTCAGTCCGCCGAGAAGCCCACAGGACTTGGGAAGGTGTCACAGCCAGCTGGTTGGGAAGCTCTCTCCCTGGGATACGCGGAGTGGCTCAGCCTAAAGACCATCAGGCTGCCATTCATTTACTTGACATTCACCCACAGACATTATTGAGCACCTCTCCTATGTCAGGCATCACGCTTAGTGTTGGGGATCCTGGGATGGGCAAAAGCAGGCACCTCTGACCCATGACCTCATGGCACTAAAGGGTCAACCAAAGGAGACAGATATATAAGTAAGTGGTTTTGTCGCTTACTAAGAAGGCTTGCGCAAGTCACTTAACGTCTCTGAGCTTTGTTTTCTTTGTCTGTCAAATGAAAATGAAAAGCATGTACCTTATGGGGTTGTGAGGATGCAATGAGGTGATACGTATTAAACAGCCTAGCACAATGCCCAGCTGGGCAGGAAGAACTTGGTAAGTGGGAAAGCTCTTGATACACAGTGAAAAGTGTGTACAAGGTCATTAGCTTATTATTCTGCATCTCTTATTCTGCATTGTCTGATGATATTTTACAGTGGTTCCCCAAAACAGGTCTTCAAACAGTTGCATAGAATCATTTGGATGGGGTAAGAGGAAGTAGGGATGGAAGAGTAGGGAGGACTGTACTAATCAGTACTGCTAAATGTACTGATTATTCTCTTCTATTCCTGGAATGTTCTAGGAAAAGTAGACAAGACTGCTTGCAGCCACTAGTCCAAGGTCTCTGTGCCAGATAGGCTTAGGGAATCTGTATTTTTTTCCCCAAGTTTTCCAGATGATTCTGATGCAGAGACAGGTCTGAGAAATGCTGGTATGGTTGCCAATTTGGGGGCCATGGTCCACATTCTACAGCCATGAGTCATGAGAATAGGCGTCTGCCAGCCATGGTGGTGGAACTGATACCATCCCCCACCAGCTAACTGGACGAGGAGTGGACATCTAGCTTAAACGTTGGCCATCAGAATTTCTTAGCCTAAAATCTGGAATAAGGAACAAGAGATTATATTTCGTGTTCTCCTCCTCCTCCTCTTCCTCCTCCTCTTTTTTCTCTTTTTAAAAAAGTGTCCTCATCCATAAAACAGGACTGATAACACTTACCTCTACCTCCCAGGCTTGAGTGATCCTCCCACCTCAGCCTCCCTAGTAGCTGGGACAACAGAAATGTGCCATCACACCAGGCTAATTTTTAATTTTTTTGTAGAGACCCCTATCTCTACAATAAATTTAAAAATTAGCCTGGTGTGATGTTGCCCAGGCTGGTCTCAAACTCCTGGACTCAAGTGATCCTCCCACCTTAACCTCCCAGAGTGCTAGGATTAGAGGCATGAGCCCCTGCGTCCAGCCAAGATTCCATTCTTGACTAAACTTTTGAACAAAGGAAAAATACAAATTTAGGACCAGTGAGTAGGCTTCTTTCTACTTTGTGGACTGAGTTTACAGAGAGACAAGAAAGAAGTCATTGGAGGGGGAAGAAAAAGAGTCTCCTGGGTTCCCCCATGGCCTTCCATTTTCTGATTCCAGAGCCTGCCTTAGGCTCAGCTGTTCTGGCCCTTGGGTTCTGTGAGAACTGCACTTGCATGTTGAAGTTGGCTTGAGTTGGTTTCTGTTTCTTGCAATCAAAACAATTCTCCTTAATAAAGAAGGGGACCCTATTTATTTTACCATAAAGAAGTGAGAGGGTTTGGAAAAGAAAGGTGATTGAACCAGGGGTTCAGAATTTACTTACTTAAGTTCAGGGTCTTTTGTCTCATACCATCTTACTTAAACAAAATTTCAGCATGGAGTAGCCTCAACCTTGGACTTGAAGATTTTATGAGCTGCTTCTCATACCTAAGAATTGTGTGTTCTCTCAACCTCACTCAGTCCTGCAACCTAGAACAATAATGTTGACTCCTTACCTTTGTTGAATGTTGAATGCCTTATGGTTTACAAAGCCCAGGTTACATTCGTAGGATGCCACTAACATGACTGCTCATGCAGTGTATCTCCTGTGCTCTGAGCATTGTGTATATGCTATTTAAAATTGTCATTTAAAGGAGAAGCCTCCTGCCAGAAACTTTACAATCAGGCATGTTTCCTTGTGTGGATGACACCACCAAAAAAAATGGGGTTAAATTAAGAAAGAAGGTAGATTTAATCAGCAGCGTGGAAAGAAGCAATGGGTGAAGGGGGTAGGAGGTGGGGGCACAAGCCCCAGAAATCTTCAAGAACAGAAGTGACATGATCAAGACATATATTTGTCTGACATCAGGGGCCACAGCCCTGTCCTCTTGGGTTCTTTACCAGCCCTGGACTTTTACATTTCTGAATGATGAAGTCATCGTGTGTGAACCTGCCCCAGTGCACTGATTCTGAGTGACCAGTTTATACCACAGTAGCCCAATGTTAGTTCCTAGTCTCACTAAGCCCATTTCCTCGTCATAAAACAGGACTGAAAACACTTTCAGTGTATTATTCAGAGTTCTCCAGAGAAACAGAACCAACAAGGGGTGTGTTTGTGTGTGTGTGTGTGTGTGTGTGTGAGAGAGAGAGAGATAGTAGACAGAGAGCAAGAGAGGGAAGACAGAGAAAAAGATTTAAATAATTGGCTCACATGATTGTAGAGGTTCAAGTCCAAAATCTGCAGGGTAGACCATGAGGCTGAAGACTCAGGGGCAAGTCATGGGCTGAGTCCAAAGGCAGGTTGCCGGCAGCATTGCTTCTTGCTCTGGGAGGCAACTCTTTGTTCTGTTAAGGCCTTCAGCTGTTTAGATGAAGCCCACCCACATTATGGAGTGTAATCTGCTTTCCTCAAAGCCCGTTTAACTTGATTTAAATGTTAATCTCATCTAAAAAATACTTTCACAGAAACATATAGAATGATGTTTGACCAAATATCTGGGCACTATAGCACAGCCAAATTGACGTAAGAAATTAACTATCACAACTTGTCTCATAGGACAGGCCTGAAAGCTTTAGTCAGAAAATATGAAGGGTGTTTTGTAAATTGTAAACCACTTTGTACTGCTAAGGGTGATGGGAAGAGAGGATCTTTACAGATTCCTCCCCGACTCCCAAGAGAGAGTGTCCTGGCCCTCAGAGGGTTAAGGAACCCCTGACCCCATTGCCCTTCCACCTGCTGTCTGAGCTGTCTCGCCTCATGCAGCCCTTCAGGTGAGGGGCACTAGAGAGGGCCTGGAGTTGCCTGACACCGGATACTTCCTTCCTGCCTGGATTAGAGGCATATTGTCAATATCATGTCTGTGTTTACTAAATTAACAAATGGACTTCAAGTTAAACACTGGGTGATTGTGAGACAGATTTTTAAAAAATGTTCCCCGGGCTCAGGGGATCACTCACAGGTGATGGGATGTTTGCCTTTTTTTTTGGACTGCCGGCCTTTAACATCATGTCACTTTAAATTGCTTTTCATGGAAAGCTGCCTCCCTGCCATTCTTCAGCCTCAGCAGAGAGCCTCCGGGCAGGCATTTCTGTGCACAGCTGGAACCCTGCCTTACTATGGGGCGAACTTCTTTCTTCTGGGCCCAACAGAGACAAATATCCTCTGAACAGCGGCTCCAGAATGGAAAATAAAGTGAATGCCTTGCTCATAGGCACTCCCCACTGGGGATTTCTACCAATGGGCAGAGTGGGGCTTCCAGCCAGTTTTTTGCAGCCTGCTAATGAACAGGTGGCACAGAAAGCAAAGGTTTCTCTGGGAAGCTGGCAGGACACCAGCATCTGGCCTTCATGTCTCCTTTGCATCTAGATGTGATCAGGTCCACATCAAAATACCCAGAGATTTGACTGCATCTTCGCATTTGCTTCTGGAGAGCTGGTGGTGGAGAGGGTGCCTCCCTAGGATAACATAGCTCTGCTCCTGGGATACACTGACTTAAACATCTCTCAGTGATGTGACATACCTTGAACCCAAGGAGGCAGGCTGCTTGAGAGCAGGCCTTCATGTAGACAAAGTGATGAATATCTTTTGTAGATTTTCATTTTGGGCTTCATTTTGTAGCCTATTGATTTTTAATGCTATTTATTTTGGAAAGCCATTAAAGGGAAAGAAAGGAGTGGATTTCAACACCTCCACCATGTGCTGTTCTGCAGTTGTTTCTGTAAGGCAGCAAAGCAGCCATTTGGAAAGTGAAAGACTTAGGTCAATTATTTTTCTTTCCTTGGCTTACTGGACAGCAAAGAGCTGGTTTAACTGAATTGACCAGTTGTTTGATGAACCAATCAATCAGCAAATATTTGTTTTGTGAGGCCTGTGAGCAAGGCACTCACTGTTTGATTAAATCATGTGATGAAACAGAACAAATAGACCTGTCTTCTAGGCCCCTTGCAGACCGTCTAGCTGTGTGCAGCTAATTACCCTACCACCTCTAATTACAGATACACGCTCAAACTCAGCACTTTTCCTTGAACCAAAAGTTAATCCTAGAAATCTGGTAATGCAATTACTGTGCTTGTTTCAACAAGTGAGAGAGAGAGGGAGGGAGGGAGAGAGAGAAGGAAAGGGAAGAAAGAGAAAGAGAGAGAGGGAAAATATGAATATGCTCCATTTATGCAGCCCTACAATGAGGGAGGGTTATAAAAAGACTTTTATACCCAAGGAATAATGAACGTCTGTAATTGAACTTAGTTTGGTGTCTAAGATTTGGCTTTGAAAAAGGAGCCGGAATCAACTTTCCTAAGTGGTCTTTAATGTGTTCCCAAGGGTTTAGCTTTTTCATTAGCTGAGTTTTTAATTGATGTCAAAACTCAAAGTCAGGACAATATTTTAAGAAGGAGAAAAGAAAGAAAACACTGAGGAAACACACAAAACAACCACAAAACCCTTAAACCACAACAGGGAAAAAAACCATGTCTTTCTTTTAAACATCATCTTAGTATAAGGTAAACTGATCTGTCAGATAGGCTTGTCATATCCACATATTTTATAATCCAATATGTTCAGGCAAGAATTTTGGCACGACCTGCCAACAGCAATTCTGAACTTTTCCTGACATTTTAAAGAGCACATAATATGTTGGGGGGAGGTGGGTTTTGGGGAGTCCTTAACCCTTTCATTCAGCATCTGGGAGTCCTTTGGAAATATGCATCGCCTAAGAGCAGCACCCAGGGGAGGACCTGTCACAGGCACAGATGATGACAAGGCTTGAGCTCTGACAGTGGCTATTGCCACAGCCCCCACCTGTGGCCTCTCCCCAACCTGTGCATCAGGATGACCTTGAAACCAAACCCTCTGTTACAAATGAGCTCACTTGGAACACCATCCCATTCAGTTCAGCTCATGGAATCACAGAGTTGCATGGGACTGTTTGATGATTTAATTCAGGTGTGCTCAGTCTTGGCTGTGCATTGGAATCACCTGCAGTACTTAAAAAAAGGACAAAAACTGATGTCCAGTCCTACCCAACACTTGTCAAAAAGAATCCCTGGAATAGGCCCTGGCTAGTGAGACTGCTTCTAAGTTTCCAGGTGATTCTAATGTGATGCTAGGGTTGAGGACCACAGTACAACCTTTAATTTTACAGATGAGGAAACCGAAGCCCCAAGATGGAGGTGAGTATCAGTGTCTATACCAGGAATCGTATCCAGGCACGAGTCAACTTGGTTGCTTCATGGTCATTGAACACCTGCAGAGTGCCCAGTCCTGCCTGGGACACAATGGGGATTACAAGAAGAACCTGAAGCTTGCTCCCTGCCCTCAGGCGTGCACAGCCTCGGTGGGGTGGCAGAACTGATGGATGAAGCAGTCAAAAGAACACCACAGGGCACTGTCTAGTCAGGGGCTGAGTTTCATAACATCAAGTGCCAAATCCAGACTACAGTGTCCTGGAAGAGATGCCAACAACATGGGAAGTATTACTGGAGTCAGGAAGTCAAAGGCAGAGCTCAGGATGGGGAGATGTGGCCAGCAAAGGAAAGGAGCAGGCACTTCAAGGAAAAAGCTCGAGTGACAACGGGAGGTTGGAATGAGGGATGCCTGGGTCACATGCTTTGGTGGCCTTTGAAGGAGAAAGCTTAGGCACTGGGGGAAGTGTGTTAGATACGAGGAGGGATTTGGGACAGAGAGGCTGATGCTGCCGACAGAGAAAATTCTCAGCAGATAGGCGTAAGAGTGACTGCCTGCTCTGCATGGGAGGACATCACTGAAGGTTAAAATGAAAAGGCAGAAGGGACCCAACATGAAGATGCCTTTGGTGAGAATGCTGTTCTTATGGGTTGGTGCCCACGTCATACCAATTGTTAAATATTTTAAAGATCTTCCCAGCATCACATCCTTGGCCAAGTGGTGCCATGTACTTTGGGGGCATTATCTTGAGTTGTGCATTTTGGGGAATCCTGTGCTTCTGCAGGGAGGAGGTGGCTAAAGCTCGGTGACTTCTGGTAGAAGTGGCTGGAGAAAGGCTTCAAGTCAATGATTTTTTTTAAAGGGCCCATGTTCTCAGCCTGTGGCTCCGTTCCCCTCCTGCCACCAGCAACAGCAGCTGAGGGACCGTGGGATCTGTGGGGTCTCTCCTCCTGTGCACATGTCTCTTTACTGAGGCCAAGTGATCTTGTGTCACACCCCCTCCCCTTTGCTCTCTTCCCCTGGATTCCCTGCATGGTTGTCTGCTCCCTGCCTTGATTCTGTGGCTCAAACCTGCCTTGATTGTGCTTTGTATAAAAATAGTCCCAGAGGGCTGGGTCTTGGGGCCAGCATCCTAGACCAAGAAGTAGCTTTTGGAAGGGGAAACAGATATGCTTGTCATATCCACATATTTTATAATCCAATATGTTCAGGCAAGAATTTTGGCACAACCTCACTAGCCAGGGTCTATTCCAGGTATCAAATGCCCTGTATCAGATGCCCCTGTCCTTTGGAGCCACTTTGCCAAGAGCCCCTAAGGAGCCGACAGGGAGACAGGCATTCCTCTTGGGTCCACTACTTAGTTGTGCTGCCTTTTTTCAAATCACGTTTGTCTCCTGATTGTCATCTTCTCTATTCACTTTCCAGGTGGTTGTGGCTATTGAGAAGCCACTCCCATCCTACCACAGCACTCTGGAAGCTTTGGAAAGCCCCTGGGATCCATGTTCTCTGAGCCCACTCCAAGGGTTTTTCTCCAGGAATCCTTCCTGGATTCAATTTTGCTCAACTTGACACTAATCAGAAACCCAGCTCAAAATTCTTATCTACCAAAAACTGGAGGAGAATGAACTAAGGATGACCTGACCATCTCTGATTTGTCTTTATAAGAAAGGAGTTCTGTTTATCTGATCACATTCCATGTGCCTTTGCCCAGGGAGTACATGGCTCGAGAGTTTTGAAGTCATTTGATCCAGCCCCTTTCATTTTACAGTCAGTGTAGATGGACGGCTAAGAAAGAAGGGTCTGGCGCCATATTTACTGGGTTTAAATCTTGGTGCCACTGCTTTGTAGCTGCGTGACCTTGGGCTTGTCACTTATACTCTTTGCACAGTGATAATAAACATCCTTGTTTCATTGGACAGAAGCCATGTTTAAAGAATGTGATGCATATAAAGTGCTTAGGATGGACCTGGTGAATAAATATCTTTTTATTATTGCTATAAATGAAGAACTTGAAACACCGACCCTATTCTGTAGATTTGCTGGAAACTGGATACTGGGAACTATTTTGTAACTTGTCATGTTAGTAAAGTGATTCTTAAACTTTTCACCAGAGTATTTCTAATATCAGAGAAGAGCAGAAACATAAACCCAAGGAATCTAGGGGCTTAGTTCCACATCATGACAGACACCTTGGGCATTTGTGTTATCTTAAAAAATGCATGACCTTTTTGCATTCTATTTTTCAATAGATCTGTGTTTGTTCTAATATCAAAATAGTGGTTTCTCTTCAAGCCCTTTATCTTTATAAAATCAACTCTCCTGGACGTAAACGATGGCTGCGCACTCCATGATGTGCATGTCTGTGAGCAACTCTGGTTTGAGGGATGTGAAGTTAGTGTATGGAGTATCTTAAATAGCCAGGCTGAGGACTGTTTCCATGAAGGACAGGACTTCAGATCTCTTACAGGAAGCAGAAGGGGAAGGTTACACACAAGCAGCACCTCCTTCTGGGAGCGAGACACGGCCAGCAATGCAAGATGATGATAACTTCATCCCTGAATGTTGGCAGCTTTTTGTTTTTGGCAGACTTAGAGGCCCCTCTCTATGACTCTCTGGGCTCCAGACTGGGGGCTCTGGTCCCACTATGCCTTAGGGAGGCCACAGATCTGAAAGATGTAGCGTGACTTGGTGCCTCGAGGCTGGCTGTGTGGTGAAACGGAGTCCAGACAGACTGTCAGCGTGGAAACCATGCGGTGACAGCTTCCTTCACCCTCCAGACCTGTCAGCTCTCAGGAGTACTGACAGGCCTCTAATAATAAGGTAAACAAAGGCTTTAGAGCATGGAGGAGGAATGCTGGAATTTTTCCTTTAATGTCTTTCTATTCATAACATGTCACAGAGCTAACGCCTAGCCCCGTAGAAGTAGCAGCTCCTGGCTTTTAAGATCTCCCAAGGAAGGTGAGGAGAGAGTCCTGGAGCTCCAGGGGCTGAGCTCAGAGTCACAGCCAGTCTCTGGCCATGGGCCAGGCATCTGGCCACTTCCTTGGGAAGTCCAATTGCTCATAAGTTTCCATCTTTTAGGGTGAAATCCAGACTCTCTAGCCTGGTGGTCAAGGCTGGGTCATGGCCACCATCCAGCTTTATCTCTGGATAACACTCTGGTGCTGCTCTATACCTGCTCCCCTTTCCCACCCAGGAAGTTCCACCCCAGTTCTCTCTGTTGATGTAGGCAGCTTCCAGGAAAAGCCACCTCTATTTTCTTCTCAGAGGTCTTGCCAGTGTGCGTGCTCCCATCAGCTCCAGAAAAGCTGGCAACTTTTCTGCATCAAATCTTGGGTGTTTCTGCCCCTACCTTGGGTATTTCTGCCTCCTGGGTCTCTTTCTTATCCACCTTCCTACAATCCCCCTAGTAAGGCAGACCCCCTTTGCAGGGTGAGGATGGCAGTAATGCAGCATTTCTGTGCCATTACTTACAAAGACAAATGGCCTGTGAGCCTTTTAGGATGTAATTTAAAAGCCATTTGTCTAGCAGTAATAACTGGAAATGGAGTTCCACTGTAGGCCGGCATGACTTCCTTTAGGAGCGAGGGATCTGCTAATGGTGTATGGCTGCCCCGAGGACTAGCTGGCAGTGGCTGTGTCAGACTTACCCACTTTTTCCACTGGAAGGACCTGAAATGGGGAAAATGGCATTTTGAGGGGACTGTGAGCTCACATAGGGCTTTGGAGAAAGGCAGATACTTTTCTCTGGAGCCCAGCGTGGAAAGTTCCCAGTTGTTTGTCTTATACATCGAGAGGACCAGAAATAGAACTAGGTTCAGAGGGGTGGGGATTATGACCATCAATCTCGCGAATTCGAATCCTTGACGTCTGGAAATGTTGGGCTTTATCTTTGTCCTCTCTTTTTTAAGAGATTGCAGGCAAATTTGAATTATATGGCTTTGATGCACCTCAGAAGTAAAATTTCTCAGAACACTGATGCTTTTTCCTTTAGACAACAAAGCTTTTATTTTATTCATTCAGGATAGACAGTTTGAAAAAAATAAATTACTTGTGCCTCTTTAAGAGAATTGTTGCAGAGACAAATGTTCACTGATTACACATTCTTTTGAATGTCTTTCTCTGCTCTTCTTTTGTTCATTACGTGCTATTTTACAGTTACATTGTTTTATCTATCTTGGTGTTTCATATATATTTACTCCTTATTTGGCTGGGAAAAAAATTGATGGAAACATCCCAAATGGTAAAATAAATGATAGCATGTTTCCGCCAAGGGCTACTTTGTGGCCTTTGAAAATGAGGTAGGAGACTGTTGATACAGAAATTGGAACTGTGGAAAGAAGTTTGTGCGGTATCACTAAGTGATATAAGCAGGCTGCTAAATAGTGTGTACATCAGGATGGCCCCTATGCCTGGGAAATCTTGGTGAGCTCTGACTCCAGACCATTCAAATCTATGAATGAAGATGCCAAAGTACTTAGCCTTAGGTAAAAATTCTGTGCACTCAGTTAAAGGATTCCACACAAAAGAAGTAACATTCACTGATTACCTACCACGTGCCAGGCACTATTTTAGGAGCTTTCCTACATGATCTCCGTTAATCCTGATAATCATGCTCTAAGGTTATCTTTGTTCAAGATGAGGAAGCTAAAGCTAAGAGAAGTTGCATCACTTGCTCAGGTACACACAGCTGACAGAGAGTGGAGCTAGGATTTGAATCTAACATAACCAGCTGCAAAGCCCATGTTCTTTCTCTTACCCAGTGATCTACTGCCTCAATAATGCCGCATGATGCATGAAAAGCAAACACAAAACCTGAAGGGCATGCAACAATCAAGGTTTACTGCTCACGCCTCTGGGGTCAGTGGGGAGTTGGCTAGGCACTTTGGCTTGGCTGGACTCACTCAACGCGTCTGGTGGTTGGCTGGCCATGGCTGATCTGGGCTGGCCTTGTCTGGGGTGATGGGCGTGGCTCGGATCTGCTCCACATGTCTCTCATCCTTCAGCAGGCTAACTGGGCATGTTCTCACAGCAATAGCACAGGCGGAGGACAGCAGGAGGAATCACAGAGGCCCCTTGAGAACCTGACTGGGAACTGGTGCACTGTCATTTCTATTGGTCAAACCAAGTCACATGACCAAACTCAGTGTCAAAGGTGTGGGAAAAGGAACTGCAAAAGTATACAGTAAAGGGCGTGGACATGGGGAAGAGAGAAGGATTAGGGTCAGTAAAGCCATCAGCCACATCCAACAAGCTGCCTTCTTCAAGCAGGTGTTCTGAGAGCTTCATCTGGACATTCGCCTAAACTTTTTAAGATCTTGGTAAAGTGGCCAGGCGCGGTAGCTCATGCCTGTAATCCCAGCACTTTGGGAGGCCGAGGCAGGTGGATCACTTGAGGCCAGGAGTTCCAGACCAGCCTGGCCAACATGGAGAAAACCTGTCTCAACTAAAAATACAAAAAATAGCCGGGCATGACCGCACACAACTTTGAGCCACGAGAATCGCTTGAACCTGGGAGGCGGAGGTTGCAGTGAACTGAGATTGCACCACTGCACTCCAGCCTGGGTGACAGAGTGAGACTCTGTCTCAAAAAAAAAAAAAATTTTGGTAAAGTTATGTGTGGGTGGGAACAACAAAGTTAGGGGAAGAGGGAGGATGGGCGGGAGCAGATATGGATTTAACCAAAATAACTTCATTCTACAGTATTTTATTGACTGTGCTAAAAGGAGAAAATGGATAAATTTGTTAGATGCTGAAAAAATCAAAGTGAAGGTTAATTGACTGCAATACCTCTCAGTATCTTCAATATTACAATAAGCATTATGAATATATGGGAGGTAGACTGCATGTTTCCCAAACTAATTTAACCGTGAGAACAGCCTACCTATTAACCTCTCTTAGAAAAAGTGTTCTGGGAAACCCCAGTTTGGGAAGCACTAGACCAGATGATTTTTAAGGTGCTCTTTTGTGACATAGGACACACCCTGGGACGATTCAGGGAAGGAGAGGGTTTTTATTGTTGTTGTGTTATTGTTGTTTTCCACCCCATGCTAAATGGACCCAAATTCATGACCCAGAAAGAAAACAGATAGCAGAACTGCTTCCGTAGCACTTTCTTGGCCGGCTGGCAATGTATTACTGCTGCCAGTCCTTCTCGCTGCCTGGCTCTGGCTTTTAGATGTGGCATCTGTGCAGGAAGCTAAAGGGCTTCCAAAGAGTACAGTGTACAAGCTTTGTGAACGTTACAGTTGTCTGCAGTGGCTCACGCCTGTAATCCCAACACTTTGGGAGGCCGAAGCCGGTGGATCACTTGAGGTCAGGAGTTAGAGACTGGCCCGGCCTACATGGTGAAACCCCGTCTCCACTAAAAACACAAAAATCAGCAGGAAGTGATGGTGGGCACCTGTAATCCCAGCTACTTTGGAGGCGGAGGCAGGAGAATCTCTTGAACCTGGGAGATGGAGGTTGCAGTGAGCTAAGATCACACCACTGCACTGCAGCCTGGGTGACAGAGTGAGATTCCATCTCAAAAAAAAAAAAAGAAAGTTACAGTTGTCCCTTAGTATCCGTGGGTGATTGCTTCCAAGACCCCCTTCAGATACCAAAATCCACAGATGCTGAAGTTCCTGATATAATATGGGGTAATATTTGCATGTAACCTGCACGCATCTTCCTGTATACTTTAAATCATCTCTAGGTTACTTACAATACCTAATACAATGTGAATGCCATGTGACTAGTTGTTATACTGTGGTGTTTAGAGAATAATTGTAAGAGAAAAAGCCTGTCCGTGTTTAGTACAGACACAAGCATCCTTTTTGTGTTTCAAACATTTTCCATCCAAGGTTGGTTGAATCCATGGTTGTGGAATCCCAGATACAGAGGGCCGATTGTATTCATCCCCAGCTGTTCTTGTCGCTGCCCAATGGGTATTAACATAGTTCTGTGTGCTTGAGATTGCTGCAAGCCTTTCCTTCAGGCAACTGCCATCATATGAATAAGATTGCAGGAGGAAAGGTAGCTCAATTAAAAGAACAATTGTCACACACTTGAGGAACACATGCTTGAATGTATCCACTATGCCAATGATAAGCAATGATCTTTTTCTATTTGGGAAGTGGAACCACAAGATTTCCACTTGTCAATCTTTGTTAACCTCATTCAAAGCCCTATGTGTATATGAAAATATCAAAGCAATATGAAAAAGAAAGACATCTGTAACTCAGACTTTTCACAGAAGTGGTGTGACTTATGGAAGAGGGGCCTTGTTGGTTGTGCAGATTCACTGTCTCTTGGCCGAATGACGACCGAGCATTGCTGTCCCATGCTCTGTCTCATGAACCTTCTGACTCACCCTGCACGCTCATCTGTGACCTGTCAACCACAAAGTGATGGAGGCAGATCTCAGTGGATTTAGAGGTTTATTTTGCCAAGGTTAGGGACACGCCTGAGAAAAAGAAACACAAGTCACAGTAGTTGGTGTCTGTGTCCTGTGCTTTTTCCAAAGAGGGTTTTGTGAACCTCAATATATAAAGGGGACAGAGCAAGTGGAAGGGGAAGAAAAAAGACAACAAAAAAGGAGAGTGAGTAGGCAATGAGGCAAGTGGTTACATTCCTGTGAGGTGCTGATCAGCTCAGTGAATCTACATTTTACACCTGAAAAGAAGGGAGTGGGGGAAAGTCGATTATGCATTCCTCGCTGGCTCAGTGAATCTACGCTTTACATGCGATAAAGTAGCATGTGAGATTACAGCTATCTGTTTGGGAACACAAGGAAGGCAGTTTTTGCATGACCCAGTTCCCAAGTTTAACTCTTCCCTTTGGCATAGTGAGTTTAGGGTCCCGAGATTTTATTTTCCTTTTCACAGACCCCTGTCTGGCCAGGACTGAGAGGTGATGATATTACCTTGGCTCCCTTCCACCTGGGAAGTGGGGGACTGGACCCTTGGACCTTGTTCTGCCCAACCCCCTTCCTTTGGAACTGCATCCCTTGATCTCTGACATGGGCCCTGCTATCCAGATATACCAGCCACACAACCCGCCTGGAGTCCAGCAGACAGTGGAGTGGGGGCCTGCAACAAATAACATCAGACAACTGGCTCTTACCTTCCTCTGGAAGCTCAACAACTTATGGCCATAGCTGTTTTAGCAGGGCTGGAAGTGACCCCATGGTACCATTCTTTCTGTAATCTTCGTGTCTTCTACGGGTACAGCCCTGGGTTTCACAACCCCTGCATGTGTGGTAGTGTGTGAACTGGTGCTCTTTGGAACTTTGGGTTCATTTACATAATGCATTTCTCAGGTGCATATGAGTTATGCATGAGCGTGTATTGTTAATGATTTGAAATTTAATTTGAACATGACAATTTTTTCTTACCCCTCAGTTTTCCCTTTCTCTCCCACTCTAGCTCATGCAACACTTCAAAAGAAATTTGGGTCGCTTTTCTGGATGCTGTGGGCTCCTGACTTTTTACTTAAAACGGGAGGGGAGCACTCAGAAGCCCAGGTACAGGGGAGCACCTTGTCCGAGGTAACTTAATGAGCCGGTGGAGGATCCATGGGTAAGCCCAGGATTCCCTGCCCCAGAAGCCCTCCCTCTCCCCTTCCTCATTCATGTCTCTGCTAGGAAAGCTAATTGATAAGGGGTGCAGGGCATCCCGAACTTGCTCTATGCTCAGGCTTTCCACCAGAAAAAGGCTCTATATGGATGAATGTCCTGTGATTACTTCCCTTTGCCGATTAGAATTCTCAAAAGTGGAGAGAGATTCTTTCTTGCTCACTAGAAGGTATGAGGTGAAGAGCTACCAAGGACAGACCTCTAATTAATTCTCATCAGGGTGTCCCCTGAGGGAATTCAGTTCTCTCCTTCCTCTGCTCCATCCTGTTCCCCACGTGTCATGACCTCAGCAAAAGACAAGTTCAGTTCCCACAGGTGCACGGGCCCACTCTCCTAAATGAAAGGGAAGAGAAAAGTGTTGAGGACTGATCTCCCCTCTCCTGCTCCCGAAAACAGGAAGCAGGCTGGGTAGATTGACTTGATACAGAGCTATCAGACTGCTGCTTGCTCACACGGGGACCTTTATCACTGCCAGTCATCAGCGCTCTGGTGAGCTCATGAATAATGCATTTCCCAGTGATTTCCTTCTTTATTTGCTAGCCTGAGGCAATATTGATTGAAAAACCGTCTACATAGCTGAGCTGTGTTGTGGCAACATTTATTGAAAATGATTTGGAGACAGAACACACATATGTTTATCTCTACATAGGTATGTTGTTGTCTGTTGTCTTTGGATAATGACATTTGTTTAAGGGGCCGCTGCAGTTATTCAGCAATGTTTTCAAATCGAAGGTGGATTCAGGTTGGAGCCCTGAAACAGCTGTATGGTGTGGTGGATCAGGAAGATGAGGCAGAGTGGGAGGTGGACTGGGAGGAGAAGATGGACGGGGAGGAGGTTGAGGTGGATTGGGAGGAGAAGGTGGATTGAGAGGAGGTGAATTGGGAGGAGGTAGACTAGGAGGAGGAAAAGGTGGACTCGGAAGAGGTGAGGGTGGACTGGGAGGAGGAGAAGGTGAGCTGGGAGGAGGCAGAGGTGAACTGAGAGGAGGTGGAGGTGGACAGGGAGGAGGAGATGGTGGATTGGGAGGGGGTAAACTGGGAGGAGGTGGACTAGGAAAAGATGGCCTGGGAGGAGGTGGAGGTGAATTGGAAGCTGGTGGGTGACAGGAACAAATACAGCAGAGCCAGTGAGGACTCAGGAAGGGTCCCAGGATTAGAACCGCAACATTAGTGGTCATTGTACTGAAAGCAGCTCCACTCAATGTGGAAGGAGATGTGCAAGTCATGAAATGGAGACAGCGTATGCGGAGCCTTCTTTTTTCACAATTTGAGATTTAAGAAAAGGTGAGAAAACGAACCCTACTGCTAACTAAGAAGACTTTTTGGGAGAACTGTAGCCTTCTTGAGCAGTTTCCATAATATGCCATATGTGAAAATACCTTCCCAACAGCAGGGAGCCATATGGATGGAAGAGTTTTAGGTCCTGATTATTAATAACAGCAGGATGCTGCAGTCAGTGGATAGGACAGACCTAAGCCTTGCTGGCCAGCTGCAGGGGGCTCTTCACCTCTCTGAACCTCCAGCGCTTCTTGGGCTCTCTCTAGAACTTCAGTAATGGTGGCTTCTCCACCTCCATCATTGACAGGCCCCAGAAAATGAAGACTTGAGCTTTGAATGACTGGGAGAGAAGAGTGTGAGGGAACACAGCTGAAGGAGCCTCCCTCTCACCACCCACTTCCTGTGACACCCTTCCAATACCAATCTGGCACTTGCTGAGCACTTGCTGAACTGTCTCTGGAGCTTTCAGAGGGAAAGCCCAGGGTGGTAAGGGGAGGGCTATACAGAGCCAGTGCATGCTTCGGAAGGAGAATCAAGTTCCCTGAAGAGGGTTCTCTCCTTGGAATCCCTGAAAGCTTTTGTGACAATATAATTAAGTGGGAGGCCACGACAGCCTGTCAAATTCTAAGTGTGCTTCTGGCTCACCCGAGGTGGTGGGTGGGGGAGTAGGGATGGGAGCATCAGGCCTGCTATCAGCACAGAAATTCCAGGTATGCGCTTCTCTGTCAGTTCCTGAGAATCATAAATGAAGTAAGCAAAGGCTCCGAGCCGGGAGCCTTCAGCAGATGAGGATGCCAGCTACCCACCAGCACAGGCCAGCCCCTGCAGCTTCAGCTGAACAGAGCAGCTGGCCTTGGCCTCTGCTCCATCCAAGCTCAGTCTCCTCGTCGCTAATAGTGGTTAACACTTACGTTGTTTCACTGTCTCAGCCCTTTGCAGGAGCGTTGCCCGCAGGTCACCATCACATTTGCCCCTTGAATATGGTGCAGCCAGGAGGGGCTTTTGCAGCCAGAGGAGGGAGATGAAGTAGGCAATGCTTGCCTCTGTCTCTCCCCTCTGTTTTGGGTGCTCCTTCCCACCCAGACAGGCGTCTGTCAACACTGCCCCATCCCCACCCCAATCCCTTTCAATGTTTTTGGGATGCTCACGGGCCTTTGCCTGTGCTGTTCTCTGCCAGGAGTGCCTTCCCTCTCTTTGTTCACCCTTCAGGAGTCAGCTTGAGGAGCCAGGAGTTATCCTTCAGAAGTTCATCCATCACCCTGCCAGGGCAGGACAGCTTTCCTGACCCCCATCATGGGCTTTCAGGGTATCTTCTTCGTCCTGTCACAGTCATAGTTTCCTGTTCTTTGGATGATTGTGTGACTGTCTTCCGAAGTAGGCTGTAGGCTCATAGAGGCAAAAGACATGTCTGCTTTTTTTTTTTCTTAAAGATACAGTCTCACTCTGTCGCCCAGGCTAGAGTGCAGTTGTGTGATCCTGGCTTACTGTAACGTCAAACTCCTGGGCTCAAGCAATCCTCTTGCCTTGACCACCCAAGTAGTTGGGACTACAGGTGCATACCACAGCACTGGGCCCTTGTGTCTGCTTTTGTTTACCCTTGTTTTCCTAGCGCATTTAGCAAAGCGCTGGTGCAAAGTAGATGCTCAATTTTTGTTTAATGAATGAAGGAATGTCAGGGCTCCTTCTGGTCCTCTTTCAAAAGGGATTTGATGAACTTATTCACTCTGAGAAGTTAGGGAGCCAAATGTATTTTCCCACTTGGCACATTTGCTCAAGGAAGAGAAATCTAAGAGAAACCTAAGTAAGAGAATGGCTAACACAAAGAAATACGTCTCCAATGGTGTCATTCCGGGTATCAGGTGCAGACAATATTTGGGGTCAGGCAGCATTGCTAGTGCTTTAAACCTCCATTTGCACAACCACCGACTTGGCCAACATATATAGGTTGCCCTTGGTTCCTACTGCTAATGACACTGGGGACTCTACCTTTTTGGTACCCAGGTGGTCTTGGAGACCTCAGTGTTCTGTGTTTTGGACTTCAGTTTACCGCATTTGCTGAGTAGCAAATGGAACTGAGAGTTTGCACCTTCCTCCCCCGACCTTGTTGGGTGGGAAGCTTGAAGCTGGAACTCCTCTGCGTGCTTGTTTCTTTGCTTTTGCTTACCTGAAAGGAAGAGGCTGGAAGGGAAGGCTTATTTCCTCTGCAGGGTATGGATGGCTGCAGCCTGCACCAGCAGACTTGCGTTTATTTGAAATTGCTCTGCGGTGGAAGGCGCTCTAATCTATCATGCCTCTGCAAATGTCAATTGGAGAAATGTGAGTTCCGTATTTATAAAGCCAGAAAAATGGGAGCTTGTCCCCCCACCTCCCAGGTGTGCATTTATGCACTGATGAATGACCCCAAAGTGAGTTTGTTATAGAAAAAGTCCGTGCCAAAGGCAGAAAGCTTGCATCTGGAAACACAGTCTGACAATTAGGCCTCTGAGCCCAGCGGCCAGCCCTCAGGCTCCACTGCTTCCTGGCTTTGACTATCACGTCCTTAATTCTGGGGTGAACTCAAGAGTTTTGGAATTTGGATTCTCATTGTTTCCACAGTACTGTCCCCAGAGGCTGCTTTTTTGTTTGTTTGTTTTTGGTGCTGGGGGTGGAGTTTTAAAAATCTTGGAAGCCTATAAAAATTAGTACAGAAGAACAAAATTCTTACCCCGGTCTTGACAGGGAGCCCTGGCCCTGCCCACCTTCCCTTTGGGGAACATACATTCCTGTATCAAGACATGACCCCGATCCCGATTCCTGTCCCAGACCGCTTCTCCTCTCCAAACTAGCTTCTCCTTTCCTGCCCTCTAAACAATGGCACCCTTTATTTTAAAAAGGAGGGTGAAATATCGACACTTCCAAAGTGCCATTTACAAAAGGGAACAGGAGTGAAAAATTAGGACAAGCTAAGCCAAAAATGATGTGCCCCTCTTGGGCTCCTGCAGGTCTCTCTTTTCAAAGGGTATCCCCAGGTGAGGTCTGAGCTGAGTCATGTCTGACAAATCGGTGCCTTGTGTTTTATGCACTGCAGAAAACATAGCTGCTGTGAAAGGGTTAAAAACGAGCACTCTTGGTCGAGAGCCCTAAGCGACAGACAGGCACGTTCAGTTTCAGTCAGTTTCAGTCGGAAAGAAAGACAAGTGTTTGGTTAGTAACTGGATCTGGCTGGAGCTGGGTTTTGGCCTCCGGTCCCTCTGCAGGTTGAGGAGCTGGGGATGGTCCAGTTCTTGTGGTTATTTGGAGGTGGAATCAAGGCAGGAAGCCCTGGAAGCCAGGGCCTGGGGAGGTGCTGCCCGCCCCTCCTTTACACAGAAGGACACCGAGGTCTGGTGAAGGCCGGGGAGTTGATCTGGGCCATCCTGGTTAGTGGCATAGTAAAGACAAGCATGAGGAAGCCTCACTTCCAGTCCTTGTGGGTTGTATTAGAACATGGACTCAGGTAGCCACAGACTCAGTGCTGTTTCAGCCACTTCTTGGCTGGCTTACCCCCTGCAAATCCATTCTGAATGTACCTCTCCATTCAGAATCTTCATGCGTGAAAATGGGTTCAAAAATACCTCTTAGGCTGGGTTTTTTTTTTTTTTAATTAAACGAGACAGTTCATCTAAAGACTGGAGGCTTAGGCATTCAGCAACATGTTCATTCTCTGGCTAGCAGGAGTTCTCCCAGGCTTGGGAGCATTCCTGCAGATGGAACAGCAGCTTCTGGAGCAGTAAGGATGTAATTAACCTCTGAAAGCCAAATCCAGCATCCCCGTTGAAGTCCTATACACTCTCCATACAGTCCCTTAGTGGAAGAACTCCATATTAAAGGGAAAGGTAAATGTAATGGGGGGAATAAAAGGGCCTTTTCTGCGCAAAGGGGAACTCGCCCCAGAGAAACTCCCAGTGAACAATGCCCAAAGCAGGCCTGTGAAGTTAGTGAGGCCTGGAGATTAGAAGGAGGAAGGAAATAATGCTTTTCTTGTCTTGGCCTGCAGTGGCAAAAGAGAGCAACAGCTGGTGGGCATATGCAGCCTGTTAGGGGCATGCTCCCATCACACAGAAGGAAGTCCTGCCCAGCACTGGCAGGGCCCGGGCAACCACTGGGGAGTGGGTGGTCCGGGGGTCTCGGGAATCAGAGCCACCGCTGCCAAGGCTCTGGACCCTGCATTCACTCCCGGCGACTTGAGCAGGGCTTCCCTCCCCAGCTCTAGCCCCTAAGGCTTTTCCCCTTCCCAGGAGGTGTCGGATCCAGTGATGCTATCGACAGAAACTCTGAGGAAGCTGGGGGTTTATTTTGTATCGACTTCAAAACGCATATGAATATCTCCCCTCTAGCTAGGTCCGGATGGGAGACTTTGGCTCACTCTGCAGGCCAGAATCTGTTTCCCCAGCCAGGCTGGACAGTGAGCGGCCTTCTTCCCCTTCCACATCTTCCTTGGTTTTCCTTTACCAGCCTAAAGGATCAAACTCCTGAGACATGGGCCAGGGCCGCTTGCTCGGCCCCTCTTGTGCCCTCAGCCTTTGAGCCGCTGGACCATGTGACAAGATGCCCAGCATTAGCGTCTGCTAATTAATCCAAAAGCTGGCTCCCCGTTGGCCCATAGAGTTTTACAAACCTGAATTAAACGAAGTGTTTATGTGACAGATATGTGGGAGGATTTCAGATATAATCACCATCAATCTGGCTGCAGCCAAAATAAATTCTGTGAAAAGTAAAACAAACTATTGCACAGACAAAGTAGGCCTTAGGGGTCTCCAGCAATAATCTGTGTTTTCTTATTTAGCTGTGTCTAATATTTCTGCTCTTTTCAAAGTGGATAGGATCTGGGCACACAGGGCACTCTTGCTGCAGCTGACAGAGGTGGACACACGCTCCCTCCCGCTGAGCGGAGGCAGAGGGGAAGGGATGTTGCATATTTACATTTAAATTCTTAGTTCAAATAAACCAGCTCTGGCTAGGCAAGGGGGAGGGGAGGGAGCTCAGCTGTCAGGTCCAGGCCTGCTGCGGTCCCCTGTCCTCCAGGCTGCCTAGGCTGGGCTGTGGTTGGGTCAGGCAGGAGGAGGTCAGAGACCTGGTCATCCAGAGAGCGCTGGCGAAGGAGCCCCAGGACACCGGGGAGGCTTTGGGAGCTGCTCTCCTTCAGTTATTTCAGCACTCCTGCGAGGAAAGAGTGAGGAAGCCCTGGCATAGTAAGAACTTGCCCAGCTCTGTGGTGAGGCTGGAGTTTGATCCTGACTCTGAAAGCCCGTGCCGCCTCTCCCCACAGTGCCTTGGTAAACGGAGAGGGACTAGACCCAGACATTCCTCTGGGTAAGAAGCCTTTCAGCACCTGGGTCGGCCTGGCCCAGCCCAGCTGCCCTGCTCCATGTTCCTCCCGCTTCCACAGCGGGAGCTGCTCCAGGCTCCTCTCCTGCCATGGCTCCGCTTGTCCCCATTTCCCAGCCTAGGCCTGAGCTGCAGTTGGGGATGCTGAGGGTCTCCAGACTTGGTCTCCTGAGCTGCCTGTCCCACTCTTCAGGTAACTGAGCACAGTGCTAGCCTGGTTCCTGAGCTGCAGCTCCTGTTCCTGCTGCGTCCTGCCCCCACTGGCCAGCCTAGGGCCTCAGCCCCACAATGGCCAAGACTCCAGCTTGCTCCATTCAGACGTCTGGCTGCTTGAAGCCAGCCTCTGGCTTGGCATCCTTGCTGAGATTCCACAACTTCTGGGCAACCCTCTCTTCCCCCACCACCTCCCCCCACATCCCTATCCCACTGCTCAGAGTCCACTTGGCCGAGGACTAGAAGAAGCCATGCCCAGTGAACTGAATATCTGTTGCATCAGACTGCTCCTGAGGCCCCGTCCTGGCTCCTGCGCTGCTGCATTTGTAGACCTGGGGCTACATCATGTCCCTTCCTTAGCATCTGGAATTGCTGTGTATAGAATGCTCAGTGCTATTCCTTACTGCTCCTGAGATGTGAGAGCCGCCCTGAACATCTAACCATGTTGGGTGATTCTTTTTTTTTTTTTTTTTCCATCTGCCTCTCTATTTCTGTTTGCAGGAGCCTTATTTAGAGTTAAAGGGCCCAGGCCCAGGGGGAAAAGATCAGTGACTCAGGCCACAGCTGTTCCTTCTGCCCTGGACAAAGGCAACAGAGTCCCTGCTCCCTGACAACCCCATAGCACCAAAGACAGTCTTGGTTCTATCACAGTTTAGCTTATTCGCACTTGGATAGACCAGAAAGAAAACTTCTATATGAAATAAAATTATGTTGTAACTTTGCAGACCATTCATTCAGTAACGTTTATTGAGAGTCTACTACATATCAGACACTATTCTAGGCCTGTAGGGTACATCAATGAATTAAAAAATCCCTGCCATCATAGAACTTGCATTCCAATAGGTATGAACAGATAATAAATAGCAATCATAAAAAATAAAAACCGCATACAGAAAGCAAAAAAATGCCATAGAAAAAACAGAGCGGCCTAAGAGTGAAGGAAAATACTGAAGTCGGGGGTGGGTTACATGTTCAAGGAGGGTGTTTGGAGCAGGCCTTATACAGAAGGTAAGGTTTGAACATAAACTTGAGGGAAAAGAGGAAATTAGCCATGAGGGTATCCAGGAAACGTCATTCCAGGGAGAGGGAACAGCCAGTGCAAAGACCCCAAGGCACGAGTATGTCTGGCATGTTTAAGGAACAACAAGATAGCCGGAGTGGCTAGAGGGAAGTGAGCAATGAGGGAAGTAGAGGGGGGTGAGGTCAGAGAGATCACAGGGGCCAGATTCATATATGGCACTGCAGGCACTGTAAGGGTTTTAACTTTTTTATGTTCCTACTTCAGCAAATTAATAAAGATCAGCCTCTCTCCTTAGTCAAGCTAGAGTTCAAGAAATTCAACAAGAATTTCTTGAATTTGTATGCCAAGCCCTGAGCTCACATTAATGAGCAGAATATTCTCTGCCTTTACGAAGTGCAAGTTTGGATCCAAGTGTTGGCAGCAGCATGTGCAGAGGAAAGGGGTACAGGACCAGGGGTTAGGAGACCTGAATTCAAGGCCTGCCTTTCCACTTTACCTTGACCATTCACCAAACCCTGGCTTTCTGTCACTGGAGATAATTACTTATGCCCTGGTTACCTCCTAGGTCTCCTCTGTCCCTTCCCTTGGGTCAGGTAGATGGAGTCCTTGTTGTCATCTTTGCATGCTCACTGCTCTCCCTGTGACCTCATTGGCACTCACTTTGCCTGGTGAGAACCAGCGTCTGCCATTTATTCATATCTCTAGCATGAAAAACACATCCAGGGGTGTCTGCTTTGCAAAGGAAATTTACCCATTCCTTCTATTTCATGCCTTCCTGATCAGATAAAGCTGCATTTGGTGCTAACTTTTAAGTCAAGTATGCAAGACTCCAACCAACAATAACAAAGACAGGCCCACAGGTTGCTGAACCGGGTGAGCTTTTAAAATGCATTCAGAGAGTGTGAGGTTATTAATAAGGAGACAAATATCTCATTTCAGGCTACAAAGCAGACCCCACAGTGGGGCATGGAAATGCTGGGCCCTTCGAGGTTAGCTTAAACTGAAGAGAGGAACTTGGTTAGAATACAGACATCTCTGATGCTGTGTCCCGGATGTTGAGCTTCCAGCTCTGATGGCACGTTCTGTCAACTCAGCTCTGTTTTGAGTGGAACTGAACACTCAGTGATGGCTAAAAACAGCAGTTGACTAAACTAATTAAGCTACATGTAGACGGTGACGGAGGCGGAAAGATAGGCCGAGACAGGCCCTTTGGAAATTATCCTGAGCATTCTTCTTTTACAGGTGAGGACACCAAGGCCTGTGGGTCACATTGTGATTTTGTGATAATGATGAGACTGAAGTTTCAGTTTCCTGGTTCCCACTCCAATGTCATTTTCACCATGGGTACATTTGCCTCCTCTGGAGTCTCAGTGTTCTCAATGTCCTTTCCTATCTGTGTGACTATGGTCTCCTGGGCCCAGAACTAGCAGAATGGACACTTGGAGATTTTTGGGGGTACAGTGATGGAGATGGACTCTGTTGGTCACAGTGGAAAGGACATTAGCTAAGGAACCTGAAGACCTGGGTCCGAGGCCTGGCTCTGCACTTATTTCCTGAGTAACGTTTATTTTTTCGTCTGTTTTTTCAACTGTAAAACATGAAGTATAGTTAAGAGAATGTGTGCTAAGGAACTCTGAAAACTGAAACTACACATGCAGATTTTATGACCATTATTTTCCATCTCTCTTTCCCAGATTCCAACGTGGTGTTTGTGAGGTCATGGCTCTTAATTAGAGGTGAGGTCTTGGACCAGGGGATGTGAGAAAGCCGGCTGTCCTCAAATGGGCCCGACATGGGACCCTGGCCTTCATGGTCATCTACGCAGGGCTTCTTCTCCCGCTCACTCCCCACTCTCTATCACACCCCCAGCTTGACAGCCTCGCCAGCTTTCTCAGCAGTCCTCAGGTACTCCCCGCCTTCAAGTTTATCCTTATACCTGGAAATTTCTCTTCTTTTCTTGGGGGAACTCCTCCTTTCCTTTAACATGTTAGCATTCCTTCTTCACTAGGACTATTTCCTACTTCCCAGGACAAATTAGTTGCCATCTCCTCTGTGTGGTGGTGAAGAGAATGAACTCTAGAGCTAGACCATGTGGGTTGAAGTCCCAGCTCTGCCACTTACTAGGGGTTTGCCTTGGGCAGGTCATTTAGTCTCTCTGTCCCTCAGCTTCCTCACTGATAAAATGGGGATAATAAAAGAATCTATATCATAAGGTTATTCTGAAGAGTGAACAGTATAAGTTAAAGCATTTAGAACAATGCCTGATTCATGACATGTGCTATTTAAGTATTTTCTGCTATTATTATTAGAGTACTTAATATATCTTATGCAATATAATATAATAGATCACATATCTGCCTTCCCTACTCAGACTAATAGAGCCAGACGAGAGTCTTATTTTTCTGTTTTCTTAGTGCTTAACATCATGTCAGGAACATATTAGGTGCTCAATAAATGTTTGTTGGATAAATAATTGGGTACAGTGTACATGGTCAAGTGTGTGACATCATTCATGTCAACTTTTTCCCAGTAAATTTCGTGGGACAAACAGTCTATACCTCCGTGGCTTTGTATGAATCATTGTGGGATTTAAAAAACACTCAAGGCATTTTGTTTAAATAAATAACAAAAGAAAGTTGTCCTGGAATTTTAAACAGTAGAACTATAATATGAAAACAAGTGAAACTCATTTGGCAATAAATTACCACTTGGAGTAGTGGTCCCAGTTACACTGTTCTTGACATGGTTTCAAGAACAGAGTCAGGGCTGGGTTCTGTTTGAAGAGTAATTTTTAAAAAAGAAGATCCCCCCAGGTTGCTGGGATCATATGGTGTGATTCAGTACAACAAAGGGCTTAGACAAGTGGACACGGCCCCCAGAAGGGGACAGGCAAGCTAAGCAGATGCGGCGTGGGGGTGAGGTCACGGTGGAGTTGGGGTTATAATTTCCTGGAAGAAGTGGGTTTTAAGCCACTGGTTCCACTTCTGCTCTTAACCTAATTGCTGGGTACAATATCCTGAAACTGACACCTAGCACACTGCCCATCTGCCAATTTGGGTTTAGGGTGAGAGTACTATGGGGTAAACAACTATTATTTTCTTAATTTTCCTGTTAAGAATTATATTCTTATATATAATTATATTCTTTATTTTCCTATTATATTCTTAATTTTCTATTTCCAATTATTTTGTGAAATACAAGAAAAGACAATTCCGTCAAGGGATTGTAGGGCCAATTTCAACCACATTCTCTTTTACCAATAGTCACTGGTGAAGATAATAACCTAACAAATGATCACATTTGATGATATCTAGATATTGGCTAAGGCAATGATGTAAAGATATGTATTTATGAATATAATACGTACATGCATATTATATTGTATATGCATAAAGTGATATTAATATTTAAACAATTTAAATTAGGGATGGATAATCAAGCATGTCAACACACTCCCTTCCCCTATTTTATAACATGATTTTCAGGCCAATAGACACATGATAGGAGCCATCTGATGGGCTAGTAAATGGTATGGTAAACTGTCTGCAAAGATGATTGCCAACAATTCCTCCCCTCTCCGGATGTGCATGTTGGGCCTTCCGTTAAGAAGTGGAGTGTATCTCTCCTCCCCTTGAACCTGGCTGGCTTTGTGATTTGCTTTGGCCAGGAGAAGTCTGCTTGTAAGAGACCATTAAGAAGCCTGACAGCTCCCACTTTCACTCTCTTAGAGCCTTGAGCCACCAAGTGAGGAAGTCAGACCACCTTGCTGGAGAGGGGGCGTGATCAACCCCCTGCCATTCCAGCCTTCCTAGCCAAGGCACCAGACATGGGAGTGTGAAGCTGTCTTGGATCCTCCAGTACCAATCATGATCCCTCCTTAATAACACTTGGAAAGAGATGACCTGTCTCTCACATACCCTTTTCACATTTCACCACCATGAGTAACTGGTTGTTGTTTTGAGCCAGTACGATTTGGAACATTTTGTCACACGGCAAGGCATACCTGAAAAAGGGATAGTACTGATCTACACTAGTGTCTGAGATCTCTTCCTGTGTGGTCTCCTCTTTGGATCAGGATGGGCTGGGGACATTCTTGAGTGCCTGTCTCTCCCCGTTGTTCATGGCAGTCACTGCTAGTTGATCACAGCTCTCTTTCCCATTCAGCCCGATACTGGCTTAAACCTCACCACAGATCTCTAGACAATCACTGCTAAGCCGCTGAAGGAGGTTCTTGCCATTCTAGGATTAACCATCATGTTCCCAGAGTGTCTATCAATGAAAGGAGAAGGAGGTTGGTATACCCTAGTTATACATTAGCACCCCCTAGAATCATGGAATGTAAAAGATGGTGGAACTTCAGAGATCATCTCACCCAATGGCCTGAATCCTGGCTGCAGATTAAAATTACCTGGGCTGCTTTAAAAATTGAACTGACGCCTGGGCCTCACCCCCAGAGATTCAGACTCAACTGGGCCTCAGTATTTTAAAATACATATATTCTTTAGTAGTGAAGACATTTGACCTCACAGGTTAGGGCCTGAAGGCACAGATTACAAGTGGCTGAACCTTGCTACAGAGACCAGTTTGGTTGAGGAATTATTTTGAGGGTTCTTAGAATATCACGGGCAGACCATCCAAAGACTCTGAACACCAGAAGGAAAAGGGGTGTTCCCAAAGGGAAAATGAGAATTCTGACTGGGGGAAAGAAGATAAGGACAGGCACCCAGCAGAGCCAACTCCTAAGTCTGGAGATGGACATCCTTTCCTTTCTGTCAGGAAAAGCCGGCAGCTGATCTGTGAGGGCAGTTTTTGATATACGGCTCCAGATGTGAGGGGAAGGTATGCTCTGTGGTTTGAGACTTTTTCCTGTGGAGAATTTCTTAAACCTCAGACCCGACTGTCAAGAAGCACTGAGACAGAGTATGGCGTGCAGGAGAGACGTGTTTGACACAGCGGGGTCAGGAGAGTTCAAGGCGCCTTCTCTCTGGGTAAGTTTGGCAGGAATGCTAAAACACAATGAGGGGACTGGAAACCTCATGACAGTAAAATTTTAAGGCTTCAATTTTTGGTAAAATATGACTTGCTGTCAGGTATATGAGTTGGTAGCTTTGATGCAAATATGTAATAAATCTCACCTCTTTACTGAAATCCAAAGAGATTTTCTGCATATAAATAAAACCATGAGTGCGATAAAATTGCTTTTGATCACCTCACATGAAAGGTGTGAGGAATGTTCAAACTGTTACCATAATTAAAGGACTGTGGGATGATAAAAAAAATCTTACTTGAATATCTCTCCTCCCACCCTCTTTTAAAAGGCATTTCTGGAGAAAACCAACCCTCATCCATTTTGGTATTGTTTTGACCTTAACTTTGTAGTTTTAAGAAAAGTTTCACATTTAGTGACAGCAGGAAAATTGTCCTGCAGTTGAAAACACTACAAACTGTGAGTGACACTGGAATTTGCAAAAATGAACCAAGTTTCTCTTCACAGCCTCAGCAGAAACAGATGACTTCTAAAGAGAACTCAGTCTTGTTGCCAAAGGAGTTGTCTGGGGATCTTCTTTCCTTTTCCTGGTCTGGATATCCTGTCTGTAGGTCATGGTGGGAAGTCATCTTTGCCTGACTTGTTCTATTGGTCTTTTAAAAACTACCTTAAAAACTTTTGATTTTTCTAGACTTTCACTGGTCTTGAGAAAATTATCTTTTGTATTTGCTTTTTATACTAATCACAGTATTTTTATTTTTATTTTTTTTGGAGACAGAGTTTCACTCTCGTCACCCAGGCTGGAGTGCAGTGGTGCGATCTCAGCCCACTGCAACCTCCGCCTCCCGGGTTCAAGCAATTCTCCTGCCTCGGCCTCCGAAGTAGTAAGGACTACAGGCATGTGCCACCATGCCCAGCTAATTTTTTTTGTATTTTTTGATAGAGATGGAGTTTCACTATATTGGCCAGTCTGGTCTTGAACTCCTGACCTCAGGTGATCCCCCTGCCTAGGCCTCCCAAAGTGCTGGGAATACAGGTGTGAGCCACCACGCCTAGGCCTAATCACAGTTTTTATTCCACAATCATGGGCTTACAATGGTAGAGAGATCATTACTCAAGCAAATGCTCCCATCTCCTCGCACAGACATTAGAGTGTCACGGTGGCTGCCTCACTGGTCACCATGGCTCCATCCCACTTGCTCCCATTCATCCTGTGTGGTCTCAGATTTAATTGTCATAGCAGGGATCTGCATATGTCACTGCCCCACTCTGAGTCATTCCGAGATTCTCCTTTTCTAACCAAATGAAGCTCAAACCCCTTCCCTGGTCTTCAAGACTCTACAAACTGGTTCAACTTTATCTCTCGCACTCACCTAACTTGAAACCTTGGATCCAGCCTTCATGTTGTATTCCCACCTGTTCCCATTTCTGGCACATTGATGTTCATCCTGCCAGAAATGTCCTCCTCCCTCTAGCACAACTCCTGAAAGGTCCATCTCACTTCCGCCTCCTCTGGAACACTTTCCTCAGTTACTCCATCCAGCTCCCTTGAACTTCAGTGGGAGTTATTTGATACTTAGCCTATATACTGACTTACATGTTTATTTCTACCTTTTGTGTGTACCTTTTTTTTTCCTTCTAGATGGTGAGATTTCATTCATTTATTCAGCAGCAAATATTTATTGTGGAGCAAGTACATATGAAGGCCTAAGCCGTATGCAGGAACATTGTAGTGAGTGTGACAGACATGGTCCCTGCCCTATAGAGCTTACAATCTAGCAAAGGACAGTAACCATTCCATGTGACAAGTACTATTTAGGGGGCAGTCCTGAGTGCTATGGGAGAACATAGGAGGACCACTTAACTGTGCTCGTGGCCAGAGAGGCCTCCAAAAAAAGTGCCCCATAAAGAATGGATGGGAATTAGCTAGGCAGAGATGTTGGAGAGGACTTAACACATGGGTAAGTCATGGAGCACTAGAAGAAGTCAAAGGTCAGGATGCCTGGGCACAGAGTGGGTGGGGTGAAGCAATGAGAACACTGTTGGAAGTGAATAGAGGCCTGGGCCCTGAGGCTTGTGTTCATTTTGTCAATGGATGCTTTTTAAGCATTATATTCTTTAGGATAGCTTCCCCTCTAAGAAACAGGACCAATAACCCAGGAACCACCTACCTCCAGATTTCATACCAAATAGGTGATTCATGTATGAGCTCCAGAGATAGGTGATTCCAGGGTTGATTTAATTAGCAGTTCAGTCATGTCAAGGCTTTGGGTCAACTTCTCCGAAGTTCCTTTGGTTTTTCCTTCATGGTCACAGTTTGGCTTCCACAGCTTCAAATATCATATCCTCACATGGCAGGAAGGTAGAGAGGGTAGAAGCAGGTGAAGGTCTCTTTTATATACCTCTTTTTTTTTTTTTTTATCATGTGGGAGAACCTTTTGCAGACTCCCTCCTGCAGTCTTCATTCTACATATCATTAGTGTGAATAAGTCACATGCCGACTTTTAAACTAAACACTGAAACGGGGAATCAGATTTCTGTGATTAGCTTAAACCAAACATGATTCATCTTCTGAAACTGGAAGAAGCCCCTATCTTTCGGAAAAGCATCATCACCCCATACTGGAACAACTGGAGTTTTTAGCAAGGAAGAGAGGAGAGATGATTGCCAAGGAGACAACCAACAGTGTCTGCCACAACGCATTTCCTAAAAGATTGACTCAAACCCCATCCCAAAGACCTAGAAGAGGGACAGGTATGTTCATTTCCAGTCATAAAAACTATTTTCCTTAATTTCTATTATATATGTCTCTGGCTTTCAACAAAAAATTATGAAACATACAAAAAACAAGGAAAAAAATATACTCTCAAGAGACAGGGCAATCAACACAGTAAGACTCCGATATGACACATGGAATGATCAGACTGAGAATTTAAAATAACTATGGTTTATGTGTTAAAGGTGCCAATGGAAAAGATGGACAATGTGTAGTAGCTGGTGGATTATTATAGTAGAAAGATGAAATAATAGTGAAGAATCAAATAGAAATGCTAGAAATGAAAGACACAGAAACAGAGATGAAGAATGATTTCAGCAGGCTCATTAGTAGACTTGTACAGCCAAGGAAAGGATCAGTGAAAATGAAGATTGATCAGTAGAAATTACCCAAACTGAAGCACAAAAAGAAAAGAGTGGTGAAAAGAAAGAAAAACAGAACAGAGAGTGCAAAATCTATGAGACAATATCAAATAGTCTAATATACATGTAAATTACAACCCCAGAAGGAGATGAGAGGAACAAGACAGAATAGTTAAGGAAATGGTGCTTGAGAATTTTCTAAAGTTAACTCCAAACACTCTACCATGGATCTAAGAAGCTTAGAGAACACCAATTAGAATAAATACAGAAATAAAACAAAACAAAATAATCTAGGGTTATCATATTCAAACTGTTGAAAACCAAAGATAAAGAGAAAAGCCTGAAGGCAGTGGGGAAAAAAAATGACATTATATACAGAGGAGCAAAGATTATAGCAGACTTCTTGCCAGAAACTCTGTAATCCAGAAGATGATGGAGTGACATCTTTAAAGTGCTGGGGGGGAGGGGAGGGGGAAAGAATAGACTGTCAAACCAGAATTTTATACCCCATGAAAATATTTTTCAGTAATAAGGAAAAATTAAAGGCTTGCTCAGACAAACAATAGACTTGTTGACCACAGTAAAAAAAAAAAAAACTCACTATCATTTAATCTATTACTAGTGGGCAGTGAGGGTATTTTTTTAAATGTGTAATATTAACTTTGTCTTTTTTTTTTAATTTTACTTTAAGTTCTGGGATACATGTGCAGAACGTTTGTTACATAGGTATACATGTGCCATGTGGTTTACTGCACCTATCAACCCATCATCTAGGTTTTAAGACCCCTATGCATTAGGTATTTCTCCTAATGCTATCCCTCCCCTTGCTCCCCACCACCTGACAGGCCCCGGTGTGTGACGTTCCCCTCCCTGTGTCCATGTGTTGTCATTGTTCAACTCCCACTTATGAGTGAGAGCATGCGGTGTTTCATTTTTTGTTCCTGTGTTAGTTTGCTGAGAAAGATGGCTTCCAGCTTCATCCGTGTCCCTGCAAAGGACATGAACTCATTCTTTTTTGTGGCAGCATAGTATTCCATGGTGTATATGTGCTGCATTTTCTTTATTCAGTCTATCATTGATGGGCATTTGGGTTGGTTACAAGTCTTTGCTATTGTGAATAGTGCTGCAATAAACATACGTGTGCATGTATATTTATGGTAGAATGATTTATAATCCTTTGGGTATATAACCAGTAATGGAATTGCTGGGTCAAATGGTATTTCTGGTTCTAGATCCTTGAGGAATTGCCATACTGTCTTTCACAATGGGTGAACTAATTTACACTCCCACCAATAGTGTAAAAGAGTTCCTGTTTTTCCATAGCCTTGCCAGCATCTGTTGTTTACTGACTTTTTAATAATCGACATTCTAACTGGTGTAAGATGGTATCTCATTGGGGTTTTGATTTGCATTTCTCTAATGACCAGTGATGAGCTTTTTCTCATGTTTGTTGGCCACGTAAATGTCTTTTTTTTTTTTTTTTGAGAAGTGTCTGTTCATAGCTTTTGCCTACTTTTTGATGGGGATTTTTTTTCTAGTAAATTTTTTTAAGTTCCTTGTAGATTCTGGATATGTACTTTGTCTTATATGAATTACCAATTCATATCTTTCACCCATTTTTCTATTGAGCTATTTGTCTTTTTCTTGAATGAGTTCCTTATATGTTTTGAATATCAACCCTTTGTTGTATATGAGCAAATATCTTTTCCTAATTTGTTACTTTTCTTGTAGTATATTTATGGTCACTTTCATTGATAGAATTTTATTGACAAAGTGAAATTTAACCCCTTTTTCTTCTATAGTTTTTGCATAGGCTTACCCTATGTGGCATCTCTAATATTTTCTTTAATATTTTATAGTGTTGCACTTTGTTTAGGTCTTTAAACCTTCTGAAACTTATATTTTTCAATAGTTAAAAGTAGTGATGTAAATTAATTTTTCCCGACTGGACAGTTTATCTTTTCCCCATTTATTTGAAGTGCCACATTTGTCATATAATATATTCACCATATATCCATGACTCTACTTCTAGATTCCCTTTTCTGTTCTATTGAGCTATTTTTTAAACCTTACACCAATAGCACAGTGTTTTATTTCTCATAGCTTTATATTATGTTTTGATATCATAAAAGGCAATGGCCAGGCCTATCTTGGTCAGCTCCTTCCAGTAGATAAATGACATACCTGCCTAAAATTTTGAAAAGAGAGTTCTAAAAGAGAAAATATGCTCTCCTACACTCTGATGTAGTCCATCAGAGGATGGTTTGAGGAGGAATAGTGATGATAACCAGGCATTACAGATGGCCTGTTGTATTGTCTTAGCGTAACTAGACATGTATGATGCCTAGTTATTATAATTTAATTTGTGTTTAATGCAGCAATATGACATAACAATATGGCAAGAAACTGAACCTGATAATAGATCTAGAAAATGTGGCTTGCCAAGAGTGGTTTTGTGAAACCCTTCTGGAGTTTTCAGATGTTATGGCTGAGAATCTCTGAGCTCCAAAAAAAAAGCAGTGTTTAGAACTTACCACCTGGCAGTTTCTCCTGGCAGGCTGGCTATGGCCAGCACTCAGGCCTGTCTGTCATAGTGGAATTAGGGAAAACCCAAGAAGCTGTGCTCATCAAGCTCTCCTGCTTGTTACAACCTCATATCCTTGAAGGTCATATCAATGACATGCGACTTGTATACACTATGTGTCTGAGAGTTCCTTCTTACTCATCTGCAAGCCAGGCTCTTCTGGGCTACTTCAGAAACTTAGAACAGCACGTTCTCTCTTTTAGAACTTGTTTTTCAAAATTTTCTTGGATTTTTCTTTCACATTTTCTCCTCTAGAAGGATTGTATCATCAGTGTGTAACGTATTTGAAAAATCTCACTGGGAACTTAACTGTGATTCCACTGAAATTATAGAATAATCTGGGGGAGAATAAGCATCTTCACAGTGCCAGGATTTTTCAACCAGATAACATGAACATTATCTCTATTTGGTTTTTCTTGTATGTCCTTTAGTAAAGTTTTGTCATTTTTCTTTCTTTAGCTCTTATACATTTTTAGTTTATTCTTAGGTATTTTGTAGTTTTGTGGCTTTTGCGAATAGGATATTTTTCATAACATTTTGTAATAGTTACTATAGAATGGAGGCAAGCCATAGTTTTTATATGTTAATATTGTGCTTGGCCTCCTAACTTAATGAAATCTGTAAATTCTGATCATTTACTTCAGAGAGTTCTCTTAGATTTTCTAGGTATACAGTGATGTTGTCTGTCAATACTGACAGTTGTTTCTTCCTTTTAAATTTGTATATCTTATTTCTTTTTCTTATCAGTTAAAAATCTAAGACTTTCAGGTCAATGTGGAATAATAATGACAGGATCTTCATTTTATTCCTAACATCAATAGGAAGAATTTTCTTATTTCCTTCTAATATATGACACTCGCTCAAGTTTCTAGCCAACATTCTTTATCAAGAAAAGAAAATTTTCTTCTATTTCCATTTGCTAAGAGTTACTGGAAATGGGTGTTATGGTTCATGAGATAATTGTTCTGCCTCTGTTCAAATCATCATATACTTTTTCTCTTTTAGTCTATTAATTTAACACTATTTTGAAATGTGGAACCAACATTGCATTTTAGAGAATAAACTCTATTTGATTTTTCCCATTTGTGGTAATAATGCTTTTAATTTGTTTATAGGTACTTAAATAGGACAGGCAATCTTTTGCCTTGAAAACTGACTCTTTAAGGGCCTCCCTGACTCTGTTGTTCTATTATTTTTGCTTCTGGTAATTGAGTCTGTGGTCATTCTTATCCAAGGATTTTATTGCAGATTACTTAGGGGAAACTAAAGATATTTGGAACATATCCCTAACTTTTAAAAAATTGATTTTTTTATTTATAATTGACACAATAATGGTAATAACTATATATTTATGGGGGCCAGTGCCATGTTTCAATGCATGTATAGATTGCATAATGATCAAATCAGAGTCATTACCATATCCATCACATTAAACACTTATCATTTCTTTGCAATGATAACATTCCAAATCTCTTATAGCTATCTTGAAATATCCACTACACTGTTATTTGCTGCAGTCACCCTACTGTGTAACAGAACACCAGAACTTATTCATTCCAAGTGTAACTTTGTACCCACTGAACAGCCTCTCCTGTTCCCTTACATCCTTGACCTTTTTTTTTTGGAGACGGAGTTTTGCTCTTGTCACCCAGGCTGGAGTGCAATGGTGCGATCTAGGCTCACTGCAGCCTTCGCTTCCAGGGTTCAAGTGATTCTCCTGCCTCAGCCTCCCAAGTAGCTGGGATTACAGGCGCCTGCCACCACGCACAGGTAATTTTTGTATTTTTAGTAGAGGCAGGGTTTCCGTCTCTACTCATAGTAGAGACCATGTTAGCCAGGCTGGTCTCAAACCCCTGACCTCAGGTGATCCACCCACCTCGGCCTCTTGAAGTGCTAGGATTACAGGAGTGAGCCACCGTGCCCAGCCCCTTATATCCTTGACTTTTAAAAGTTGACATCATAGAGAACAACCAAAGCATACCAACTGGTGATTGGTGCCTGTCAGACACATAATCCTATATTTATTTGAAGAGGGCTGATCCATGATAGTATTGTACAGTTCATCTTCAAGTGAGGAAACATGGGAAACTACAAAAGATTACAGAAGAGTAGAGAGGATGGACCAACATGGAGTCAATTCAGAATCCAGGACACAGGCAAAAGGCTAATGATCTTTAGGTTTCCATGACAACCAGAGGTGGCTTTACCATGATGCTAATGAAACAAGCTTCTGGGCCTCTCACTTCCACTGTCCCCTTCCCAGGCCCTGCTCCTAATTTTGTATTTGTAGTTTTGTATTCTTTTCCTTAAAAAGAGACCTCAAGTTGTATAAACCTTGGACCCCACAAAACCTAATGACAACCCCAGGCATGACTTGCATACCAGCCACCAAGCCTAGACCCAGTGCTCTGAAAACCCTTTCCTGGCAGCCCTGATAATTCTCTGAGTTTGGTAATTAGAGTGGGTGGCAGATTAAATTACCATGTTGCTTCCTAGCTAGGCTGGGAGAGCTGTGGCCTGACATAGAAGCCAGTGGGTGTCACATGGAACAAGTGCTCAGCTATCTCACACTCTGCTCTCTGTGGGGGCACGTGACCAAATTCATTACTAATGCTGAGCTGATCTGGTTACCTTGATTGACACTAAGTGATTTCAGCCCGGGCTATATTTGTCTTCGTGGGGAAAATGCCACGGAGCTGAAAGGCTATTTCCCCCTCCAAATACATTTGGGGCTGTCACTGTGGAGTTACGCACCCTGACATCAAAATCAGACCCACAGGCTTTGGAAGACAGAAAATGACATCATGGGCAAAAAATGGTGTCAGCTTAGCTTTGTTTTTCCATTCTTTTTCTGAACTCTGACAGAGAAGTAGTTTGTCTAGAATTTGAAAAGGCTTTCAGGCAAGGAAAAGGAAGAGTTAGTCGGAGCTGGACTTGTTTGCCAACACAAAAAATAGTTGCCAGGACATATTTCTCTGTCCTCATGATTCCACTCTGTTACTATGAAGCTTAATTTTAAAATGCTTTTATTTGTTAGGGTTTTGGTATCTAATGAATCATTTAACCTGTTATTGAATAAAATTTTAAGCTCTTAGAATTAAATACTACTTAATACAACACATTTTTGTTTATAGTACCAAAAAGAAAAATATTACCTACAAGATCCTACCCTTAAGTCTGACCACCTTTTCCCATGGTTGCTAAGCACATAAGACAAGTCTGTGAATGACCTAGTATTATCTTTACAATGCTGTGCTATGTGAATTCTGAATGCGTGTAAGAAATACATCAAACCTAGTAACACAGGCAAAAATTAGATACTGCTAGTCCATAAACTTCAATTAGGAAGTTTAAATTAGACTGAAGGAGAAATTTTAGCCTAAAGATATCAAATAGAGCTATAGTGGCTTAAAGTGAACTATTACCCTACTTCATACAAGTCAAGTATTTTGGATGGAGCAAATGTTTAATTTAACAAGCAGTTGTTTTGATTGATTCCTCTGGACTTAAGAATAACAAAGGGAATGTAAAAAAAATAAAGTAAACCACCCTTTATCATTGTTCTTGTCCTCATGCATGCTCTGGTTCTCTCTTTACTGCTGGCGTAGAGGAAGGGGACCCTCTTGCAGGTTCACAACCTGGTGGGTTTGGGTGCAGAGATGTGATGAAGCTTGTTCTAACTATCTGCCTGCAGTAGTTACTCATATCAGACTGGGTCAGGTGAGCAGGGAGGCAGAGCTACCGTTTAGCTTCAAATCACAAAGTTATAACTCCCGAATCTGCTCCTCCTCCTCTCTTGAATTTCTGCCTTCTTTCCAGGGAAGATGACAATGAGATGGGATGGGTTTTGACAGAGAAATGGGAGGGAGTGTCCACTGACCTAAGGAAAATACTTCATCTCATGAAAACATGGTTTCTTTTATATAGAGGCATATAAAAATGCACGTAAACAAGCATTTTTTATTGAACATTAAATTTTATTGGTACAGAGCATGTGTTTTGTTATACTGGTGACTAATGCCTTTTAAAAATGAGATTTTGAAATGCCATTCTGCTTATGTAACTGAGATAAAGAGCTTTTAGGACATTGTTCTGCAGTGAACCCCTATAATAATAGCTGATTAGCAACAAGACAACTTGAGGTGCCAAGAATGTTTACTGCAGAACCTTCTATTAAGTAGGAAAAGGTTTTGTTTTTTGGAGAGGTTATCCAGATGGTTTTGCCTGAGAAACCTCTCTAACTGACCTCAAAAGTCATTAGTTTGCAAATATTAGTGTGCAAAAATATTTATTTGCATGTAGATGCCCTGGTTGGTCCCTATTTTCCTGTCTAATGAGGTCACTAGGAGAGTGATTTATTTTAAAACATCTAGTTAAAAATAAATTTATCCATAAGAGAAACAGGAGGAAATATACATACTAAAAGTTGCTTATTACAAAAAAAAAAATCTTTATTTCAATACTGACTCTTTTTTTTTTTTTTTTTTTTTTTTTTTACTTTAAGTTCTGGTATACATGTGCAGAATGTGCAGGTTTGTTACATAGGTATATATGTGCCATAGTGGTTTGCCGCACCCATCAACCCGTCATCTAGGTTTTAAGCCCCTCATGCATTAGGTATTTGTCCTAATGCTCTCCCTCCCCTTGCCCCCTACCCCGCAACAGGCCCTGGTGTGTGATGTTCCCCTCCCTGTGTCCATGTGAACACTGACTGTCTTATAAAGCCTTGATGATGTTCCATAATCATAATTTTTCTTTCAAAGGAAAGTGCTTTTTAGTCTGCAGTAGATTCCTGGATGTTAGCTGCTATGTCCATGATGACTATCACATTTATGGGAGTATGCTTGTTTTTGAAAATAACAGGAGAAGCCAAAGAGGCAAAGTAAATAAAAATACTTCCCAAAAAAAAAATATTGAAATAACGAATGTGTTGGAAGTGAATATTTTCCCAGGCTGGTGATTTTCTTGTACTATAAAGCGTATGGACAGTTAAGTCCCTGGTCACATTCGCAGGGGCCTGGCTTCTGAGTTCCCCTGGGCTCCCAAACACGGCATCCTAGCAGAGGTGTGTGTGACAGCATCATCCCCAGCTTCTGGAAGACCTGGCCCTAGGTCTTTAGGGAAAATCTTTCCACTTTCTCATATATATATATATATATATATATATATATATATATATATATATACACACACACACATATATATATATATACACATATATATGTGTGTATATATATATATACACACATATATATGTGTATATATATATATATATTTTGTGATGGAGTCTCACTCCGTTGCCCAGGCTGGAGTGCAGTGGCGTAATCTTGGCTCACTGCAATATCCTCCTCCCAGATTCAAGCGATTCTCCTGCCTCAGCCTCCCAAGTAGCTGGGATTACAGGCATCCGCCACCATGCCCAGCTAGTTTTTGTATTTTTAGTAGAGATGGGGTTTCACCATGTTGGCCAGGCTGGTCTCGAACTCCTGACCTCAAGTGATCCACCCGCCTTGGCCCCGCAAAGTGCTGGGATTACAGGCATCAGCCATTGTGTCCAGCCAGATTTTTATAAGCATCCTAAGAGCTGCAGGGTATGTCTACTGAAAAATAAAAATGATTAGTTCTCAAGATCACTGTGCAAACTAGTACTGGTTCCATGGGAAACAGGGTTTTTGCCTATTTGCCAGTTTCTAAAGTTGAGGTAATTCAGGGCAACTTTAGTCTCCGCAAATTATCCCTGATTCTCAGCTGAAGTGACCACAGGCTCAATCTGTGTTCTGTCCTAAAACAAAATAAAGCAAAACTCCCTCAATTTATTATATGGTAGGAAAGCTTATGGGTTCTGCAACATACTAGCTGTGTGACTTTGGGCACATTTACCTCAGTTTCCTCACTTGTAAATGCGGAAAATGATACTTGCTCTTCCTGACACTGTGAGGATTAAATGAGATAATATGTGGAAATCATCTGGCACATAATAGAAACCCAATAAATCTGCATCCTCATCCCTCTACACCCCTTTTGGGAAAGCCTTTCCAGCTTGGATAAATCCAAACTTTCTAAAGACTGCAGGCTCCTGGTCTGAATATCACCCTTAGGGAAGGCTGAGTCCAGATTGGGAAGTCTCTTTGCTCTCTACCTTCATTTGCTGAGATCCTTTCTCTTCTGTACACATCTGTCCTTCACCCCTGAGCTCTTTCTGGGAGGGGCAAAGGGGCTCCGTAAACTCAAAAGGATCCTTCAAAAGGATGTTATGCTAACGGCAGAGTTCTAGGGATGGTGAGTCCAAAGGCAGATTGTTCGAGGAAGGGGCTTTTGAGGAGCGGGGCCTTCCCTGAACCCCACAGATGCCCCCATGCAGTGGGCTGCTTATTCTACCTGAACCCTGGGAGAGCTCCAGCTAAGGGCTCACACAGGCTCTAGCAGAGAGTATAAGAAATACCCATCAGTGACCACAATTAAGGATCTTGGCCTGGTCAAAGTCAAGGTCATTCATTAACATTTTCTGAGCACCCATTCCCCAGAATACATATGTTTTGCCCATTGTTTCTCAGCACCCACACTAAAGGACCCATAGTTTAGATCAAAGTACTAGTGCAGGGCTCCATGGATAGGCTTCTGAGGGTGGGTGATTCCCTGAAGCTGTGTGCAAAACAGTATGTGCATATGTTTTTGTGCATTTCTGGGGAGAACATCCAGAACTTTCATTACCTTCTCAGAAAGTTAGGAACCACCTGCTGGTTGTGAACTGAATGTTCTCCCTGTACTCTGCTGGGGCCAGTAGGAATCTTGGCTCCCAGAGTCCCTCCTGGGCCTCCAGATAGATAAAATGTTATGACAGAGGGTGCAGCTGTCATTCCTGGGAGGCCCATGCCCAGTGACTAAGCACTGAGCAATATTTGCTGTACCTCCTTCCAACCACGGCTTCCTGGACCATCACCTCGTCAACAGTTGGTCTGCATACAGCGAAAGAGAAATCAGTCTTCTGGTACTAAACCACATTCTGGGCTACAGCTGTAGGGAGAGAGTGGAGCTTGGCCATGGAGGGTGGTGCGCTGGGCTGTTTGGCAACCTTGGCCAGGCTGTTTAAGCCTCAGTTCTCCTACGGAGATATTAGCTCCTGGCTGTAAGGCCAGGTCTCCCGCCCTCACTAATGTACCCTGCACAGTTCCTGGTGCCCTGAAGGTGCTCAGCTCATGTCCATGGAGTTGAAGTGAAGAGGAACTGATAATCCCTGCCCCAGGCTAGGAGGGGCAATCAGACCACATAAATAACCATGAGAGAATTACAGGTCAGGAACTCAGGGGCTGCAGCTCAGAGGATAGCTGACTTCAGCTCAAGGGCTGGGTGGGTGGATAAGGACTCCGAGAAGGCTTTATCGGGGGGGTAGGTGGGGGACTTTAGAGAGAAGGCTTGACGGAACGGTAGAAGGTAGACATGGGGGTGTACAGACAAAGGGCATTTCTGGGAGGGAAGTGGCTTTAGCAGGACAACACAGGGGCAGGGAGGTTCTGGGCTAGAGCAAGCCCCCTGGCTGGGCTAGAACCAAGAGTGCCTAGAAGAGAGGGACCAAACTGGGCTGGAAAGTGGGTGACCACCCACTGCTGTGGCTCACTTCACCCAAGGAGAAGAGGACTGAGCAGTGGGCCTGGTGGTCCCCCGTGGCTGTGCCACTGGGTCCAGGGACCCGCTGGCCCCACATCCTGTGGGTTCACTGACCGAGGCCCAAAGCCAGGACAACCCAACAAGGCTCAGCACTGTGCCAGGTTATGCTTTTACAGCTAAAACCTCACTGGTCTTGGAGGAAAGTTCTCCTGCTTGTCAGTTCCCGGTGCTCACATAGATCACTCTCGAAGGCAGGCAGGAAGCAGATCTATAATTACCGAGGCAGCTGAGATGCTTTTCCCTGGGGCTGGTGTTTAGACTTATAACGTCATCATTTATAAGGCCCGTTCTTCTCTGATAATGAAACGAAGTAGGGCAGTGTTACTAGACTTGAGACAGGAGTTTTCTTCTCTCATCCCACTCCACCCCTCTCACTTCCCTTCCCCAAATTTCCGCTTATCTGTCTCCAGCCGATCTCTAGTATTTTCAATACTATCTCTTCACCACAGAGGGAACATTCTAGGGGACAATAAAAATCGGAATTGTTGCTTAGTAGCCTCTGTGAGATTCAAACCACCTTCAAAAACTCATTTAAATATCTCTTTTCCTCCAGGCGTCCTTCATGGATTGCTCTTCCCTAAGACGTTGCTTTCTTTATGATGGCCTTGCTATTTATATAAGTGGTTCTCTTCTGTTGCAGCTAGTCCTAAAGAAGCATGGTAAATATTTCAGGCTCTGGACCCTTTAAACCGTCATTTTTTTTAAGAAAACAAATTCTGTCCCTCATTTTGACTGGGGATAGAGGGGGTAGGCATTCTGATGCCCTCTCTCAGCCTTTGTGTAGGGATTGTCTTCTCCATTAGCCTGTATGCTTAAGTCTTCCCTCCCTTTCTCCCTGGAGTGCATATCCAGAGTTTGCTAGGGGGAAGGGTAGGCTGTGCAGTGGATGGGGTAAATGGTATGTGGGTGTGTATACACGTGTGTGTGTGTGTGTATGCATGTATGTGTGTGAGCCCAGGCCCCTTAGTACACTTTCTTGTAGGAATCCAAGCATCACCGGTTAAGGTAGAGGACATTGCAAGGGTCTGTAGCCTGAAAGTCCTGGAGACTCTTTGTCCCAACAGGGATGCCACCTGTTGCTGTCCTCAGCTCACATGGAGGACATAATCCCTGAAGGAAGGTATGAAACTTCCCTCTGCTTGGCTGTTGGAGAATGGTGTGGTCAGGACAGCTCTGGCAAAGCTGTGATGCAGACATTAAGTCCTGGGTGCCCCTACCCCTACCACATGCCCCATCCTGGGTTCTGTACATGGCTGGGCCACACCAGTTCCAGGGCCTCCATGCACACACTGTCCTGGCCAGGAGGGGAAGAGTATTCCAGCGAGGGGAGGGCTAAGCCGAGGCTGAGGCAGTGTGAGCACATTGACAACTACACTTTTTTAAATCAGGAATTTAAACAGTAATCACAAAAAGTACAATCTCTGGCATACTGAAAATTTGACAGTTATAAAATTGTAATAATACTCCTTAATGTGTCCAGTGAAACATACATACTATAACAATGTGTTAGCCACCATCACTTGTTTAAAAATTATGCCAACCAGGTCTTCTTTGGCCATCAGAACTTTTATATTGTTCTTATTTCTCTTTGGATCTGCATTTCCATCCCACTTCCCCCATGGAATTTTATTCTAATATGTCTTCATGCTTATTATAGTCACTGTAATAAAACTGTGTAGGTATTGAAATTAACTGAAAACCTCCTGTGATCATTAGCTCTAAGTGTTAAAAAACAATTTCTATATTATTCATTAAAACAATTTTATTGATCAAAATATCATAATATGAATTTTTTTTGAGACAGAGTCTTGCTGTGTTGCCAGGCTGGAGTGCAGTGGCACGATCTTGGCTCACTACAACCTCTGCCTCCCAGGTTCAAGCGATTCTCCTGCCTCAACCTCCCGAGTAGGTGGGACTACAGGCGCACACCACCAGGCCCAGCTAATGTGTGTATTTTTAGTAGAGACAGGGTTTCACCATGTTGGCCAGGTTGGTCTCGATCTGTTGACCTCGTGATCAGCCTGCCTCAGCCTCCCAAAGTGCTGGGATTATAGGCGTGAGCCACCGCACCCAGCCAATATAATATGAATTTTAATAAATAACAAAAATGCAATGTTATTGGAAATGCATCTGTTAATGACATAGGAGGGCTTTCTTTTTTCAGCCTTCTTCTCTATACATGGATGAATATTACTTATTGTTAAAATGAGGCAGTGCTTAGCTTCAATTCTACTTCTATTTTTTCTTTCTTATATATGTACCTGCTGAGAAAACATGTTCACAAAATATGATTGAAATAGAAAAAGCTTTGTTATATCAAAGATAATCAATTCTTTTAACTCCTTCCCAGTTATATACCCAAATCATGGTCATCTATCATCAAAAATTATTTTTAATGATCTATCAGCTGACAATTCAATTAGGTGTTCCATCAATTTGAACTTCTTTGAAGAATGGAGAATCAACTAACTGTGAACATTTATTTTTGGTCATTGCACTCATTCATATTCTCAATTTCTAGAAAGTATATTTAAAAATCTCTTCCATGGCAATTATATTGTGTCACTTTTCCACAAGAAGTGCCTCATTTAATCTGATATACTCTGAAAGGGTTAGAATAATCAAGATATTATTAATTTTGAAATATCTTACTAGTATAATTTTTAAAAAATAAGTTTACACACACACACACACACACGGAGCTGCAGATTTAGCTCATTCACTTATAAATTTTGTCCACCATTTAACTTAATTAGTAAAGCCAAACTCACCGTCAATCAAACTGACTTTCAGTAAGAAAAAGCTTGACTTTTGCTGCATTTTAAAATTCAATGAAACATGTCAACAGGCATCCTGGAGTCAACATTCATCACTTAATGAATTTTCTTTCTGGTGGAGTGAAAGATAAGGTACGGAGACTTGCCATGAGTTTGTCACCTGCAGGAAGTAGGTGCTGCCACCTTTAGTGTTTCTTCCAACTCTCTCTTTGGTGTGCTTTGCTCTCCCACAGAAAGGACCATTCTTTGACAATACTAGTAAGGGAATGGACTCTTCCGTTGTTAAATGAAATACGAGGAGTCTTCAAAAAGTTCATGGAAATGTGTAATATAAGGTAACTACGCATGGATTTCTGATTTTTTTTTGCACCAAAATAAACCCATGCTAACTTGTTATAACATAGATACACAGGATCTAGTTTGAGGCACTAAGAGGGATAAAACATCAGTTTGAAAAGAGCCCCTATCAGAGAAACATGAATTCTGATAAAATTGAAGCAAAAGAAACCATCACATTTATGCTAAAGCTTAGGTGGAAGAATGGTGAAATCACTGATGCTTTATGAAATGTTTAGAGGGACAAGGCCCAAAGAAATTAGCTATTTACAAATGGCTAACTCATTTTAAGAAGAGATGAGATGATGTTGAAGATGAAGCCCACTGCAGCAGACCATCCACATCAATTTGCAAGGAAAAACTTAATCTTGTTTGTGCCCTAATCGAAGAGGACCAACAATTAACAGAAAAGATAGCCAACACCATAGATATCTCAATTGGTTCAGCTTCCACAATTCTGATTGAAAGATTAAAGTTGAGCAAACTTTCCACTTGATGAGTGCCAAAACCATTGCACCCAGATCAACTGCAGAAAAGAGCAGAGCTTCAGTGGAAATTTAAATAAGTGCAATCCAGATCCTGAAGAATTTCTTTAAATAATTGTAGCCCCTATCAGAGCAATATGGCTTTATCAGTACCATCCTGAAGACATGGCACAAAGAAAACAATGACTACCAAAAGATGAAGTGGCCTAATCAAAGCAAAAGAGACTGGTCAAGAGCAAAGGTCATGGCAACAGTTTTTTGGGATGCTCAAGGCATTTTGCTTGTTGACTTTCTGGATGGCGAAAAAATGACAATATCTGCTTATTATAAGCATGTTTTGAGAAAGTTAGCCAAAGCTTTAGCAAAAAAGTGCCTGGGAAATCTTCACCAGAGACTCCTTCTCCACTATAACAATGCTCCTGCTCATTCTTCTCAGCAAACGAAGGCAATTTTTTGAGAGTTTTGATGGGAAATCATTACGCAACTACCTTACATTCCTGATTTGGCTTCCTCTGACTTCTTTTTGTTTCCTAATCTTAACAAATAGTTAAAGGGCATTCATTTTTCTTCAGTTACAAGAGTAATAGACTACATTGGCATGGTTAAACTCCTGGGATCTCAGTTCTTTAGGGATGGACTCAATGGCTGGTATCATTGCTTACAAAAGTGTCTTGAACTTGACGGAGCTTGTCTTGAGAAATAAAGCTTATATTTTTTATTTTTAGCCTTTAATTTTATTTTTTCCACAAATTTTTTGAAGCCCTCTTGCATATCTTATTGTGTTCCTTCATTTGATACTCTGGAGGTTTTAATCTCCTGGGAACAATGCACTATACTAATTAAGGCTCAGGACAGTTTAGGGGGATCCCTTTCTTTTGTGAAGTGGAACTGCAAAAGGGAAGTGGGAAAGGAAAACCCACAGAAGCCCTGACCATGAGACATTCTTAGGAAAGATAGTCATAGAAGTCGAATATCTAGAATTAGATTCCCTTAAAATGACCTGTCTTTATATATCTTTTGGGAAGTCTTGGGTTACCCCTGGCCAGGCATCATGCCTTGGTTTGAAGACCATTGGTCTAACCCTAAGAGTGACAGTATGGCCAGATCTGTAAGAAGACCACATTGCCTCTCACCTTCCACATATAATGCCACTCACCAAAAATTGTTTGAGAGCCAGGCACAGGCTGGATCCTTTGGGGAAAAGTATGCTCTATCACTTCCTACAAGGAGTTGAAGGAGTTCAGTAATATGCTCAAAATATGTCCATTGCTTATCTTGAGCTGAAGGCACTTGAAAAGCCGTACACACAAGGAGATGCTTTCTCTGAACTCCCTTAATCTGCCTGAAGACAGATGCCCCAAAAGGAACTCAAGTGTCCTAAATCCCTCTGCAGGGGTTTCATCAACTGAGGAAGATTTACCCTTATCACAGGAGCAGAGACTAGAAGTCAACACCACACCCAGATGAACTGCCCTAAGCTAACATATCTACCATCCATTATTCTAAGGGCCCATGCATCTTTCTTAAAAATCATTTACTCTCTCCAGAGTGGCCTATGTCCTCCCTCTCCTTCCCCTATTGATGATATATAAATTCTTAAATGTCATCATTTTTTGGGTATTCACTTTTTTCCCCTGTGATGACCCCCTGCATGTGGTGTTACAAATTAATGAATTTGTATACCTTTGTCCTTTTGACCTGCCTGTCATCAGTTTATTTTATAGACCCAGTTATTGAACGTTGGAGAGTGAAGAAGGTCTTCCCTCCCTGCTATGGTCTAAATGTTTGTGTTCCCTCAACATTCAGATGTTGAAAACCTAAGCATAAATGTGATCATATTAGGAGGTGGGGTCTTTGGAAGGTGGCTAGATCATGGGGGCACACCCCTCATGAATGAGAATAGTGCCATTTTAAAAGAGGCCTCAGACAGATGCCTTGCTCTTCCGCAATGTGAGGACGCAGTGAGAAGGTGCCCTCCCCAGATGCAGCAATCTACCCGTGCCTTGATCTTGGACTTCCCATCCTCCAGAACTGTAAGAAATACATTTCTGTTGTTTATGAGTTACCCAGCTTATGGCATTTTGTTACAGCAGCCTAAACAGACTAAAACACACCCCTATAAGGGTCTATTTGTTGGAAGCAAGTCACCAGGTCCTGCTCACACTTAAGAGGAGGAGATTACATAAGGGCATGAATACTGAGAGGCAGAGATCATTGGGAGCCATCTTAAAAATTTTGAAGTTTCTTTGTTCTCAGTTTTGTGTCCTGGTTGCTCTATGAGTTAAGAAGAAAAGTCTCACTCTATATGCAGTGACAGAAATTATAAGTGTTTCAAAGAAAATATGTGTAAAATTGTTCACTGCTATGTTGTTGATAATAAAAAATTAGAAATAGCATACATTGCCCTAAAAGTCTGGGAAGTATCCAGGTAGCCTGTACCTCCCCTGACACACCCATCCTCATCAATCCCTGCTCAGCGGCATCAGTTTAGACCCCGAGGCAGGAGAGGACAAAAATGTATAGAGAAAAGCTGTGCATCTATTGATACTCCTGGCCTCCTCCACCTCTCTCCACTTCCCTTTGCCAACAAGAATGTGCATAGGCTGGACACAAAGGCAAGCAAAACCACAATTGGAGCCCGATAGGCTCGGGGAAGATGAAAACATGAAAAAGACTAGAGCTAACAATGGGGCCAGGACAGGAAATATCCCTCTATTTCCAGAATCTTGCCAAGATATGTCTACCTATCGGTGTCTTAATTGATTTGTTCTGTATAGCAGGTTGAGTAATGTCCCTCAAAATTCGTGTCCACCAGAACCTCAGAATATGACCTTATTTGAAAATAAGTTATTTGCAGATGGAAGTAGTTAGAAGATCTCAAGAAGAAATCATACTGGTTTCATGATGGTCCCTAAATCCAATGACTGTGTCCTTCTAAAGAGAGAATGCATCAAGAGACACACAGGGGAGGCCAAGTGAGGACAGAGGCAGAGATTGGAGTGATTCTGCCACAAGCCAAGAAGCTGGAAGAGGCAAGGAAGCTTCCAGAAGCTGGAAGAGGCAAGGAAGTATTCCTCCCTAGAGCCTTTGGAGAAAGCATGGCCCTGCTGACATGTTGCTTTGGGGCTTCCAGCCTCCAGAACCATGAGAGAATAAATTTCGGTTGTTTTAACCCACTCAGTTTGTTACAGCAGCCCTGGGTGACTAATTCAGTCTGGATGAAGGAGTCTCTTCAATTTACAAACCTTTTTAGGTCAGTACTTTATTGTCCTCATTTCTTCTTCAAATCACGTAGAATTCACAGGTATGATTTCTATTTTCTGTCTTTTACCTTTATATTCTCTCTAATTGTTTTGATATGTTTGTTCTTTAGCTCTGCATTCTGAGAGAGCTTCTCCAATGTCAGGAAACATTGTGAAAGACTGAGATGGGCAAAAGATGACCTGGTGGCTTTTCAGTGGAATGTTGGATGTTGTATAGAGCAGCAGTCCCCAACTTTTACGTACCAGGGACCAGTTTGTGGAAGACAATTTTTCCACAGAAGGTGAAGGAGGAGTGGTTTTGGGATGAAATTGTTCCACCTCAGATCACTGGGCATTAGATTATCCTAACGAGTGTGCAACCTAGATCACTCGCTTGCACAGTTCACAATAGGGTTTGTGCTCCTATGAGAATCTAATCCTGCTGCTGATCTAACAGGAGGCGGAGCTCAGGTGGTAAGGCTCCCTGGCCAGCTGCTCACCTCCTGCTGTGTGGCCTGATTCCCAGCAGGCCACGGACTGGTACTGGTCTGCAGCCCAGGGGTTGGGAACCCCTGGTATAGAGAACTATTTGTGGTTATCTGATCCTATAAGGTTCTGAGACTTTCATTATATATTTTTTCATGGTTATATTATAAATCTGGAATATGTAGAGACCTGGTAGTAATGGAAATGATTCTTATCCATAGGAATAGGGAAAGGAAGGAGGGATCCAAGGAGGCAAAAGTGTGGCCTGAGTGCCTATGGGGATGAAGGGTGCCCAGAAAGAGTGTTCACAGAATCCTTTCTTTTCACTAACAACCACTTTTTTGAAGACTGGCCCCATGCTCAGTGGAATCCTTAATTTCCCTCCAGCATCTTGATTGTCACTCTTAAATGGTTCACTGTGTCTTAGCATAGCTGAAGCATTTGCCAAACTGTACAACAAGAAAAAAAAATGGTTCCTGGAATTTTGGTCCTTTAATCACTGCTCCAGACTGGTTCTGGGAACTAAGAGGCACCATCTGCAAAAGGCTTTTGGAGGAAATAGGGTGGGAAGAGGTGTGGGTGGAGTTGTCAGGGAGAAGAATATGTCCCTAGATCCATTAGAGCAGTCTGATCTGCCGTCCCTCTAAGCTGTGCAGCCACTTTGAGGAGAAAACCATTTTGTGGTTGTCTTCAGCAAGCCTAGATATTTTAACTTCATTTCCAGGCTGGTCCTTGCCACTCTTTCCTTGATTTATTTTCTGTTTTTTGGCTGTTGTAACAGGAAAATCTGTTCCCTTGCCAAACAAACAGCACTGAAAAAGATAGGCCAGGAGAAAGTTCCCACTTAGAGCCTCACCTCTAGGCTTCTGGAGGATAAGCTGCTCTTCCACTCCTTGACCCTGGCTTGGTCCTTGCATGCCTGGGGGCAGACGGGAAGGAAGACAGGCCTTCCTGTCAGAGACGTGGAGCAGGGTCAAGTTCCACCTTCTCTGTAAAGTCTGCCCTGGCCACTCAGTCCTCTGACCCTTTGAACTCCTGCTTCACTCACTATTCTACCCATTTTTACATTGAATGCTAGACTTGGGTGAATTTTACAAATCATCATTTTTCCAATATGGAATTATAATTTTTTCCAGCTGTAAACTCCTTAAACAGCAAGGACCATACTCTGGCTTCTTTTCTGTTTACGGGAGTCCTTAGCATGAACCTGGACTCATGGTAGAAGTTTAGCAATTACTTGAGTTGACCTAAATTCAAGTCATTGCTCGGCCACTAGCAGTATAATAGCATGAACATTTCCGAGGTTAGGTAAAGAATGCTGGGAGGTGATCAGACCCCCAGCTCCCTAGATGTCCTGCAATGATATCATAGGGAATTATGCCAGTCCCCAGAATGTCACCTCCAAAACTCCCTGCAGGGCCCTGGTATTAGGGAATTGTCCCACTCCCAGAGGAAAAAAAGAGTTGTCTAACCTACTTTATGTCAGTACACTTACAGAACCTTTCACTGTGCTTGGCCATGGTGGCTAGTATTTCTTCCCCAGTTCCTCGGCTCCTCCCTATCTTCAAGTGAAGCTTCAACTTTTTATTTGCTCTCTTGTCACACTCTCATCGCTCTCTCCTATGTCTTCTCTGGATTTTGGAGAAAGCAAATCCTAGCAAGCTTTGTCAAGTATTATCTTCTTGTTCCTTCAAGGAATTCTTTTACAGCTTCCTTTCCCTAAAAAGTCCTTCCTGTCTGGGTAGAGAAGATAGTTTTCCTTTTCTTCTTGTGCAAATTATTCTACTGTGTTCAAAGCAACAAATACTTAGTTGATGATGCATGTGTTCTTTTTTATATAAAGGTATTAATTTATTTAATTTCACTTTAAGTTTAGGTTTTGACCTTTATCTGGGTTCTCTGCTTAAGTGTATGTTTCCAATATCAGGCTAAATGGGGGTAATCCTCTTGGAATGGACTCTGTATTAGTACATTTTCATGCTGCTGATAAAGACATACCCTAAACTGGGTAATTTATAAAGAAAAAGAAGTTTAATGGACTCACAGTTTCACGTGGCTAGGGAGGCCTGACGATCACAGCAGAAGGTGAAAGGCACATCTTACATGGCGGCAGACAAGAGAGAATGAGAGCCAAGCAAAAGGGGTTTCCCCCTATAAAACCATCAGATCTTGTGAGACTTATTCACTACCATGAGAACAGTCTGTGGGAAGCTGCCTCCGTGATTCAGTTATCTCCCACGGGGTCCCTCCCACCACATGTGGGAATGATGGGAGCTACAATTCAAGATGAGATTTGGGTGGGGACACAGCCAAACTATATCAGTCTCTCTGGGACTAAGAGATCTGCAGTGTTGGTTTTCTGTGCCTCCATTTTCTCTTTTCCCCTGGGTGGCTCACCCTCCCTTGGTGGAGTCTCTGTGCTCCCCTGTTCTTCTCCCCTCTCTTATTCATATTGGCTTCTAAGAAAGGATCTCAGAGGAACTGCATCAAGACCCAAATACATTGCTTACTTCTTCAGTGGGCAGGAAATGGAGAGAGAGGCCAGGTCAAATCAACCATCTAAACCCCATAGAGCAATGCCAGAAACAGAATGGGAATAAGGCTAAGCCTGCTTATTGGCAAAGGGCCTCCCTGGTGTCCCAGAAGCTCATCTACACGGCCAAGCATTCTCTTAGTTGCCTTGCCAAGCTAAGCTGTCCTGACTTATTTAGAGTGGACGTGGCACTGGCCAAGTCTGGAGTATTTGAACTCGCAGTCTTGTAACAGAATCAATCAGAAAATTCTAGAGTTGAAGGCAAGGTTTGACATTGTCTAACATGGATATTTTACTTTGCTGATGAGGAAACTGCAGTCCCAATAGAAATGATGAATCGTCCTTCCATTTGTTAGGGCGGAGCTGGGCCTAGAGCCCTGGTTTCTTGATTTTCACTCCAAAGCTTGCCCACTACCCTTTTTTCCCCGGTTTTTATGGCTATACTTGTTTGTTTATTTTTTAATATGAACTTTACAATCAGCTGTTCTAGTTCCATGAAAAAGGTCCTATAGGTGTCTTTATTGCAATCATATTAGATTTACATTATTTATAAAATAACTGAATAGAAAATTGAAATTTTCATGATGTGGAATCTCCATATCTAACAATATAATATACCTTTTATTCTTTTCAAGCTCCTTTTGCGTCCCCAGGAGTATTTTAAAGTTTCCTTCACATATTTCTTGAAATTTTTAAGTTATTTTCATGTATTTTATACTATTTTTGCTATTGAAAATAGGGCCTTTTCTTCTACTATATCTTCTGTTACATATTTATTTCTATAAAGGCTATTGTTTACTGTATATTAATTTAATAACCGGATTTATTACCGAATTCTCTTGTTTTCAACAGTTTTTCAATAGGTTCTCTTGGGTTTTCAGGATATACAGTCATGTCATCTACAAATCATGATATTTTTGCCTCTGCTTCTCATATCAAATACAAAAGTTATTCAGCATGCCATCAAAATTAAAAAGTTTTATGCTTCAAAGGATACAATCAAGAAAGTAAAAAGACAACACACAGAATGGGAGAAAATTTTTGCAAATCATCTACCTAATAAGGGACTTGTATCTAAAATATACAAAGAACTCTTACAACTCAATAATAAAAACACAAATAACCCAATCAAAAAGTGAGAACAGGGCCCAGTGTGGTGACTCATACCTGTAATCCAAGCACTTTGGAAGCCAAGGCAGGAGGATCACTTGAACTCAAGAATTTGAGACCAGCCTGGGCACCATGGTGAGACCTCATCTCTACTAAAAGTTAAAAAAAATAAAATTAGCCAGGCATGGTGGCATGTGCCTGTGGTTCAAGCTACTTGGGAGGCTAAGGCAGGAGGATCACTTGAGCCCCAGAGGTTGAGGCTGCAGTGTGCCATGTTCACACCACTGCACTCCAGCCTGGGTGACAGAGCAAGACCCTGTCTCAAAAGAAAAAAAAAAAAAGCAAAGGATTTGAATAGACATTTCTCTGATGAGGATATACAAATGACCAATAAGCATATAAAAAGATGTTCAACATCATTAGCCATCAGGGAAATGAGATACTATTTCATACTTGCTAGAATAGCTATAATCAAAAACCCAGCTAATAAAAGTGTCGGCAAAGATGTAGAGAAATGAAGCCCTCATATGCTGCCAGTGGAATTTAAAATGGTACAGCTGGTTTGGAAAACATTCTACCAATTCCTCAAATGGTTAAACATAGAGCTACCACATGACCCAACAATTCCACTCCTTGGCATCAACCCAAGAGAAATGAAAACATACATCCACACAAAACTTCTACATTAATGTCCATAGCAGCATTATTTATAATAGTCAAAAAGTGGAGACAATCCAAATGTCCACCAACCTATTAACTGATAAATGAAATTGCTATATTTGTACGGTGGAATTGAAGTTAGCAATAAAAAGAAGCAAAGTACTGATACATGCTACAATACGGATGGACCTTGAAAACAATGCCAAGTGAATAAGCCAGTCACAAAGGACCACATATTATATAATTCCATTTAAATGAAATGCCCAGATGAGACAAATCTGTAGACAAAAAGTAGATTCATGTTTTCCAGGGGGTGGGGTGGGAGTGGGGAAATGGAGAGATTGATGGGTGATGGCTAAGGGGTATAAGGTTTTTGGGGGGTGGGTAGGAGAATATTCTAAAGTTGATTGTGGTGATTGCTGCACATCTCTGAATATACTAAAGGCACTGAATTTTACAGTTTAAATGGATAAATTTTATAGTATGCGAATTCTATCTTAATAAAGTTGTTTAAAATTATGCATGGGAAAACCGGGGACCAATTTTGGATCTAAAGTGCGTGTTGGGGGTGGATGCAGGGTAGTTGTTCTTGCATTAGCATAATAGGAGACGGGTGGAATAGAGGAGTCCCAGCTCAGGGAGAAGGGAACGATACTACCAGTCAGAAAATTCTCAAGCTGAAAGCAAAGTTAGACATCTTCTAGCCTGGATGCTTTACTTTGCTACTTATATTGAGAAGGAATCTGGGGCTGAGGCTGACTGACTAACAATGTCTGTCTGCCATTATGATAGCCAATATAGATTAAATAGGACCTTTGTGCCAGGCACTGGTTTAAATACTTTATATGCTTCATCCCATTTAATTCTCTTAAATATACAAGGTAGGTAATATCATCAGCTCTAGTTTATAAATGAGGAAAATTCAGCCACAGCTTTGCTCAAGATCCATGGGCTGCTCAGTGATAGAGTCAGGAGTCAGACCCCAGAAGCTGGACACCAGAGTCCTCTCTGTTAGGCAATAGTGACTCTACTGAGGGCATGGAAGCCTACGTTTGAAATCTATCATCTGGAAGTGGTCACCCTTCTTGGGATAAACTAGGCATTTATCCCAGCTGAGGGGAGTCACAGCTCATCCGCAGACATCTGGGTCACAGGCTGCAGGGTGCAGGGGGAACAGAATGCCGCAGAAATGTCTCGGGGGATGCCAGGTGGGGAGAGCAAGTCGTAGACATACAAAAATCCCCTCCAGCCCCCACAATCACAGCCTTTGTCATCTGACAGTTTTGCCTGAGCTTTTTCATGTGAGGAGTTTCTAAGGCCCTTCGGGGCCAGGCTAATGCCTTAGGTGGGGGCTACAAACTGAACATGAGTGAGGCAGTCTGTGTGTAGATGTGCTTGGCTTTTCTGGGTGACCTGCATGCAAAATGTCACGTGCCTCGGTGGGAACAGGCACTTCTCAGTTATTTAACCCTTTTCCTGTTTGCCCTGAGAATACTTGCCGGCAGCGCTTGCAGCTGCAACGTTTACCCCAAGATAACTTTGCCACAGAATATCTCGCTGTTATTATTGTTGTCGACTTTGGCAACAAAAGCCATCATTCTATTTGTAGCATTCTGTTTTTAGTAGTGGTATTTCCATTCACAATGTATAGCAATTCTCGATTGCTGAAAATGTCAAATCCTTGAAAACGTAGCATTCTTATGAGTGATGTTAATATCGTTCTTGGACAATTTTTGGCCAAAGATTCATTTGATGAATCTGAGTTTTCTGAAACAGATGATTCCAGGGTTAGTTGTGTTTAGAAATGACTCCAAGAACAGTTTTTATATTTCATTTTCGCATTGAAAATCAGTCTATTTGCTTCAGCCTCAAAGAGCATGTTTATGTAAAATTAAATGAGGCTTGCAGCGAGCTGCACTTTTTTTTTCTAAACAGAAAAAGTTAAGGGGCAAAGGAAACTCACTGCCCTGACACTGCTCACATAGGGGGTCAGCCAAGACTGGGCGAAACTAGTAACGCACCAGGGCCTGGCATCCCATGGAGTCACCCAGCCAGTCTCCCTGAGGTTCTCCTGGGGACACTCAACCATCAGCCAGCTGCCCCTAGCCTTGGGAGTCTCCTCAGTGGGGGTGTGGGAGGAGCTGCTCGCTTCTCGTCCCCTGTAGTGGAGATCTGGGCCTCTTTCCCCCTCAGCATAGAATGAGGCTTCACAGGCCTATGCTCCCTCCCGCCCCCAAAACCCAACAGGCTGTCCTGCCATGCTGTGGCGGCGGGGGGTTGGGGGGATGGCGAATGGGAGGTGTCTTGAGCACACAAGGCAGAGGCAGTGATATCAGTGGAGGAATGAGGCAGAAAGGTGTTGCTTGGATGTAAAACAGGGAAGAAAACACAAAACGAATACAGGGAGAAATGTGAGAAAAGATAAATGTGGAATTTGGCACCTGGCAGGCACAGGTAGGGTATGGGCCCCACGCCCTGGTTCGTCTCAGCTTGTTCGTAGCCTTCTCAGATCGTCCTCTACCTTCCTCTCTGAGTTTGCTCTCAGCATTACCTGGGTGTATGTGTCCCCTCTGCCGCTCACTACCCATGGGTCCTGAGGGAATCTGTTCCCTGAGCCTTGGCCGTCTTGCCTGTGAAGTGGGTGGCATGACAGGGGAGCTTCCTTCACAGGGTGGCTGTAAAGGTTACACGAGGCAGAGCCTGTAAGTCACTGAGCACAGTAGGGTCTTAACAGCAGCTCAGTAAGTGAGATCTATTTTATTATGATATTTTTAATATTTATGTATTTATTGAGATGGAGTTTGGCTCTTGTTGCCCAGGTTGGAGGGCAATGGCTCAATCTTGGGTCACCGCAACATCCGCCTCCCGGGTTCAAGCTATTCTCCTCTCTCAGCCTCCCAAGTAGCTGGGATTACAGGCATGTGCCACCACACCAGGCTAATTTTGTATTTTTTTAGTAGAGACGGGATTTCACCATGTTGGTCAGGCTGGTCTCCAACTCCCGACCTCAGGTGATCCGCCCACCTTGGCCTCCCAAAGTGTTGGGATTACAACTTTTGAGCCACTGTGCCCGGCCAAAATTTGTTTTTAATGTAGCACAGCATTTACCATTTCAACCATTTTTGAGTATACAATTCAGTGGCATTAAGTACATTCGTACTGTTGTACAACCATCACCACCATCCATTTCTAGACCTTTTTCATCATCCCAAACAGCAACTCTCTTTCAATTACTCCCCCATCCCTCCTTCTCCCCTGCACCTGATAACCTGTAATCTATTCTCTGTCTGTATAAATTGGTCCATTTTAGATATTTCATGTAAGTAGAATCATACAGTGTTGGTCCTTTGTGGCTGGGCATGTTTAACTTAGCCTTATAATATTTTAAAGCTTATAATGTTAAAAGCATATAAAGTTATAATGTTTTCAAGGTTCACCCATGTTGTAGCATGGATCAGAACTTCATTCCTTTTTAAGGCTGAATAATATTCCACTGAAAGTTTTGTTTAACCATTTGTCTGTTGATGGACATCTGGGTTGTTTGCACCTTTGGCTTGTTGTGTCTATTAGAGGCGTTATAGTCACTCATCTATGAAGAAGAAGTGTAGTCTGGGTTGGGGGGTCAGAGCACAGCCTCTGGAGCACACTGCCTGAGGCCTCGTCCTTTATCTTACCACCTGGGATGTTGGTACATGTCTTAACCTCTTTCTGCTACAGTTTCTCATCTGTGAAATGGGGATACGAGGCTTGGGCTCCTGTGAGGAGGAAATGAGCCAACACAGATAAAGTAGCTATAGTGGTTTCTGTCACCTGGTCAACATGCAGGAAGGTTAGCTGTCACTCTTGTGTTGGGAGTTTACATCTTTACTGAGACCTATCTGGGTGGACTGGAGTTTTCTAACTTGTAGGAACTGGTGGTCAAAGAGACAGAATTGAAAAACTGGAAAATGCTAGAGGTGAAAAAGACTTCAAAGATCACCTACTCAAACTTCCTCCTTTTACCAACAGGGAAACTGAGGCCCAGAGAAGAGGGGGCCAGAGTGACAGAGGCAGAACTGGAGGCAGGCACCTGCCCCCAAACTTTAGACCTCAGCTTCAGCTCCAAGCCTGGCTTCACCACCCCCATCCCCTCGCTGGGTTCGCTTCTCCAAAAATCACACCAAGTTGGGGGGTGAGGGTGGCTTCCCCGCTACCGTACCCAGGTTAGTAAAACTCCCAAGTTTTGGCAGGGGGAGGATTCCCAGGAGCAGGGTTCTGCTCCCCACCCACCCTTGGACCTTGACTCAGACCCAACGCCAGCTGTTTGTTGCGCTATGCACACCACCTATCCTTTCTTTTACCAACTTCTGGGCTGGGGGCTGCAGGGGGTGGGGGATATCAAAAAGCTTTACTTGGGAGGGTCTTTTCTGGTGGGGTCTAGGAGTAGGCGGGGAGGAACCCAGACCTGGCCAGCCATGGTGGCGAGACTTTGGTTGTTTTAGGATTAGGTACCTGCATTCAGTAAGCACGTCTGTTGTTCAGCTGTTCGTATTCTCTTTGTTCATTTCGTTGATTTCCTGTGAGGTTATTCTTGGAGAATTCCAGCCTGTCTGAGCTCCACAAAGTGGGCTGGCGGGCACAGCCCACACCTGGGCAAGAGAACAAGGCAGACAAGGTGACTTGGTGGCAGTGAGAACAACAGGGCAGTGCCAATGGAGACAGAAACCTGGGGAAGATATGGGACCATCTGTCAAACTGTCCCCTTCTCCTGGAAGAACTTCTCTTTGGAGCACTTTGATGAAAGAATTGTTTGTTTGTTTGTTTGTTTGTTCAAAGCCAAAATTGTATGCACCCATCCACCCCCACATCCTCTAAGGAATTAATCTGACAAAAGTAATTTTTACTAACCTAGGTGTGGAAGGGAGAGAATTTACAGTCCATTAGGGGAGGTGCCATGAGGAGGGGAGGGTGCTTCGGGGAGGATGGGGAAAGGGCAGGGGGTGCCGCATGAGTAAAGGAGTAGGACGACAATGGCAAATTTGGGAAAGCTAATGTTTATAGCTTTAGCAGAAATCTTTGTTTTGTCCTTCTTTGTCATTTTCCTCTCCCTCTCTTTTATCTTTCCTGGTGTGTTAGTCATCACCACAGCAAAGACTCTTTTCTTCAGAGACCTCAATCTGCTGGTAGCAAGGACTGGACAGTTGTGACCAAGCCCCTTCCTCACCTCCCAGCTCTCACTCAGGACAAATTCATTCTGGATTGGAACTGGGAGGTGAGAGTTGGAGTCCAATTTAGAAGATGTGGGGAAATGTCTGGGGTGGGTCTGAGCAGGCTCTTCTCCAGGACGGGAGACGTTCACATCTGCACCTGCAGTGAAAACAAACACCCAGCAATGGGGCAGAGGGAGGAAGGGAAGGCTCCTGCCCCTGATCCAGCAGCTGAAAGTGAGAAGCTGATAATAGCGACAATGCCTGAAATGCACTCCACGGTAATCGAGCTGCATCTGGCTCGAGCCCTCTGGGAAAGGAGGCCACATCCGGCCTGCCAGGCTGCACCATGCAGACATGGGGTGTGGCTGGTCAGTGTCAACAGCATGTTCCCAACCACCCCCTGCAGCCGGGGGTGGGAGGGAGGTCCAATCTCCAGGCCACAAGGCCAATTTTCTCCTGCCAGAGTGAAGGAGAACATCCAAGGCCACCTTTTCCCAGCCCCAGTTTCCCTGCGAGGCTCAACTTTCCTGGAGGTGAAGTCGTCAGGAGCCACCACACTAACGGTACTAACAGCCCGCCCTTACAGTGCACTTCCCAAGTGCCAGCACTGTTGAGAGTTTTTGTCTAACTCATCTCATTGAATCCTCATAACAGCTCTATGAGATGGGGTTTATCTCCATTTTTCAGATGGGGAGACCGAGGCATGGAAAGGGGGCAGCACTGGCATAAGAATATAGCAGTTTGGCTCCAGAGCGGTGCCCTTCACTGTTGGGAGGCACTGCCCTGTGTCTCCATAGCACAAGCCAGGGTGGAGATTTGGCCTGCATCATGCGCCAAAGAACCCGAATGTCCTAGAGATGTAATCTGTGGATATTTAGTTGGCACAGGTGATAGCATGGCATCAGAGTCAACCATCAACTCACTTGGAACAGGGGGGGAATCTCGTCGAACCTGACGCCCTGCTAAGGTTAGGGCAGCTGGGCCTGCAGAGGTTGCCTGGGGTCATGCAGCTAGAAAATGGCAAAGCAAGGATCAGATCCGAGGTCTCCTGACAGTATCCTGTCAACTGTTCCATATATTTTTTTTGTCCCTGCCGGCCCCCACAAGCCAAAGGCCCCACAGTGGAAGGCAGGGGTGGTGAGTGGCAGGGGTGGTGAGTGGCAGGTGTCTGTTGGAGATTTCCCGGGAGAGAGGGGCTGTGTTGACTGATCGCCAGCCCCTGCCCTGGCTCTGGCTCCTTGGTTTCCCCTCCATCTGGTCTTTACCTCCATCTGGTTCACTGTAAAGAGGACTGAGGAGAACTGGAGAGACGTTTGGGTCCCCATCTCCCTGGGGTGAGGGCTGAGCAGTGTCCCTGAGGACCCTCTGGCTGGCCCGGGAACCCGTTTAGGCAGGTCTCACCTTGGGGCTCTCTGTGAGCTCAGTGTGGATTAGAGTGGGACCAAGCACCTGGCCAGGTCCCAAAGAGGAGTGTTTGGCCTGGCATGGAGCTACCTGTGGATAAAGGAGCCCTGCTGGGCTGTCATCGCAGGTAGTGGCAAAGGCTCTGGATGAAGTGTCCAAACTGGTTTAACACCTTCTTGGTATGCCTCTTATTTTGTGGGTTTATTTCATTCACCTGTTAAGAACCTGCCCTGCCTTAATCTCTGTTACCTGAAGAATGAATGTCTGGATAGGGGTTTCCTTTGTTTGTTTTGTTTGTTTAAGGGCTGTGCTTGCCTCCTGTGCTGGGCTCAGCTGGTCTGCACTCTAGGCCCCCAGCCCACAGGCTGCGGGCTGGCAGACTGGAGTTCTAGTGATGTTTGGACCCAGATGCAAAATCATTTCAGCTGTTAGAATATGAAGCCCACTCTTTAGTCCATGTGTGATTAGGGGAGCTTGGGATCAATTCCTTGACCCAAAATATTCCTGACTCCACATGCCTGATGACCCTAAATGACACCAGTAGATGTAAGGTCCCTTCTTCAATCAACTTTTTTTAGGCCATTAGTAACTTATTTGTTTATTGTGGTACAAAAATATATAACATGAAATCTACCTTCTTAAATTTTTAAGTGCATTATTGTTAACCAAATGCACAGTGTTATATAGTAATACAGATCTCTAGAACTTTTTCATCCTGCATGACTTAAACTTTGTACCCACTGAACAGAGACTCCCCGCTTTTCCCGTCTCCAACCCCTGACAGCTACTTTCTGTTTCCAAGAGTTTGAGTACTTCAGATTCCTCATACAAGTGGAATCATGAAGTATTTGCCATTCTGCAACTTGCTGATTTCACTTAGCATAATGTCCTCAAGCTTCATTCATGTTGTAGCATATGACAGGATTTCCTTCCTTTTTTAAGACAGAATACTATTCCACTGCTTGTATGACCACATTTTCTTTATCCATTCATCTGTTAATGGACATTTCGGTTGTCCCTGGGCTGCAGACCAGTACTCTCTGTGGCCTGTTAGGAACCAGGTTGCACAGTAGGAGGTGAGCAGCAGGTGAGCGAGCATTACTGCTTGAGCTCTGCCTCCTGTCAGACCAGCAGCAGCATTAGGTTCTCATGGGAGCAGGAATCTCTGGCTACTGTGAATAATGCTGCAATGAACATGGGAGTACAAATATCTCTTTGAGATTATGATTTCAATTCTTTTGGATAAATACCCAGAACAAGGATTGCTGCTGTATTAGTTCATTGTCACACTACTCTAAAGAACTACCTGAGACTGGGTAGTTAATAATGAAAAGAGGTTTAGGCCAGGCATGGTGGCTCATGCCTATAATCCCAGCACTTTGGGAGGCCAAGGTGGGCGGATCACGAGGTCAGGAGATTGAGACCAGCCTGACCAACATGATGAAACTCCGTCTCTACTAAAAATACAAAAAATTTGCTGGGCATTGTGGCGTGCACCTGTAATCCCAGCTACTCAGGAGGCTGAGGCAGGAGAATCGCTTGAACCCTGGAGGTGGAGGTTACAGTGAGCCGAGATCACGCCACTGCATTCCAGCCTGGGCAACAGAGCGAGACTCTGTCTCAAAAAAAAAAAAAGAAAGAAAGAAAAGAAAAGAGGTTTAATGGACTCGCAGTTCTGCAGGCTGTACGGGAGGCATGGCTGGGGAAGCCTCAGCAAACTTACAATCATGGCAGAAGGCGAAGAAGGAGCAAGCACATCTTCACATGGCAACAGGAGGAAGAGAGTGAAGGGAGAGAAGCACTACACACCTTTAAACAACCAGGTCTCATGAGAAGTCTACCACAAGACAGCACGAGGGGAATGCTGCTAAAGCATTAGATACCAACCCCACGATCCGTTCACCTCCCACCAGACCCCTCCTCCAACACGGAAGATCATAGTTCAGCATGGGATTTGGGTGAAGACACAGAGCCAAACTATATCAGCTGCATCATGTGATAATTCTGTTGTTAATTTTTTGAGGAACCTTCATACAATTTTCCACAGCCACTGCACCATTTTACATCCCCACTAACAGAGCACAAGGGTTCTAATTTCTCCATATTCTCACCAGCACTTGTTATTTATTTATTTATTTTTTTGACAATGGCCATCCTAACAGGTACAATACTCATTGTGGTTTTGACTTGCATTTCCCCAGTGATTAGTGATGTTGGCATCTTTTCATATACTTATTGGCCATTTGTATATCTTCTTTGGAGAAAACTCTATTGAAGTCCTTTGCCTGCTTTTTAATCAAGTTATTTTTACTTTTGTTGTGTGGTTATTGAGTTGTAGGAGTTTTTAAAAAATATATTTTGCTTATTAAGCCCTTATCAGTTATATGGTTTGAAAATATTTTCTCTCATTCCATAGGTTGCCTTTTCACTCTATTGATTGTTACCTTTGCTGTGCAGAAACTTTTTCATTTGATGTTGGTCCACTTGTCTATTTTTGCTTTTGTTGTCTGTTTTTGGTGTCATAGCCAAGAAATCATTGCCAAATCTAATGCCGTGAAGGTTTTCCCTTATGTTTTCTTCTAGGAGTTTTATAGTTTCACATAACTTATGTTTAGATCTTTAATCTATTTTGAGTTAATTTTTGTGTATGGTGTAAGATAAAGGTCCAATTTCATTCTTTTGCATGTGGTTTTCCAGTTTTCCCAGCACCATTTATTGAGAAGACTATCCTTGCTCCAATGTGTAGTCTTGGTACTTTAGGTAAAGGTCATTTGACTGTCTATGCATAGGTATATTTTGAGGCTCTCTCTTCTGTTCCATTGGTCTATACATGTCTGACCTTATGCCATTACCATACTGTTTTAATTACTGTAGCTTGGAATATGTTTTGAAGTCAAGAAGTGTGAGGCTTCCAGGTTTGTTCTTCTTCCTCAAGATTGTTTTAGCTATTCAGGGTCCTTTTTAGTTCCATAAATTTTAGGATTGTTTTTGCTATATCTGCAAAAAATGGCATTTGGATTTTGAGAAGGATTATATTAAATCTGTAGATCATTTTGGATTATATGCACATGTTAACAATATTAAGTCTTTTAACTCAAGGGTTCCCAATCCCTGGGCTGTGGACCAGTACTGGTTCTTGGTCTGTTAGGAACCTGGCCACACAGATCTAGAGATCTGTAGGAGGTGGGTGGGTCTAGAGAGTGAGTGAGATCTAGAGATCTGTAGGAGGTGAGCGGCAGGCGAGCAAATATTACTGCCTGAGCTCCGCCTCTTGTCAGATCAGCGGTGGCATTAGATTCTTATAGCAGCGTGAACCCTATTGTGAACTGTACATGGGAGAGATCTAGGTTGCATGCTCCTTACAAGAATCTAATGCCTGATGATCTGAGGTGGAACCATTTCATCCTGAGACCATCTCTACACCCCCACCTCAGTCCTTGGAAAAACTGTCCTCCACAAAACCGGTCCCTTGTGCCAAAAAGGTTGGGGACCACTCTTTTAATCTATGAAAGATGTCTTTGCATTTATTTGTGTCACTTTAATTTCTTTCAGGAATATTTTATACTTTTCACTGTACAAATCTTTAAGCTTATCCCTAAGTATTTTATTCTTTTTGAGGCAATTGTAAATGAGATTTTTTTCTTATTTTACTGTTGGATTGTTTGTTGTTAGTGCATTAAAATGCAACTAATTTTTGTATACTCATTTTATATCCTGCAACTTTGCTGAATTTGTTTATTAATCCTAACAGGTTTTTTTGGTGCAGAATCTTTAGGGTTTTCCACATGTAAGACCATGACACCTGTGAACAAAGATAATTTTACTTCTTTACAATTTGGATGCTTTTTATTTCTTTTTCTTGCCTAATGCTCTGGCTAGGATTTCCAGTACTATGTTGAATTGAAGTGGCAGCAGTAGGCATCCCTGCCTTGTTCCTGATCTTACAAAGAGGTTCAGTGGAAAAGGGACTGAATTGACAATCAGTCAATCAACAAATACAAAGTGATAACTATGATCCAAAGGATCTTGGTTTTTAGTCTTTCTAACTTGCTTATATACTCACTTCATTACTCTAGGCTGTTTTAACCCCAATAAAAGAGGGAGCTGCATTAGATTATAAGAGTCTGTCCAAATTCAGTGCTCCTTCTAGATTTTATGGTTCCAAAAATGTTATTTAGTACCTACTAGGCATTTAACCAAGGGAAGGTATAAGAAAAGAAATATTAAATTCTCAGTAAATCAACAAAATATAACCAAGCACTTATATACAAGGTGCTAGGCAAGAAGTATTCTTGTTTCTTGCCCAGGAGGAATTTACAATATGTGAGAAAGGTAAGACATGTATATATGGGAAATACAATATCAGTAAGAGAGATGACAGTGCCATTCAAGAAGGCAGGGCATGCTTCATTGCCAAGTGAAGGACACAGGAACAATCTTTAGATAAAAGCAGTTCGCAAAGTAGGGGATATAGTGAGACTTATTCTCAACAAATGGGTAGAAAACACATTGCCAAGATGAATGACATCATGATGTATCAGGTCAGGAATCCAGAGAAGAGAACAGGCTGGAATCGTTGGAGATCGATATTGGAAAGGCTGTGTGTATGGTGAACATTTGCTTCCATTGGGCTCCGCTTTCTCCCTTATTTTGGAAACTATCCTGATTTCTTTCTAGGAAGCACTCCTTCCTCCTCATCAGCCCATGAACTGCAGGTGGAAGCACAACACTCCTTCCCTATCCCCGAGCCATAAGATTGGTCCAGGGATGGGTCTGTGACCCAATCATAGCCAAGGAACACCTGGTATGTCTGCTGGGGCTATTAGGAAAGAGGCAAGTTATCTTTCTCACTGGGCTTGAATCTGCAGCCCATTTTGCCTGCAAACCTCTTGCCACCAGGTGTGTAGAGTCTGTGAGTGGAGCCAACATGGAGAAAGCAAAACCAAGAGATGAAACCAGATCCTAGTGACTTTAGGCAAGACCCTGAATCAAGCCATTCCCAGATTGATCCAACGTTCTGTTGCAAAGTGGGCCTTGAACTAGATTTGGGTGGGTGGAAATGAATAGAGAGGGCAATCCATGCAGATTGTGCCACAAGAACTAGGGCATGTTGATGAGGGAAGGATGTGGTATCCACAGAGCTGTGCAGAAACTGCTTGAGAGAGAAGGTCTGAGTGGACAGTGTGCAAAATACCTTGCAAGATAACACCTATTTTTATTTCTTTGAGTGAGTTTATCTATTTGGACAAATCCAGTGGGACTGCTAAGGAGTGGCATGTAATGGAAAGACAAAGGAAGGGAGACAGAAAAGGCTCTAAAAATAATAGAATAACAGCAAATACTTGCTGAAAACTACATGCTAGGCACTGTAGTAAGCACTTTTTCCATTGAATTCTTTCAGCAGACCATGAGGTATTATCACATCTCCATTTTAAAATGGGGAAACTGAGGCACAAAGAAGATGTCCAAGGTGGCCTATTTAATAAGTGCCAGAGCTAATATTTTAACTTGAACCCCCAGGCTGTCTGACTAGAGCCTGCATTCTTAACCTACCTCTCCTGGCTCTGCAGACATGGTCTCTGCCTTGGGGCAGCCAAGGGCCAGCGTGGTAGTAGGGGGAAGGGGAAGGGGCCAGCTATGGCCAAATGGGGCCACAGGAGAACACAGAAGTCAAATCATTTTCCTCAGGGTGACCTGGATTTGATTATTTGTTCATTTTCACTCAGGTTTTCAAAAACAAAAAAAAATCCTTTCAAAAAAAGCTGTTGGACAAATGCTGAAACTCTGACTTGCCTGCCCCTGCTTAGCAGCCGTCATTGGAATCAGCGGAAGGCTCTGGCTGGCTGCTTCTGATCAGGCCTGCCAGCCTCCTGGGCTGGCTGAGGACACTCACAGCGGGAGCAGGTTCCTTAAGACAAGCCCCCTTCGCTGGCCCTGGCTTGCTCCCTCCTCTCTCCCTGTCTGTTTCCACCTCTGTGTCCCCTTCCCTTGGACTGCCTCAGGAAAAGGAAGAACAAAGTTTTTTTTAAAAAAAGAAGTTTAATGAAACCACACACTTGTATTTCCAACTATTGACATTGGATTTGTGCTTCTCCAGCTCTGCCATTTGGGACAAGTCTTTCTCCTCCTCTCTTCACCCGATGGTGTAATGCAAACAGACCATAAAAAAATAAACTTTCCCCTCAAATATTATCTTAGGCCTCATTTTATCATGCTTCCTTGAGCTGTCTCTGTAAAAGGGAAGAAAAAAGAATGTGGGTTTTAGTTTGCACCAGGCTGGATGGAGAGGGCCCTGTAGCTGGGTCTTCCCAGTGTGGACTCTCTCCTTTGGCTTGTGGTCTCCTTCCCAGAGCACTCAGTGGCTGTTCCATTTCCATTTGTGCCTCACCTAGGTCCCCCACATCAATTCTCCAGTTCTTGTCCATTCACCTGAAAAATGGGCTAATAACACCTACCTACAAGGTTCTGCAACACAAAGGGACTCAGAACACAGGGCGGGTACAATGCAAGGGGAGGCGGTGGGCTCTGATCTAACTGCAGAGAATATGCCCCTGCCTAAATGCAGTCTTGCTCCACTTAAAAGCAAAACAAACAACAAGTGAAAACACTCTGTGATGGCCAAAACAAAACATTGCAAGGTGAGTTTGGGCTTGAAGCTACCTGTTTTGAACTCCACAGGGACTAAGTGAGACAATATTTGAGAGAGAGGCCTTAAAATCCACATTCCCTAGAGTGGACAATGCCCACAATTTACCTCCTAAGGTGAGTGAGCATGAGGACCTTCCCTCCATGAAGGTGGGCTCTGACGGGGTGGGGAGATGGGAAGAAAAACTGAGATTCACAGGGCCTGGAATGATCTCTCAGGAGGTCAAAGGACCTGGGGAGAGAAGGCTGGGCCAATCGAGGCCAGGTTGACCTTTACAACAGTTTTGCCACATTCAGATCTTAGCAACTAGTACATGTATGTGACAAAGCTTTGAATTCTGAAGAAACAAACAAACAAAAAAATCAAGCATTTACCCTGATGGTCCCATTTGAACTGCATCATTGGTAACCAGAGTGGAACAGGAGACATTTCAAATTGGAATTTTGCCATTCTGTAACCCCAAATAAATGAACACCTATGGTTATTATTAAAATAATAATTATTTTAAAGATGATTACACTTTCTGGAGAACAAAGGCACCACCACCTATGACGTTGTCTTGCCAAAAATAATCAAACCCACATTGGATCAAGCCTATAGATCCAACTAGCAATTTACAGGAAATACAGGGGCCAGAGGAACACATCAATGGCACCGTGGGGGTACAAGTGGCAAAATCTATGCTGTGGGAAACTCTACCAATGATCTAGTTCTTGTAACACATACATTCACAAGGGGAAAGGAGTGTGGTAAAGGGGAAGTCTGTACATTAAAAGAGACTTTAAAATATTTAAAAAGTAAAACTAAACCACAATGTTGAAGGATGCACATGTGGACTGATAATGGCATGAGGAAAGGAAGGAGGGTGTTTCCATAAGAGGCAAGTAAGTGGTCGCCTCTTGAGGGCAAAGAGGGAGGGGTGAGGAAACAGTCTCATTTTCTATTGCTTATAAAAGAATACCTGAAACCGGGTAATTTACAAAGAAAAGGAATTTATTTCTTACAGTTATGGAGGCTGAGAAGTTCAAGGTCAAGTTACCACGTCTGGCGAGAGACATTCTTGATGGTAGGCACTTTCTGCAGAGTCCTAAACTGGTACAGAGCATTGCATGGCAAGGGGGCTGAGTGCTAGCTCAGGTCTCTCTTCCTCTTCTTATAAACCACGAGTCCCACTCCCATGATAGTCCATTAATCTATTAATCCATAAATGGATAACCTTCATTTTTTAATAATTTATTAAGCTATACATTTATTTTCTGTGTCTGTGCTAATTTTTTTTTTATCATATAAAGATTTTTTAAGTACATGCCCCTGATTCTTCCTCTCCTCCTACCCCTACAAATTTGGAGCCCTTTTACTATCAGCTGCCAATTTCTGAGTTCTAAATTCTGCCCAGCTCCCTATCCTCCTTTTCCTAGATTACCTCCTGATGATATTTTATATCAATCATAACGAGTTGCTATGCTACAGAAACAAATAACCCCAAGATCTCAGTGGCTTAAAACAAAGGTTTACTTCTTGCTTATGCTACATGTCCATCATATCTCAGCAGGGGGCCTCTGCTCACCTTTGTTGCTCAGAGACTTAGGCTAACAGAGCAGCCACCTCCTCCGATATCCTCAGGGGCTAGGACACGACTGACTGTCCATCAAATGGTTTGGCACGGAACTGACACATGTAACTTCTGCTCACAATCCATTGGCTAGACTGGTCACGTGGAACCGTCCAACCACAAGGAGGAGGAAGTGCTGTGCTGTGAATGTGCCCAAAAGTATTTGGTTGGTACACATTAATAAGCAGTCCTTGCTTTTTATGGCACTGATGTGCACAAGTTTCAGTTTAGCGAAATAATACCCGTTCCCAAAAACTAGTTCAAATTTCAGTCACCACAGTATATATTAACTATAATTGCATAAAGTACAAACTTCACTGCCTGCTTGCCAGTCCGCAAATCATGATATAAACAACAGATGCACATCATGATGAACCAATCACATCACTTCTTTCAAAGCCTGTCCTTGATTAGTCATTGCATATCTGTTACTCAGTTCATGCCCAGACAGCAAAATGTGAAGTTGTGTTGCCTCCTTGTCTTCCAGTGATAAATCCATGTGATGAAAATTTTACAAAAAATGGATCACTGGATAGAGGGTAAGCTAACAAAAATAAAAATGCAACAAAGAAACAAAAAGTGATAATGCCGGCAGTAAACTGGATGTGATTAGATTGAAGATGTGAAATTGGCAAGAGCAGAGCAAAGACTGGATGCACCATGGCCTGCATGGAGCTATGGAACAAACTGCACTGGAAAAATCCAATGTGTATTAAAAGCAAGGTAACGTTGCTTCATCTCTTAGTTTAAATTGCAATAGGACCAGAAAGCTGCTTATGCTTGGAGAGTTTTCTACTTTGGATTGAAGACTGTAATATTTCAAAATCCGAAGTAGTTTGGCTTGCATCCTGGCCAAAGCATTGATCTTAGTTGCCACATTGAAAGAAAATGGTAATTACAAGGATACTGAAGAAGAATATTTTACTGCCAGTAAAGGCTTGTTTCCTCATTCCAGAATTTAGCATGAATTGATTGATGTCAAGCTAGTGATGAAGCTGCTAGCACATGTAAGCATGCAGCTGGGAAATCTGCATCCAGATTCCAAGAAAATGAAGATGTGCCAGTGGAAGTGGCACTGGCAAAAAACTTCACCTTCAAGGAATTCTTATAGATATTTTGTAACATTGCAAGAGCAAAGGATAAAACATTAGGACCTGACTTAGAACTAGACTACACTTACAACAAAGTACGACAATTCACCAAGGCATAGAAAAGTTGCTCCAGCTGTATCATAAGCTATACAGTAAGGGGAGAAAGGCAAGAACTGTGCAAACTACTTTTGATATGTTCTTTACAAAGAAATAAAACACCTTAATTCTCAATGTTTCTAATGTTTTAAATTACAGTGTAATAAATAAATATTAGTTTTGTTAATTTTTCATTTCCCCATGCATTTATAAACAACAGTAAGAGAATGTTTAATGTTTTGACAAAAATGTTTAAAGGTCACAGAACAACTGTAATTATTCCCTTCGATTAAGATTGCTTTGCAGGGTTTCAGCTTACACAGTCATTTTTATGGTCTTGCATTACTATGCAAAATAAGGACTTCCCGTATACATAACTGGTTTATGTGGAGTTAGATTCCAATTTCCGCACGTCTATCTGCGCCAACTCACTTGCATGGAGTGTGAGAAAACTCCTGGAAAAAATAATTTGAACCATAGGGTTAGGCAGGAATAGGGATTCCAGGTATAGTTTGGAGGCTATTAAACCCTAACCTGATCCAGCCACCTTGATGGCCTATGTGTGGCCCTCAGTGGAAAAGAGCTTTGTAGATAAAATGAGCCCAACTGCACCCATATAGAGCCCACCACTCTGCTGTGGGATCCAGAGAGAAGAATGTCTATGCAAAGGGATGATTTTTTCATTTACTGTACGGAGGTGGGGTGTATAGATATATCAAGCTACAACCGAAATAAAGACTCAAAACCTGGTTTGGGCTGAGCATCCATGGGACCTCCCGGAGCCATCTGGGCCTTCTGACAATGGTGAAGCTCGCAGAACCTATCTGATGCCCAAGAGCAGCAGTGTTGGTGGGAGCATCTGCTCTGGGGAGCAGAGAGGAGGCCATCAACACTGTGGTATAAGCAGCAGCCTCAGAAGAGGGTGGAGAGCAGTGGCCAAGCAGCAGTGTGATCTGTTGAGGATGTGTGGGCTCCAGATGGTCGCTCAGGTGTTCTGGGGAGAAAGCAGGGTAGGGTCAGTGTGGAGAGCTCTTGCAAGGGGGCTGAGGTTCTGGAGTTATATTTAGTGGGAGCTCTAAGCTCAGGAAATTTACACTACATCAATGTACTATTTTTTCATGCTGGCAGTGAGGCCTGGGAACATTAGGGCTGTTTATATAGGTAGGGTGGCTATATAATTTATTGTTCAAACTGTGGATATTTTAAAAGTAAAAAGCATTGCTATTAATAATAATTAAATCTCTTGGTAATGAAAGTCACAAGAGGATTGTCCCAGGCAAACCAGTCTGTATGGTCATCTTAGTTATGGATGCAATCCAGGTAATTGTAAATTAGAGGTCAAATCAGAATTAGTAAAAACGAGTGAATTTGCTGGTGTTGCTGCAACTGGCGGTGCAGGCAGAGCTCCCTGGAGTGGACTCTGAGATAGAGATGAGTGTGCAGGATACTAACTAGAGAGTGTACCCAGGATCAACATCTGTGGAAGAGAAGGGAGAAAAACAGGATTGGACAAAAGGAGATGCTGGAATGTCCTGCAGTCTCATCAAAGGCCTTAGCTGACCCCATGGGGAACTCTGGGCCCGGATGACCTGCAGAGCTGCCCCAAGTTGGGGTGAGGCAGATGGGCCTCCATTCTCCATGTCAACCAGTCATTGGATTTGGTTGCCCCAAGAGCTCTCTCCAGCTGAGGGCAGATTTCAGAGAGCGCTGACAGGTGGCAGGACTCCCAAAAGTCCTGAAGAGAGGTCAGGGTGTTATATCACAGCATCCACAGCCCTAAAGGAGCGGAGGGTTTGAATTAAAAATATTTGTATTTTACTTAAAGGTATGTACTTTAAGGTCAGTCATTAGTCAAATCCTGCCAGAGATCCTGCTGCGTCTGTTTTGAAAAAGAGATGAGAGTCGATGGAATTAGCATACTAGATGCTTATATGCAAATGGTATTACCAAAAAGGGGGACCTGGTCTCTCAAATCAGTAAAATAGCACCAGTCTTCTTGGTACGACTTTGAAAACTTTTTCCCTAGGTAAACTTCTCCCCAACTCTATTTGGTGATATCTCTATTTAAGATACCTACGTCAGGCTTACTATGTTCCAGGCACAGTGTGAAGCACCACGGAAGTATTAATCCACTTCATTCTCATAACAAAACTATGAAGTAGGCATTACAGACAAGGAAACAGAGACCCCCGAGGCCAGGTCATCTGCCTCAAGTGGTGGTGCCAGCATGTGGACCCAAGTATCACATCTCCGGAGACTCTGCTTTTCATCATGCCACACTGGCTCTCTGGTCCACCATTTAATTTAGTAGGTACAATATCACTGCAATAAAATGTAACGAGTATCCATTAAGCTCCTGTCAGTTGCCATGTTCAATCTTTGAAGAAAATAAAAATCTCTGGGGTGATACAAAGAAGTAAAATAATAATAACAGAAACATCTAATGTGTTGAGGTTTGACTGTGCCAGGGACTGTACTAGCAGCCATCCACACAGCACACCTCTTTACTATGCAGAATACTTCTTGCTGGCCTTGAAGGAGATTCTTATCTAATTGGGAAGTGAGATCGGAAACAGTTACATAACCATATGCAAGGCACGTGTGATTAAGCGCCCCTATGTGCAAGACAGGCTGCCACTTGGCAAAGTGGTCAGAGAGAGACAGTCTGGGTTCAGATCTAGGGGACTTAGAAACTCTGAAAAAAATTATAGGGCACCCTTCCACGTCATTAAAAATAAGTGATACTATAAACAACAAAATTATAGTAAAGAAGTCCAAGAAAGTTCATGTCTTTCCCATTATGATTATTTCAGTACTTTTAAAGGAAAATTTCTGAGAACAAATTCTTGCCAAACAATACTTGTAGTTGCTCATGCTTTGCTGGTGTAAACTCTAGGGTGATCTTCAGTTAGTGTAATCCAGCCCTGAAGAAAGAAGAGCTTTCTCTGGACCCATCAAGTCAGAATGCTTCGTGGACCTCCAAGACAGTGGGATTAAGAAAGGGGAGAAATGAGGAAAGGTTATGCTCAGAGGGAGGAACAGGGAGGAACTGAGAACATTGGCTTCGCTGAAGCACAGGGAATGTGCAAGGGTGCACCTAGGTTGGGCAGATGGATTAGGGCCAAATTTAAAGGCCTTGATTTCCTGATTATTACGGGCTTGTAATATGTCCCATAAGCCATGGGAATCTATGGGAGGGTACTGCAATGTTGTCCCTGCCATTGTCTCTCCTTCTGCTAATCTGAACACCCAGGCAGCCAAGGTGCTCAAAGATCTCTGGAGCAGACAGAGCTCCAAGCAGAAGGGGTCTGGGATCCTTGGCCACCCGACAGGCAGCTCGCCTATACTGTGGCTCTGACACTGCAGTTACTGTAAACTTAGGGACTTCCTTATTGCTCAGTTGCCCTTCCAAGGGGACCTTATCAACTATAGGTTTTGGGCAGCTGCCTAGAGTTGAGGGCTGACCCTAAGGGCCCTAGGCCTCCCTCTATCCTACTGCCCAACCATTCTTCCGTGATCTTGCAAACAGCATTCCATCGGGTATAAGTGCTTCAGCCATCTTGGTTTCATCTTTCCCTCCACCCTCTGCTGAACTATTAAAGCATTTTATTCCACAAACAAATCTGATCTTACAACCGCTCTGACCTGAAGCTTGCTGTGAGGCAGAAGAATGGGAGGAATGCACTGGGATCAGTGTTACTGCGGGTGCATTGGAAGAGAAGGGCCAGGGCTTGGCTGTAGCATCAGATACTGGAGGCAGACCCAAATTCGTAAAGACCCAAGGCAGCAAGGCCATGTCTCAGGCTCTCTTTCTCCCAGGAACAACAGGATCATGATCGAAGTTCGGGAAGGCGCTTCACAGAGTTTTTCCCCTCTGTCAAGGAGTTTAAGCTGCTGGTTTGAATTTCTGCCCTATGAAGAATTTCCGGATTATTGGTGGGGCTTTCTTTTTCTGAAGAAAAATTTCAAACATTGTTTTTCTACCTTAGTTTTATGCATTCAGGTCAAAGCTTCTGGCTCCTCTTTTTGGTAGAATGAAATATCCCAACCTGGCTGAATTCAGGATGGAAATGTTTGTGGAAATTTTGGCCTGGCCCTGCTAAGAGGAGCATGTGGCTAGAGAGGCCCCAAAAACCCAGAGGAACTGGCTACCAACCACCAGCGGGCTTGGTCATGTGTGCATCTGTCCAGACAGCAATTTTTCCTCCCTGGCTTTAGTTCATGCTTTCTGGTTTCACATTATGTTCTTGTCCCTCAAGACCTTCCCAGCCCTTTCCGTGAAGGCTTCCACAAGCTCCTCCAGGCCACAGTGGCTTGTCTCTGCTCCTACAAGAGACAGACCATGTACAGTATGACCCAGGACTTGGCTGAACGTTCTCGATGCTTACCAGTGAGACTCCTTTCCTTATGAAGATGGAAAGCTTGCTGAAGGCAAAGAGCATGTTTTGTCAGCATTGGGCTAGTATGTAGTGTAGGTGCATAAGATATAATTATACTGATTAAAAGATGGGTCAGCCAAGGCCTTTCCCCAGGATGTTGATCTAATACACACACACACACACACACACACACACACACACACACACACGATGGAAAACATATTTACTGGATTCTTCCCGGAGACTGTGAAGGGGAAGCATTAAACTCTGATCTATCTCATGAGAAGCAAAGTGTGGCTGCGAGAGATGCTCAAGGACTCCCGATAGATAGTTGCAACACATTTTTTCCCGAGGGGTTGGCAAGTTTCGCCCAGAGCCAAACTGGTCAAGAAGACAGAATGAAGACTTAGCTACTCTTTCCCTTCACCAGGCAAAGCTCAGCATGACCTTTAAATGCATGTGCCCAGATTTGTTTGAAGAGAATTGTCTTTAGTCTGTTTTAGCTGCTATAACAAAATACCATAAACTGGGTAGTTTATAAACAGAAGAAATTTATTTCTTACAGTTCTGGAGGCTGGGAAGTTCAAGATCAATGCATGAGCATATTTGGTGTATGGTTATGTCGAATAGGAGCGGTGAAAGTGGGCATCATTGTCTTGTTCTAGTTCTTAGAGGAAAGGCTTTTGGCTTTTCCCCATTCAGTATGATGTTAGCTGTGTGTTTGTCACACATGGCCTTTATTATGTTGAGGTATGTTCCTCCTATGCCTAATTTGTTGTTAGTTTTTATCATGAAGGGATGTTGAATTTTATGAAAATCATTTTTCTGCATCTACTGAGATGGTGGTTTTTGTCCTTAATTCTGTGGATGTGATGTATCACATTTATTGATTTGTAAATGTTGAATGAGCCTGGCATCCCTGGGATAAATTCCACTTAATCATTATGTATTATCTTTTTGATGTGCTGTTGGATTTGGTTTGCAAGTGTTTTGTTGAGAACTTGTGCATCTGTGTTCATCAGGATATTGGCCTGCAGTTTTCTTTTTTTGTTGTTGTGTCTGTGTCTGGTTTTGGTATGAGGATAATGCTAGCCTTGTAGAATGAATTAGGGAGAATTCATTCCTCTTCAATTTTTTTGGAATAGTTTGAGGAGAATTGGTGTTAGTTCCTCTTTATAAGTTTGGTAGAATAAAGCAACGAAGCTATCCAGTCCTGGACTTTTCTTTGTTGGGAGATTTTTTCATTACTCCTATTGGTTTATTCAGGTTTTCTGTTACTTCCAGATTCCATCTTGGTAAGTTGCATGTGTCCAGGAATTTTTCCATTTGCTCTAGATTTTCCAGTTTGTTATCTTGTAGTTGTTCATAATAGTCTTTGAGGGTTTTTTTTTTTGTATTCTGCAGTATCAGTTGTAATGTCACCTTATTCATTTCTGGTTTATTTTATTTTTTTGAGTCTTCTTTTTTCTTGGTTAGTATAGTTCAGTTTATTAATTTTGTTCATCTTTTCAAAAAACAACTTTTGTTTTGGTGGTCCTTTTTTTAGTCTCTATTTCATTTAGTTCTGCTCTAATCTTTATTATTTCTTTCTTCATACAAATTTAGGGTTTGGTTTGTTCTTGCTCTTCTAGTTCTTTGACATGCATCATTGGGTTATTTATTTGACATCTTTCTATTTTTTTATGTAGGTATTTATTGCTATAAACCTCCTTCTTAGCACTGCTTGCTGTATCTCACAGGTTTTGATATGTTATGTTTCCATTTTCATTTATTTAAAGAATTTTTTAAATTTTCTTTATAATTTCTTCCTTGACCCATTGGTTGTTCAGGAGCATGTTGTTTAATTTCCATGTATTTGTACAGGTTCCAAAGTTCCACTTTGTTATTGATTTCTAGTTTTGTTCTACTATCATCTGAAAAAACACTAGATATGACTTTGATGTTTAGGAGAATTTTTGAGACTTATTTTCTGGCATAACATATGGTCTATCCTGGAGACTGTTCCATGTGCTGATGAGAAGAATGTGTATTCTGCAACTGTTGAATAAATTGTTCTGTAGATGTCTGTTAGGTCCATTTGGTTTAAAGTACAGTTTAAATCCAATGTTTCTTGGTTGATTTTCTGTTGAGATCATCTGTCTAATGCTGAGCGTGGGGTGTTGAAGTTCCCAACTGTTATTGTATTAGAATCTATCTCCCCCTTTTGATCTGATAAGATTTGCTTTCTGTATCTGGGTGCTCTGGTATTGGGTGCATATATATTTAGGATTATTCAATCCTCTTGCTGAATTAATCTATTTATCATTATATAAATGACCTTCTTTATTTCTTTTTACTATTTTTGACTTAAAGTCTGTTTTATCTGATGTAGGTATAGCTATACCTGCCTGGTTTTGGTTTCTATTTGCATGAAATATCATTTTCTCTCCTTTCACTTTCAGACTATATGTGTCTTTACAGGTGAAGTGAGTTCCTTGTAGCATATAGTTGGGTCATGCCTTTTAAAATTTTAATCCATTCGGCCAGTCTGTATCTTTTTGGTAGAATGTTTTATGCTTTTACATTCAAGGTTATGGTTGACATTTGAGGACTGATTTCTGTCATTTTGTTGTTTTCTGGCTGTTTTGTATAAACATTGTTCCTTTCCCTCATTGTTTATCAATATGGTTTGGTGTATTTTTTGTAGTGGTAACATTTGAATTCTTTCTCTTCCTCATTTGTATGTTTGCTCTACCAGTGAGTTTTATACTTCTGTGTGCTTTCATGACGGTAGGTATTGTTCTTCTGCTTCCAGGTGATGGGCTCCCTTGAATATTTCTTGTAGGGCTGGTCTATGATTTCCCTCAGTTTTGCTTATCTGGAAAATATGTTATTTCTCCTTTATTTTTGAAGGGAAACTTTGCTGAGTATAGTATTCTTAGCTACTAATGGTTTTCCTTCAGCACTTTGAATATATCATCCCATTCTCTCCTAGGCTTTTACTGAGCAATACACTCTTATATGTGACTAGATGCTCTTCTTTTGCTGTTTTTAGAATTCTTCCTTTGTCTTTGACTTTTGACAATTGACTATATGTGCTTTGGAGAAGACCTTTTGGGGTTGTATCTATTTGGGATTCCATGAGCTTCCTGTATCTGGATGTCTAAATTTCTTGATAGACTTAGAAAGTTTTCAGGTATTGTTTTGTTAAATAGGTTTTCTGAGCCTTTGTCCATCTCTTCTCCCTGAGAAAATCCCCAAACATGAATATTTGGTCACTTTATAGTGTTGCTTCATATATCAATACTCTTTCTTCATTCTCTTTTATTCTTCCCCGACTTTTTTATTTGGCAGGGGAGGGGTCTGATTGGATTATTTCAAAAGCCCTGTCTTCAAGATCAGAAATTCTTTCTTCTACTCGATCTAGTCTATTTTTGAAGCTCTTGATCGTATTTTTTATTTCATTCATTGAATTCTAGGATTTCTATTTGGTTCTTTTTTATATCTATATCTTTGGTGAATTTCTTATTCATATCTTGAGTTGTTTTTCTGCTTTCTTGGTACTATTTGTGTTTCTTGTATCTCACTGAGCTTCTCTAATATCATTATTTTGAATTCTTTTCTAGGCATTTTATATATTTCTTTTTCACTGGAATCTGTTGCTGGAGAATTATTGTGTTCCTTTGGAAGTGTCATATTTCCTTGCTGTTTCTGTTTCCTGTGCCATTACATTGATATCTGTGCATCTGGTGTAATAATAATTTCTTCCAATTTTTTGAATTGGCTCTCATGGGGAAGACTCTTTCTTATAGATGTATCTCTGGTGTTGGTTGGGTAGAGTACATTAGCTTTGGTTCTGGGTGCATGCAGGTGTGTATTCTCTGTATGATTTCTTTGGCTGTAAGCAGTGTCAGTGATGTCTGTGATTTCCTCAGTGGCTTCGGCTGTGGTTGTTAGCAGAGGCCGTGGTGAGGCTTTGCCAGAGACTGAGGTGCCAGGTAGGCCAGCTCTCAGGCCCCAGTAGTGACAGTAGTGGGCCAAATGTGTCTGTCCTTGAGCTCCCAGGTGGTATACATGGACACCACTGTTAGTGGGCCCAAGTGGGCTGATTCTTGGGCTTTCAGACAGCATATTCAGTTGCCATTAGTGGCAGTGGTGAGCCAGGCAGATGGGAAGGTCCTCCGTCCCCTGGGCACCGTGCGATGGCAATAACAGTGGTGGAACAATCCTGACATTCCCAGGTAGAAGGTGCTGGTGTTAGTAGTGGCAGTGATGGACTGGGTCGGCCAGTCTCTAGGGCCCCAGGTAGCATGTGTGAGTTGGTGCCAGCTGTGGTGGCAGGCTGGGTGGGCCCATCCTCAGGCCCTAGGAGGAATGCACAGATCCCTGCAGTGGTGGATGGGGCGAGGTGATTCCCAGATCCCCAGGAAGCATGCTTGGGCACTGAGAGGGGTGGTGCCAAGTGGGATGGGCCTGTCCCTAGGCCTGCATGGGTGCAGGCTGTGATGGGCAGGGTGGGGAAATGCCCCATCCCCAGGTAAAGTGCCTGGATGGTGGCAGCAATGGTGGCAGTGGGTAGAGAGAGCCTGTCCTCAGGGTATGTGTAAGTGTGCTGCAGCCCTGCTGCTGGGGGTTGGGGTTGCTATCAGAGGCAGTGCCCCCAGGCAGGTGACTGTCATGTGCTGGAGAGCATGACATTCAGCTCCCTTTGTCCTGGGGTAGCCTCCCCAGTGTGCTGCAACGTGCAGGACACTGGGTGTGCTAGAGTGTTGGTGCTCCTGTCATATTGCTGGGTCCAGCTGGAATCATGCCACTGCAGTCCTCTGGGTGGATGAAGGAGGATGTCAGTGAGGCTCTAGGGATGTGAAGACACAGGAGCTGTTGGACCCCAGGACAGGATGCAGTCTGATGGGGGCTGGGCTCTCAAAATGTTGTTGTGCTGCAGCTCTTTGGTCTTAGGGGTATATGAACTCACCCAACAGAAGATCCCTCTCTGGAGCAATGCCACTGCATGGATTCCAGGCAGCTCCATATACTGGCCTCAGGGCCTGCAATGAGTCTTTATTGAAACCCACTATGTGCCTAGTCCCAAGGGAAGCACTGTAGGAAGGAAAAAAGCAGAGGCAGGAATGGCAGGAAAGGGCCCACACTGTGGATTTCAGCCCTACACCCTGCTCATCCCTCCCTGTGCAAGCTCTCACTGAGGTGTAAGCTCTTGCCTAACTGCATTCACTGTAGCATAGCCCCTGGAGTGATACCAGTCACATGGACAACCCTTGTTTTCAGCAAGAACGAGTTATCAAGATTGAGCTAGCAAATCTTCAGGGAAGACAGCCTGGTCCTAACTTCTGTCATAACATTTTTCTTTGGTGATGAAGCATCACTGGGTTTGTTGAAAGCTCATTCAGTGTTGCTAACGCTTAAGCGCTCAGGCATCCCTCAGGTCCAAGCGGAGGATTAGGGTGGGGAGCAGCAGGCAGTTCTTGGCTAATTAGCTCAGAGGCACAGCTGTGCTGTTGAAGTCTATGCTCCCTACACTGTAACTTACAAGTAGAGTTGTATGAGAATACTGTGCATAAAACTGTAGATGCTGGAGTCAGACTGCCCTGAGTTCATTTCTAGACTCTGCCATTTGCTGGCTATGGGATCTGGGCAAGCCTGTTTTTAAGCTATTAATAAAGTAATACTTTGCTCCCTGCTTAACTTGGATAAAGTCCAATTTATCTTATTCTCTTTTGTAAATTATGTTTTTGGTTTTGTACCCAAGAAATATGGCCCAAGATGTCTTAGTCCAATTTGTGTTGCTATAACAGAATACATGAGATTTAGTAATTTATAAAGAAGAGAAATTTACTTCTTATAGTTCTTAAGTCCAAGATCAAGGCAACAACAGGTTTGGTGTCTGGTGAAGGCCTGGTTTCCACTTCCAAGATGGTGCCTTGAACACTGCATCCTCCAGAGAAAGGAACATTTTTCCTCACATGGCAGAAGAGTGGAAAAGCAAAGGGAGAGAACCTACCCACAAAGGCCCTTTTCCAGAGACATTAAACCCATCTATGAGGGTGGAGCCCTCATGGCCCAATCACCTCTTAAAGGCCCACATCCCAATACCATTACATTGGCAATAAAATTTCAATCTGAGTTTTGAAGAGAATACACATTAAAACCATAACACAAGGTCACAAACAATTTATCCTATATTTCCTTCTAGATATTGTATAGTCTAAGATTTATATTTAGGTCTATGATCTATTTTTAGTTTTGAATATGCTACAAGGTAAGGAGGGTAGAGAGAGGTTCCGTCTCTCTTTTTGCCTTTTTCCTTCCTTTCATCTTTCTTTCTTTCTTTTTTTGAGTATATGAACATGTAATTGTTCCAGTACCATTTATTGAAAAGAACATTCTTTCTTCATTGAATTGTCCCTGCACCTTTGTGGAAAGCCCATCAATAGTATATTTATGGATCTATTTTAGGACCCTCTATTCTGTTCTACTGATCTACACATCTGTTCTTCGGTCAAGAAGACTATCAACTTTGTCTTTCCTTATAAAAAATATATTGGTAATCCTAGGTCATTTGTACTTTCATATACATTTTATAATGGACTTTTAATTGGTACAAAGAGAGCCTACTAAAATTTCGCATTGAATCTATAGACAAATTTGGGGAGAACTGACATCTTGACAACATGGAGTCTTGTAATCCATGAACACAGTATATTTCTCCATATATTTATGTCTTCTTCGATTTATTTCAGCAATATTTTGTCATTTTTTAGTGTATAGGTCTTGCACATCTTTTGTTAAATTTATTCCTAAATATTTTTGTCATTCTTGTAAATTAATGGTTTTCAATTTCTTTTTCTAATTTTTTGCTGCAAATTAATAAAATATAAAATCAATTTTTATATATTCACCGTGTAACATGTGACCTTGCTAAATTCATTTGTTAGTTCTAATTGTAGTTGTGTAGATTCTTTAGAACTGTTTATACAAAAAATTATCACCTGCAAATAGACACAATTTTACTTCTATCTTTCTGATCTTTAAAAGCTTTATTTCTTTTTCTTGCCTTAGTGTAATGGCTAGGACTGATGGTACAATGTTGCATAGAAGTCATAAGAGTGGGCATCCTTGCCTTGTTTCCAAACTTGCTGGGAAACTGTTCCATATTTCATCATTAAAGATGCCCTTTATCAGGTTGAAGAAGTTCTTTTCTGTGCTAGATTGCTGAGAGTTTTTATTATGAACATATATTAAATGTGGTCAAATACTTTTTCTGCATCCATTGAAATGATTGTATGGCTTTTCTACTTTATTCTCTTAATGTGGTATATTATATTGATTAATTTTTTGAATATTAAACCAACCTTGTATTCCCAGGATAAATCTCCCTTGGTCATGATGTTTTATTCCTTTTTATATATTGTTGGATTTAATCTGCTGATATTTTGTTATAAATTTTAGCATCTATGTTCATGAGGGATGTTGGCCTGCAGTGTTCCCTTTTGCAATGTCTTTGTCGTGCTTTGGTATTAGAGTTTTGCTGGTACCATAAACCAAATTGGGACGTGTACCCTGTCCTCCTCTAATTTTTAAGAGTTTGTGTAAGTTTGAAGTTATCTCTTCTTTAAATGTTTCATAAAATTTACCAGTGAAATTACCCGGGCCTATAATTCAGATTCTCTATTTCATCTTGTGTAAATTTTGATGATTTATATTTATATAAATTTGTCCATTTCAACTATTTTGCAGAAATTATTGGTATAAAGTTCCTTATACTGTTCTTATATTCTCTTTTTAACATTTTAATGTCTGTGATTTCTGTGGTGATAAGTCCTCTTTCATTCCTGATATTAGTAATTTTTGTTCTCCATTTTTCTTACAAAGTCTGACAAAATTTACCAGTTTTCGTATTCTTTACAAAGAACTAACTTTAGGGTTTACTCGTTTTTTAAATTACTTATCTGTTTCTTATTACACTGACTTCTGCTCTTTATTATTTTCTTTGTTTTACTTACTTTGGTTTACTTTGGATTTGAGGAGGAATTTTAAATCACTGAATTTAAACCTTTCTTCTTTTCTAATGTAAGAATTCAAAGCCATAAAACTCCCTCTAATCACTGTTTTAGTTTATGTTGTAGTTTCCCTATCATTAAGTTTTAAATATTTTATCATTTCTCTGTGGTTTCTTCTTTCATCTATGGATTATTTAGAAGTGCAATATATTTATTTGGATTTGTCCTAGATAACTTGTTTTAATTGATTATTTGGATTTGTTCTGGATAACTTATTTTAATTGATTCCTAATTTAATTACATTGTGATCAGAGGATCTATCCTACTATTATTTCAATCCTATAATTTATTTTAGGATTTGTCTTATAGCCTGGGATATGGTCCTTGTTGGTGAGTATGTACAGCTGGAAAAAATGTTTATTCTCCAGTTGCTGGGTATTGTGTTCTGTAAACATCAGTTAGGCTAGGGTGTTGATATGGCTGCTCAGATTCTCTATGACTTTACTGAATTTTTGTCCTGCAGCCTACCAATTGCAGGGAGAGTATTCAAATATCCCACAATAATTGTAAAATGTTCTATTTCTTCTTTTATTCTGTCAAGTTTTGCTTTATGTATCTTGAGGATCTATTCTTAGGCACATATACATTTATGATTATGTCTTCCTTATTAATTGACTCTTTGTTTTTAAAGCTCATCTCCTCTAGTCAGCATATAGTTGGATCTTGCTTTTTAAAGAACAGTCTATTCTGGTAATCTCTGCCTTTTAATTGGAATATTTTGTCCACTACCATTTAACGTAGTTATTAATATGATTGTATTAAGACTGTATTTCTTTTTAGTTGTCCACTTTGTTTTTAGTTCCTCTGTTCTCCCTTCCTACCTTTTTCAATTGAATACATTTTATAATTTTGTTTTAACTTTTTTATTTGTTAGATTTTTAGATACATCACATTGGATTCATTTTTAAATGGCTGATCTGATTATCACACAAACATCCTTCTATTTTCACAGTATATTTAGTTAATATTGCATTTCTTCACATAAAATGTAGAAACCTTGAAACAGTGTAAGTCCATATTCCACTCCCTCACCACCACTGATAGTCCATAGTCATTTGAGTCATGGCCCTGTAAGTGATCGGTCATTTTTCTCTGGGTACTTGCAAGATTTTCTCCTTATCTTTGGTTTTTAGGAATTTAATTATGATGTGCCTAGATAGGATTTTATTCAAAATTATCCTGTTTGGAGTTCCCCGTGCTTTTGGATCTATAATTTATGTCTTTCAACAAATTCCAAAGTTTTTCAGCCAGTATGTTCTCAGATATATTTTCTGCCCCATTATCTTTGTTGTCTGCATCTGGGACTGTAATTAACTGCATATGGAACATTTGGATATTGTCCCACATGTCCCTGAAGCTTGTTCATTTTTTCAACCTTTTTTTTCCTCTTGTCTTTAGATTAGATAATTTCTATTGATCAATCTTCTAGCTCACACACTCAGCCATTCATTAGGAGCGTGGATTTACATTCTACCAGGCCTGTTTTCTGTTTAAATTTGAGGCCACAGCTTAGGTGTTAAAAAACAATAGGAGTTTATCATGATAAGATTTAAGAGTTTAATAGAAGTTAAAAGTTTCAAGTTAAGAGTTTAATAGAAGTTAAACTTTTAAAACTAAGAGTTTAATAGAAGTTAAACTTTTAAAACTATTTAAGAGTTTAATAGAAGTGTAAAATACAATGGAAGTTTATAATGATAAGATTTATTATTATTAACCATGTAATACCATGATTTCAAATATAACATGATTCAAAATCTATCCTCACCTTGACTTCTCTTTAAAGGAAAGGCTGAGATTTGGCAGTGAGTTTGTAACTAGGAGCTAGGGATCTGGTTAGGAGACAGACACTCAAGCAGAGAGTGTACAACATGGTGTGAGCAGGTGCAAAACTCCAGACGTGAACAAAGCACCATGGGAGCACAGAGGTGCACATTGCTGCCACTACCCCAGGAATCAGGAAAAGCCTTCAGAGAGTTGGTATTTTATTAGAAAATTTAGATAGCAAGAAAAGCCAGGCTTTGCCAAAAAGAAAGAAGAACATTCTAAGTAGAAGGGCTCTGGGAAAGTCCTGTCATAGTTTGGGAAGAGGGGAAAAAGGGAAGTATTTGGGGGACATGAGCATCATGTCCCCCCAAAAGGGCAGTGATGGCATAGGAGGTCAGAAGAATAGCGTGTGTCAGGCTGCCCTGCACTGAAGACCAAGCAGAGAAGGAGTATGTTCTTGTTGCATCATATGAACATACTGGTGGTGAGGAGTGGGGCTCCTCCTTTATCCTGTGAAGAATAAAATAAGCTCTTTGCTCTCAAAGAACTCTCAAACTGCCTAAAAAAACAAATCAACCTACATGAAACAAAACGAGGCAGAACACTCACCACCATTCCAATTCTGGCCACCATCTCTCACTTCAGCTGCAATACCCTCCGAAGGGTCTCCCTGTTATTACCTTTGCCCACTTCCAGTTCATTTCCATATTTGCAGAAAATCACCTTCTTAAGACAAAAATCAGAATATGCTCATCCATTGTTAAAAATCCATTCAGTGGCTTCTCACTACATGTAGAATGTTCTGTGTCCACGCTACTGCCCAACCTCACTCATCACGCTTAGTCACAACAGCTTTCTGGCTGATCCCAGTCAGGCCACACTCTCATGGGCGTTAGAGCTTTGTGTTGCCTGTTTCATCTGTCACTGTTGGCACTTTCCTCCCAGCTCTCCATGGGGCTGGCTCCTTCTCTGCCTTTAGATCTAGCATAACTCTCCTCCTCAGACAAACCTTCCCATTAAAGCCCACTCTAATGCTCAATTTATTCCATTCAAAGCATTAACAGTTTGTGGCCCTTTCATTTATTTGTTTACCTGATTCATGTCTACCTCCCTTACTGGGATTTAAATGACAATGGCAAGAACTTTGTCTGTCTTGTTCTTCATTAAATCCCCAATGCCTAGTATAATGCCCAGAATATAGTACTCAACAATACATGTGAATAAATGGTTAAAACTCAATGCTAAGGTGGTGTTATCTACTCTGTGTGTCACAGAGCAGGGAAATGAGTGGGGGTAAAGGATCAAAACAGGGAGAGAAAACCCTATTCGAAGCAGGTGGCCCTAGTTGCCACATGATCTTGCTATGGGTTTTGTAGCTCCTTAGGGAGAAGGAGTAGCTTTGCCTGTGAAAATGATGCTTTGGGTATGACATCCAGCTCTCCTGTTTCCCAGGCACACTCTGTTATGCACAATTCAGGATTCCACACTCTCTAGAAGGCCCCTTGGATGCAAGCTCATTCTCCCTTCCCCTCTTCTTGCTTCTAAGCCATGGGATCATTTTGAAGAACTTGCATGCTCCATCTACAACCCAACTCCTAGGAGAGGAAACCAATTCTGTTTCCTGGGAGTTTACTTCTTACTCTTGAAGACAAGAATAAGAGAAAGGAAGTCATTCTTGAATCATTGAGTTGCTTTCTTTAAAAAACCATTGTTATTTGTAAAACTGGAATACATTTTTTTGAGCTCTCCTGTCTGAAGCCCAGGCTGAGAAATGTAATTAGAAAATGCACACTTACCAAGAGTTGGAAGCCTGGGAGAGTGCCTTCATCCATCCATCCAGTGCACTGGATAGGGAGAGATATAAACAGAGCACGTGGTGTTGGCGTGCACTTTTATTGAGTGAGATGTGATGTTCAGAAAGTCTACAGCACATACGTACCCAAGTGGAAATTCCTTCAGTAACAGTGCATTAAACAATCCAGCCCTCTCTTCCCACACACCCCCACCCTACCACCTCCCTCCCATCCCCCGCCCCCAGACCCTTTGCTCTTTCATATACATGGTTTTAGAAGAGCATCTCTCCAGGGCTGGGTCAGGGTAGGGTATCACTTTTTTGAACCCCTCAGGGAATGTTTGCAGTATTTTGCTATTTTCTCTGCTGGATGCACTTATGGTAACACCACGGAGGCCCACTCTACCCTGGTGCCTCCTTGGTTTGCAGGGCTCAAGTTAGATGCCAAGTCTCTTAGAATATTAAAATATGACCCACTCCTCCCTCCTGCTTCCTTCTGCCTTCCTTTCTCTTCTCCAAGCAAGTGCTTATCTACAATCTATTGGTAAAGGGTTACTCCCTGGAATGGTGAATTTCTCTTTCTGAATGTGTTCTCCCTGCCTCGGGTTCCCTGGGTCTTTGGCATGAAGAGTACGTGTCAAGGGCAGATCAAGGCAGCTGGGTCAGAGGCAGCTGTGCCCGTCCAGCCAATTTCCAAGCTGCCTGGCTTTGTGCCTGGTGGGTCTCAGAGCAGTTTAGATGACAATGTGGGTAGCTCCAGAAAGCATTGGCCGTGGTCTTGCAAGGGGCAACAGAGCTCTGGAGGCCCTTCTGAAACAGGCCAGGAAGCCCTCCCTAGGTCTCACACTGGACAGTAGTGACAGAGGCAGAACCATCACTGAATAAATGTCACAAAGGTCTGCTACTGCACATCAGTGTAGTTACAAGACCTACAAATGAACTTGCAGGAGAAGAGCCCCCTCCATGCCTATCTGCCTCCCACTCCCCACCTCCCACCAGGCAAATGATCCAATGATGCTGATATGGTTTGGCTCTGTGTCCCCTCTCAAATCCCATCTTGTCGCTCCCATAATTCCCATGTGTTGTGGGAGGGACCCAATGGGAGATAAATGAATCATGGGGGCGGGTCTTTCCTGTGCTGTTCTCGTGATAGTGAATAAGTCTCACAAGATCTGATGGTTTTAAAAAGGAAGTTTCCCTACACAAGCTCTCTTCTCTTGTCTGCCACCATGTGAGGCATGACTTTCTTTCACCTTCTGCCATGATTGTGAGACCTGCCCCAGCCACATGGAACTGTAAGTTCATTAAACCTCTTAAATTGCCCAGCCTTGGGTAGTCTTTATCAGCAGCATAAGAACGAACTAATACAGACGCCTCTCTGAAATTTTAGAGGTTTGTATTATTGCTAGGAAAATTAGAAAAAATAACCAATCTTCCCTTTCCAGATTCCTCCTGCGAGTGGACTGCATGAGGAGATGTCTGTAAGAAATTGTGGGTAGATACCTCAGACAGAAAAAAAAAAAGTGCACTTTAAATTGACAAATCAGTCCAAACCACGAAGGTTATAACTTTTTTTTTTTTCCTTTCCAGAAGAACAGTAAAACAGACTTGTTATTGGCAGCCCATTAGTGCTCAGGAGAGGCGGTCTCCAGCATGACATCAGCCGGCGGCTCGACCCAAATCTAGTATTTCACCAGAGAGCCTAACGCTGCTGGCTTTCCAACTGTGTGGAAGACGTAAGTGGGGGAGAGGGAAGAAGGCATAAATAAGATACAGACTGGAGACTTTTTGATGTGTTTAGCACATTTTTGTGATTTCCTTTAATACGATAGGCCTTGCATAATCTCCCATTAGGAGAACAAAAGACAAGCCTGAGATGGGATGGAGAATGGGTGGAGAGGGGGATCCATTCCATAAAAAGTTCACTTTGAGTAATTAGCATTTTTAATCCAAATACTTAAAAGGGGAGGCGAATTGGGAAGAGAAGAATGAATACAGCCGAGTGACTGCAGATATAAAAAGTCCCTTCATTAATTCGGTTGTTTTTTAATTCCTAATTGAACTTAAATAAAGAGGACCTAGAGGCAGCTGTTTCTAATATCGAGTCCCCACCGCACATGAAAGACGCATTTATTCCTGCAGCAGCCTCCCTACCCTTGGGTGTTATCAGCTGAACATGTTTTGAACCTACCTAATGCATTTGAGGTAGCTTGGGTTTATTTTTCTTTCAATAAAATAAATGGTTTTGTAATTAAATTTCTGCACTGCCTGTGCTTAATGGTTACATTGACAAGTGCTAATGTATGGCAAGAGAATGAGTTTGAAATGAAACATGCTGTTTTTGAATCTGCAAGCAATTTTGCAGTGGGGCAATCAAACCCCTCATGCCAGCGAAACGTTTTCATTAATCTGCTCACTCCGCCCCTGCCCACTCTGGCCGGGCAAGGACACTTTTTAGCTTCCCCTTTGCCCACCCCCCACCCTTGCCTTTTTCTAAACACACACACTCACGCACACATGCGCGCGCACACACACAAATAGCATGAAGCGAGCCGTTGTTTGAAACCATTTTGTGGTCCCTGGCTGGCAGGCCTGTGGAAATTCGCTGACTTTACACCGTGAAATGTTGCAGCTGTCTCTCTTCTCCAAAAGGAAGGCCTGCCTCCATGTTTCAATCCCTGGCAGTGAGTCAGTAAGAAAATCTGTCCTTCTGTTTTCCCTTTTTTTTTTTTTTTTTTTTAACTTTCCTCCCCCCTTAGCTAAATTTATTTTTGAATAAATCTTCTCATAGAAAATAGCGAACAGCTATTACATATCTGGACTCGGTCTGCGCAAACCACTTCAAGCCACAGCAAAGGAGGCGGCCTTCCAGCCTTGAGCCTGTAGAAGGTTCATGAATGGAAACCTGGATGGATGGGTTGTGGTCTTGGCCGCTCCACTTCTGCCTGCAGCCCAGGAGGGGGGCCCTGTGTCTCCTGCTCAGGCCTGCACAGGTACAGATGAGGGACACAAGACTCTTGGCTCTTTCTCTGCCCCTTCCCTGGAAGCCTCCGTTTCATCTGACCGCTAGAGGGATGGCTTCCCAGGGTGGCGGCTGTCTGGAGCCTGCGAGGCCCCTTCATCAAAGGCCAAGAAGCGGGTATGAGGTCTGGAGCTGACTGGGGCATGGGGAGATGGAGAGCAACAGGGGAGCCCCTGGTTCCGTGGCTGCCCACAAGGTGTGCGACTCAGCATTTTCTCCCTAGGCTGGGGGAGAAGAGCCAGAGGGCTGACCACATGAGTGCTGACTCACCCTTGGGACAGGCCAGAATCACAGGCTGTCCTCCCCTCCGCATGGCTCCCTCTTGCTGCTTTTAGGATGGTATTTGGGGGAAGGGCTTCTGTGTGGTCCTGGCCACCCTGAATTTATTGCAGGGCAAGATAGAGGAGAGAGACAGTTGCTTATGGCATTCAAGGAGCAGGAGGAAGGATCTCAGCCCCTCAGAACTCCCCTGCCCATTTCCTAAGTCCTGAGTTGCCTTTCCTAGGGGACGACGCCTTTCATTTTATCATTCAAAAAGAAGCTTGGATGCAGAAGTCCTTGGGAAGCAGACATAGGGACTGAGGTCTCCACTTAGGTGTACGTGAAGGGCAAGGCAAAGCCCATCATGAAAGGGAGAAAGAAAAAGAACTTGGGTTAGCTGTTCTTGCACTGCTATAAAGAAAAACCTGAGACTGGGTAATTTACAGAGAAAAGAGGTTTAATTGACTCATGGTTCCACAGGCTGTACAGGAAGCAGAGCAGCTTCTGCCTCTGGGGAGGCCTCAGGAAGCTTCCAATCATGGCAAAAGGTGAAGGGGGAGTGAGGCTTCTACATGGTGAAAGCAGGAGCAAGAGAGAGTGAGTGGGGAAGTGCTGCACACTTTTAAACAGCCAGCTCTTGTGAGAACTCACTCACTATCTTGAGAACAGCATCAAGAGGACGGTGCTAAACCATCGTGAGGAAGCCACCCCCATGATCCATCACCTCCCGCCAGGCACCACCTCCAACACTAGGGACTACAATTCAACATGAGATTTGGTGGGGACACAGATCCAAACCATTTCAGCTAGTATCTGAACGATAGGAGGGGAAATCTTGGCCAGGGCAGAGGGCGAAGAAGTAGGGGAACAAGTGTTAGGGGTAACAGACAACTTCACAGCAGCCCTGTGAAGGGTGCAAAGTTCCTCTTTTAAACGGCTGCAGATTAATGAAAGTCGAGACTTAATCTTATCCAGAGTAAAGGGGCAGAGAGGTCTATGCCCCAGGAGGAAGCATGGACAGCAGTGGGGAAGGGAAGCCGGGGGGCTGCTCTGTGGGCCTTGGCAGGGTCTTGACTGTGCTCCTGATAAAACTGAGCTATTAATATGTGAAAGCGCTATGATCTACCACTCAGCATACCACGAAAGTTGTCATAGTTACTACACCCATGAAACAGTGGAGTACTTCATTCATTCATTCAGCAAAATAATAATCTCGCTTCTCACATTCATTCATTCATTCAGCAAATAATTTCACTTCTCACATTCATTCATTCAGTCAGTCAGCAAATAATAAGTTGCCACTATCAAATAATAGTAAGATCCATGTTGCTGGGCTCTTTCAGGATACAGGCGTAACAAAGACAAGGATGAAATAAGTCCTGTGATGGAGAGACAAGCAAAATTCTACCTGACTTCACAGGAGGAAGAAGTGTGCTGTGCCAGGGGGAACAGGAGAAAGCTTCATGGAAGAGGTGAGCCTTACAAGCCACGTAGGATTTCAAAAGGGGAGGATAATGTTCCGAGGCAAGGAACCAGCAAAACACTGAGGAATAAAAGTAAAAATTGTATCTGGGGAATGATGAGTGGTCCCAAATGAATGGAGGAGAAAGTTAAGCACCTGTGGGGTGTGTGTGGGGTGTGTATGTGTTTGTGTGAGTGTGTTGGTGGGAGTGGAAAGTGGAATTAGGAGTTTTGAGATGCTTTGTTTTGCAAACCGCAGATAACCCTTAAAGGTGTTGGAGACTTGTGGATGGAGTGAGTGGTGATGCAACCCAACCTATATATTCATAATTGACCCTGTAAGCCATAAAAAGGACAAGCTGAGAAGGGATGATATTAGAGGCAGGAGGACCAGAGGCTACTTCAGTAGCCCAGGTCAGAGAGGAGGAGGACTGGCAAGGCAGAGGCAGTGTTCCTGGAGGGAGGGGATAGATGCTGGGGACCCTGCAGAGGTCAGGGGCAGCCAGTCAGGTGTGGTGGGAGGAAGGGAAGTGCTCTCTTCGGGGTGCCTGAGAAGGTGACCATGGGCAGGACAGAGACTGGCAACTCTGAGAGAGAAATGGATTTGGGGAAAGAGAAAAGAAAACACTAGTTACAATTGGATACATGGAGTTGGAGTTGTTGGTGGTGACTGTCATGAAGGAGTACCCAGGGAAGAGTAAACAGATAGATGGAACAAAACAGGAGGAAGGCAGAACTCTGAGGAATGCCCACATCTAGGGGAGCCAGTGCAACAGACAACATGGAACGGCAGGGTTAGTAGGAGACGGGCCATGAGGAAAAGGGAGGGAAGTTCCAAGAAGAAAGGCTGGAAGGTATTTCTGATGCTTCAAGGAGACCCAAGAAGGGGAGATGGTGAGGCAGTTGGGTTGGGCAATAAAGAAGTTGAGCAGGGTGTGGGAAGTAGAGGCAGAAAGATTTTGCACCTGGCTTTAAAGAAGTTTCACCATGATGACTGCATGGAAAGTTTTTTTTGGGTGATGGGCCCTTGAGCAATATTCAAGGATAAATAATAAGGAGGGAGAGATTGAAAGGCACCCAAGAGGGGACTCTGATGGAGCAGGATCATGGGAGGGGCAGGAAGGGGTGGAGCAGGTGGGCTTGCAAAGCAGCAGGAAGAAGGTGCGATAGACCAGAGAACAGTTAAGGTAAAGACAAGGGGGAGCGAGGGTGCAGGCAGCCTGCCGGGGAAGGAAACAATGAGATCCTATGCTGAGAGTGAGGGCTGGGGATGAAGGTGATGGGAAGAGAGAAGTGGCTTGGAAATTTGAGGCAGGGAGGACACGGAACAGAAAGTCAGGCAGGAATGAATAATAGGGCATTGAGAAGCTGAAGATGGAAGCCCGGCTCTGCAACATCCTCGTCTGCACAGTCATGACATTTGCTCCAGCCTTTCTGGGCAGTCTGGAAGCAGAAGCAGAAGCAAAGAACCCAGTGGCGGGAATCCTCCAGCTATGGCCAGCACTGCAGCCACAGTGGACAGCCAGAGACACAGGACCTTAGCGGATGATCGGAGAGAATTTTACAGCAGGAAGCCTTTTTGTTGATATGGGTGACCTTCACCTCCAAGACCGGTACAGCCTTGTCTTGGGTTAAATTTGGAGACCAAATGTGAAAAAGTTTTACATAAAAAATATATACCGGCCAGGCACGGTGGCTCACACCTGTAATCCCAGCACTTTGGGAGGCTGAGGCAGGCAGATCACGAGCTCAGGAGATCGAGACCATCCTGACTAATACGGTGAAACCCCATCTCTACTAAAAATACAAAAAATTAGCTAGGTGTGGTGGCAGGTGCCTGTAGTCCCAGCTACTCAGGAAGCTGAGGCAGGAGAATGGTGTGAACCTGGGAGGCGGAGCTTGCAGTGAGCCAAGATTGCGCCACTGCACTCCAGCCTGGGTGACAAAGCGAGACTCCATCTCAAAAATAAAATAAAATAAAATAAAAATTAAAATTAAAATAAATATATAATATATATGTGTATATACATATTATATAATATATATACATACGTATATATACATATACACCTCTCCCAGAAAGAATTGTGAACCAGGAATGAGAACAAATTCCTGTTGTAGAAGAAGTTGTTTTTCTTCTTTCCTTTGGCTTTCCTGTGCTGTGTGATCCAAGCAGATGACTTAAACTTTTTACCTATTCCTCCTATCTGCCTGCCTCTGGGCCACATTCTGCTGATTTACTAACTTTCTGGAAAGAAATCGCTGTTTAAATTAAGGCAATTTCACTAAGCAAGTGGTTTCATTCTACAGAATTCTGTAGTGTTTGCCCTCTCCTTACAGCAGTGAAACAAAACAAAAACAAACAAATCCAGTTTAGTCGAAACCTCACTGGTCTTTTGACTTGTTCTTGATGTTCAATGGGGTTGTTGAAGCTAAACAGATATTAAACAAATTCTACCCAGTTTAGTTTGGGAAATTAAATGCTGTCAGCCGTGGTCAGTTCTGCACACTCCACGCGGATGGAGAATGCTGGCATTGGTTATGATTGCCTTAAGTGCTTATTCTCTGATCAAGAGGCAGCATCTTAGCCTCTGCCAGAGTGGAGAAAGGACTGTACCATGGGTGCCATCCACCATGACCCACCTTACTGACGAGAAGCAGTGATGCATGGGATCTGTTCTTCCTGTACCCCTTTCAAGCATCTCCAAGTTCCTCCCCAAAGCCCTAAGGAGACTTTTGAAGCCACTCTTTGTCTCCTATTAACTTAAGGCTTGGGTGCTGGCTGTTAGCCAGCCAGAGTGGGGCAAAGAAGGCCAGAGCCCAAGAAAGGCCTCCGTGGCGTCAGCAGCCCCGGGGTCTGTCCAGCCTAGAATTCATGACTGCTGAGACACTCAGGTGTGGCTTGGGGATGGGACTGTGAGGAGCCATCTCCACAACCCCAGAAGGCAGAGCATGGACTGAACATTCAGAGAAACAGCTATCACGGTATAGCCAAATACTCCTGTGAGCTCTTCATATTTTTCCATCAGGGCCACATCTAGGAAGAGTTAATTTCATAAATTGACCTCCTACTGTCTTAAGTGGATATATCTTTCTCTCCTAGCTTCCAACGGAGCCATTTTACTTTTACCAACTCGAATTTGATGACCAACCAAAGAGAGAAAGAAGTAAATGACTACTACTAGGAATCTATGATGTTCTAAACCCTTTGCTAAATGTTCACTTTTGCTAAATTGTTTCACCACATGCCTATTATTTAGGTAGTTTCATCTCCATTTTACAGATGGAGAGTTACGCTGTAATATCTGGACCACCTAAGTTGGTTCTCCATGTTTCATCTGATTGCCTAGCCTGTAATACCATTATATGTTGCCCTATTGCAACTTCTGTCTTTCCAAATTAAAGAATCGATACTCCATGTCGGTGTATGTGGAGAAGAGGGATAGATATCTAAACATGTTGGCTGGAAACCACTATATCTTTCATCAAGTATTATTAAGACCTATAATGTTCTCAGCACTGTAGGGAGCAAGTGGAAAGAGGGCTCTCACCTGCAAGGACACTGCTACCTGTTTTGGGATACACAGAAAAACATGTCCACTTGCCTTCCACTTGTCTTCCTTGCAGCTGAGTCCCAGAGGCACAGGTTGTCATTTCAAGATGCAGAACAAGCATCACAAAATAATTCTAAGGATCCAGTGAGCTCCAAGGAGACTGTTGCCATAGCACCATCCCATACTGGTGAGTCCCAGAGTAGTCTTCTTCTCTGGTGAATGTGCCAGGGGCAGAAGGCACTGTTAGGTCCTCCAACTGACTGCCCCTTGCTGTGCTTCCTGTATGGCTCCACTGGATCCTGGAGGAAGACAGCTAAAATGGGAAGAGCAAAACGGAAGTGGTCTGGTGAAGAGAAGCAAGTTTGCTGAGCGTGCTGAGGCAGTCTTATGTAGGAGAACTCAGCTTCAATTTATGGAGCATCAGAATCCAGCCTCCCATGTGGCTCTGTGGCTCTGGCCTCTCCTTAAAACTTCCAGGAAGGAAGCTTCACAGAGGAAGGAAGGGGAGAGGGAGGAAAGCAAGGACAATTCCCACAGTGACAGAGTGCCTGGCCTGGGATGGCAGAGGGCAAAACTTGAAGGCTGGCTGCTGAGATGGGCGGGGAGGGCTGGGTGTGTTGGGGCTTATGTGTTCATTATGAGAAATGTCTTAATGACCATAAGTCCTGAGGGAGGCTGGAGAGCAATGCCTGGCACCAGCCACGCTTGTGCAGGGGCTCCTGTCCAGGTGAAAAACATGTACGGAGTGAGTAAGGAGAGAGATGGGAGTGTGTGGCTGCTGAAGGTGACTGATGGCCTTGGAATGCAACTCTGACTCCTGTGGGATTGGGTTTTACTGGAATGAGACACAAAGATTAGTGACTTTCAGCTGAGAAGGAATCCTCGTTCTTGGTTTCCAGAACCGTGTTTCTTCATGGTTCTTTGGGAGTTCCATTTGTGTTCTCCACCTCCAGACCTCTGCTCAAGACATTTATTCCTTCTTCCCATGAGTCCATATCCTACTAGGCCAGCCCAGGCCTCACCATTTCCATGAAGTCATCCTTGCTGGTCTAACTTGAAGCCTCCCTCCTCGAACCTGCTGACCTTCCACTGGCAGAGGTGATGTTAGTGTGAGATTCTCCAACAGGGATATGTGTTTAAGGGGAACATTTGTCTTCACAGAATCTTGAAGTTACTCAAAAATTCTGGGAGAACAAACTGATAAGATTTAATATATCAAAAGATTTTATGGAGTAAAATGCAAAGTTGACAAGCGTATTTAAATTAAAGCTGAGACTTCAAAACAATTTCATGAGACTGGAGGGCCACTTTGAGCCATACTCAACTGGGCACCTGCTTGCTATCCTCTCCATGAGAGAACTTTAGCAGATGAGTTTGGGGAGTAGGGAATGCGATGTCAGGAGGCATAGGAGGGCCTCTTTCTCTTCCTGGAGGCTGGGCAATGGGGAGTTGAAGCCTTGCTAATTGAGAGCAAAAGGAAATTGTTTTATTAAATTGCAGTTAAAAATAACAGCAAATACTATTTGTCACATACCTCCTATATGCCAGGTACTGTACTAGTTGCATTACACATTTTATTTCAATCAACTCTCATAAGTCAATGAGGTAAATATTACTCCCACCCTACAGCTGATGAAGTCAAGCCACGGTGAGGCAATGTAATGTCCCCAAGTCAAACAGCTAGTAAGATCAAGGTCCAGGATATGATCCTGAGTCTAATGGACTCTTAGCTTCTCTGCCATGCTGCTGTGGGTATATCAAGGAAGAGACCTGAAGCGTATGTCTCCACAATGCGTCACAGGCATTCCCTAAAGTTTTGTTATTTTTATGTTGGCCCCAAATGTTGACCTCTTCTGTTGCAGGTCCAGACTCTAGGTCATATGGAGAGCTCAGTTTGCCCTAGTGGTTCCTCCCCATGCAGGGGATCCTGGACCAGGTGTGTGGAAACCTCACCCCCCTAGCAACATCTGGAAGGTCTTGCTGGGCCCCCGCTTGACTTATCTACCAGAAAAAGAGTGGCTGGTCTGGTCTATCCTTGTATAAATTTGGGAAATTACCCAGTCAGATTTCAACATCAATAAGCGGCCAGGTGTGGTAGCTCATGCCTATAATCCCAACACGTTGGGAGGATCGCTTGAGTCCAGGAGGATCGCTTGAGTCCAGGTGGGAGGATCGCTTGAGTCCAGGAGGTGGAGGTTGCAGTAAGCTGATATCATGCCACTGCACCCTAGCCTGGGCAGACTTTATCTCAAATATAAATAAATAAATGAAGAGATGAGGATCAGATTTGTGGGCAGCTGGGGGATGGCTGGTTGTGATTCTTGTTCTGCATAAGGACATAAGGAACACTCAGGGTGAGAAATCAAGGCTGGAGTCCTTTACTGGGACAGTTTATTTGCAAGAACTTTTCCATTCAGTAAGCATCCTGGTTGGTATTTTTCACTGTGGTTGCAGTGAGGAACCCTGGTTATTTTTAATAACATATGCCACATTCATTGCATTCATTCAGTCCTATAGCATTTTATGATGTGTCTGACCCAGAAAAATGTGTGGCCAGTTTAGGGGGATGGGGACGGTGTGTCTTCATTCTCTGCCCTCTTTTAGCCTTCCCTTTCCTTGGCACTTTCCTGCAGAAATAGTGAGTTTTGACATCCCATGCACATTTTTCCACCGTCTTTTGGATTTGCCCCATCTGCCAAAAGGCCCTTGTAACTTTACACTGCACAAATTCATGTTTCAGGGACTTGCCAAATCTTGTCAAGTCCTAAAGTTTTTCTTGGCAGAGACTGCACCACTCCACGGAAATGGATCGGGTGAGTCCATCAGGCCCTGGTGCCGCTTCTCCGGGTGCCATGTGCAACTGCTGGGTCTTTCCTGACTCCCTTCCCAGGCTTCATGGGCACTGGCATACCCTGTGCCCTGCCTCTTCCAAGCCCACTGATTTCCGAGAGCATCAGCAGACTTCAGCACCTCCCAGGCCAGGGCTTGCAGGAACATCAGTTAAGTGATTGCTTTATCTTTGTCACCTCTGCCCACTCACCCACCACCCCTTGCCTTCACTGCCCCAACCATCTCTTCTGGTGGCTCCAATCCTTCAAATTAGAAGGGAAAGTCATTCATCCACTCAACTAATATTTATACAGAGTATTTATGCAACTCAGTTCCTTGTCTTAGGCACTTAATAGTGAACTTAACAGTGAACCAAACAGACAAAGGCCCTGCCCTCACGGCACTTACATTCTAACACGTCTAATAAAGCTCTAAAATGAAGTTAGGGTGATGTATTTGCAGCTAGTGTTCATTTTTCACCTTCACACGTATGATTGCACTTGTTTCTCTTAATAGCCTTTGAAGTAGGCACGGCATTTCACGGAGGAGAGAACTGAGGCTTCTTTCTTTCTTTCTTTCTTTTTTGGTTTTATTTATTTATTTTTTTTTGAGATGAAGTCTTGCTCTGTCACCCAGGCTGGAGTGCAGTGGCGCGATCTCAGCTCACTGCAGCTTCTACCTCCTGGGTTCAAGCAATGCTCCCCCTCAGCCTCCCGAGTAGCTGGGATTACAAGCGCATGCCACCATGCCTGGCTAATTGTTTTTGGTATTTTTCTTAGTAGAGATGGGGTTTCACCATGTTGACCAGGCTGGTCTCGAACTCCTGACCTTGTGATCCACCACCTCGGCCTCCCAAAGTGCTGGGATTACAGGCATGAGCCACTATGCCCAGCCGAGAACTGAGGCTTCTTTCTAATCATCCTCCTCCCTGGATGCCTGCTTCTTAAAAAGAAGAGTCTGAAAAAGTACAGTGAAACCCAAAAGGGATGAGTACCAGCCAGGTGTGGTGGAGTGTGCCTGTAGTCCCAGCTACTCAGGAGGCTGAGGCAGGAGAATCACTTGAGCCAAGGTGTTCAAGGCTATGGTGAGCTATGATTGTGCCACTGCACTCCAGCCAGGGCAACAGAGGGCAACAGAGGGCAACAGAGCAAGACCTGTCTAAAAAAAAAAAAAAAAAAAAAAAAAAAAAAAAAAGAAAGAGAAGGAAAGAAAAAAGAGAGAAAGAAAGAGGAATGGAGTACTGATGGTGAAGCTGATGGTGGAAGTTGGAAATCCAGGTCTCTATGGGGACAATATTTGGGACAGAGAGAGCTCTTTGGTCTTCTAAACCTATGGGCCAAACCTTGCCCAACACCTGTTTTGTATAATCCACAAGCTAAGAATGGTGTTTGTATTTTTAAATAGTTGAAAAAAAGTCAATGGAAGAATACCATTTTGTGACATGTGAAAATTATATGAAATGCACATTTCAGTGTCCATAAAGTTTTACTGGAACACAGCCATCCCCATCATTTATACATTGTCTATGGTGGCTTTCACGCCTCAATGGCGGAGTTAAGTAGTTGTAACAGAAATTGCATGTGGCCTAAAAACCCTAAAACATTTACTATCTGGACCTTTATAGAAAGTTTACTGACACCAGTCCTAGAATCATATGGTAGAGACAGCTATTTATATTCCATGTGCATAATACTGGCCTTGTCAGGCAGGGAGGAATCCCTCTGTCTCAATCTGCCTGTGGAAGAAAATAAAGTGGACTGAATGTTGCAGGCTGAGAACTAGTCCCTGACATCTGTTTTCTCTTCAGCACACAGAGGCAGCCCTTCTGGGAAGTGTTCTGACAAATGCAAGATTCCTTCCTGGCAGAATTGTCAATGTTATTTGCCAAGTTCAGGAGCAAACCTTCATCTTGGGAGGTTCTGGGCTCCTGGATGGGGGTCTCTGCAAATTTAAATAATAATATTCATGCCTATGGAAAGAAGACAGGACTAACAGAGGAAGCAGGTTCAAGTGCCCCCTCTGCCACTTAATAAGTGGTGTGGTATTGAGCAAATCCCTTAATCTCAATTAGAAAGATGCCTTGGTTCTCTCCTCTGTGAAATGGCCCGCCTTGCCTACTTCAAAAGCTATTTAGAGAAACAAGTGCGACCATATGTGTGAAGGTGTTTGTAAAGTGAACAGCAGCTGCAAATACATCATCCTCTCCCTTCCTATGAGTGGGTAGTAATATTGTTGAATTCTCTTCCTTCATTCTTCTTTGTCTGTGGAGACCCAGTCAGAGGGATGCCTACAACAACATTCTCCTTCCCTTCAGTCTGGGTCTCCACCTGCCCTGAACCCCACCTCCTACCCCCTCACCCCAGATTCCACCTACTCTCTGAAATCAGCTTTAGGGAGTCTCAACCACATGGTGGGCAACAGACCTCACACAACCAAATGAGAACAGCCCTGCCGTTCTTCCTCCACGGCCGCGTCTCTTAGTTTGCAGGATGCCACAGCTGCCTTCCTTCAAATAGCCCCAAACCCCCTACAATGTATGATGCAACTACCAGTCACAGCCTCCTCAGCCTGTTTGGTTATTTCTCCCTGCCAGTCTGTATAAATCTCACCCTCTCAAAGTGCAGTGAGTTTCTATCCCACTGTGTACCCCTGATGATTCTAAACTTAACAACTACCTTCTTTTGGTAGTTTAGGGTTGGGGAATGTGAAATGTGCAGACAGGAGTGATTTCTAAAAGTCAAAATACTGGCTGGGCATGGTGACTCACACCTGTAATCCCAGCACTTCGGGAGGCCGAGGCGGGTGGATCACTTGAGGTCAGGAGTTCAAGACCAGCCTGTCCAACATGGCAAAACCCCGTCTCTACTAAAAATACAAAAAGTAGCTGGGCATGGTGGTGTACGCCTGTAGTCCCAGCTACCTGGGAGGCTGAGGCATGAGAATTGCTTGAACCTGGAAGGTGGAGGTTGCAGTGAGCCGAGATTACACCACTGCACTCACTCCAGTCTGGGCAATAGAGCGAGACTCCATCTCAAAAAAATAATAAATAAAATTTTTTAAAAAAAGTTAAAATCTTCCTCCCTTACTGGACCATTAGCACTGTTGGGGCAGAGACTTCTTCTGTTCTGCTGCTTTCTGTTGTGTCACCAACAGCCACATGGTGCTGGGCACATGGTAGAGGCTGACAAAATGATTCTCTGAGTGCATGAATGAATGAATGGTATCTTGGGATTTAATAACAAGACCTTGGTCATCCTATGGATACCTTGTATGAGTTTATATACAACGCTTCTGTGATAAACACAGCATTCTACGTACAGTAAGTGCCTAATACATGTAGGTGGATGATGACAACAATGAATATGAGGTTGAAAAGTCAGTCTTCCAAACAACACATGAACAGAACAACACATGTGAAAGGGGTCTAAGTTTAATAGAAACCTAAAAAAAAACACAAATGAACAAAAAAACCCCTTTCTATCACAAGAGGGCTAGTATCTTATACTTCACATTTTGTTCAAGGACTGAGTTGCCATAAGTTGGAACTTTGACATGTGACTTGGGGAGTCTGGGGTGCATCATCGGTTGCATCTCCTGAGAAAATTCTCAAACTAGGAAAAAATATGTTGACAGTGAGCCACAAAGGTTGGTATTTGTAGCTGCCATCCTCAGTGTTTAGGAGAAATAAGTTTTCATTATGGGACATGGAACAGATGTCAAATCCCCAGCCATCCTTGTGCTGTTTGCTGTTTGTTGAGTCACCCTGGAGCTTGTCCATCCCGGCACCAATTTTCATGGGAAGCATCAATGTGGGGCCAGAAGGCCATGCTGATGGATGGGCTCACAAGAGGAGAGCTGGAAGGGGGGCCTTCTGTTGGCTCTGGTCATCTTAATTCTTCGGCCACTTTGCTCCCCTTACCCCAAGTCCTCGTCCCCATCACCTTCATCCTCCCCTCCCGAGCTGGATTCTCAATTCTGTTGCCAGGCTCCCATGCCAGTTCCTGCAGCACTGGCTTACCAGTACAGAAGTGAGGGCTGCAGAAACACCTCTGTGCAAGGCACACATGTTGTTTGTGCCACCCATGGGCAGCTAGAGCTCTAAGAAGGGATAGACCATTTCCTGGACAGTGGTAGAAGGAGGTGAGTAGCTTTCTCAGTGTTTTCCCCTGGGGCCCCACAAGAGAAACCTTGAACTATCCTGACTTGCCAACTCACTCCAGGGCTCCACAGTGTTCCCAGGTATTCTTGCTGACCCAGCCATGTCCACCAGCAGACTGGACTTCTCATTTCCCTTACTATTCTGAACGAAGCAGACAATTCCCCTTCTCCTTTAATTAAACCAAGATAATGCTGGGATTTTGCAAAAAAAAAAAAAAAAAAAAAAAAAAAAAGAACTTTGCTAGAAATCTAAGGAAAAAAACCCCAAACATTTAAAATAGAGTTTCCTAAGCCTGGCAGACTTCATTAGACAAGATTTCTGGTCCTTCTCCCTGTTCTTATTTAACTGGGCTCCTGGACCAGTCACGAAGGGCTCTTGCCTTATAGGCACATGCTTAGCGTTCGTAGATACAGCTGGTTTCCACTATGACTATGCCATTTTTCATTCCCATCAGCAGTGTGGGAGAGTTCCATTGCTCAATGCTTGCCCACCTTTGGTATTTCAGTCATTTCGTGGGCGTGTATTATTTTGTGGGATTGTGGTTTTAATCTGCATTTCCCTGACGAATAAAGATATTGAGCAACTTTCCCTACACTTATTAGCCATTTGGTTATCTTCTTTTATAAAGTTTGAATCTTTTGCACATTTTTTAACTGGATGCACGCCATTCATCAGATACGTCTATTGCAAGAATCGTTTGCCAGTTTGTAGCTTGCCCTTGTACTCTCTTCATGCTCCTATGGCCCAAGTGAAATCCTTTTGTAATATAAAACCAGAGTCAGAGGGAGTGAATCTACAGTATGGCAGTCTGCTTTTACTTGACTGCATTTCCAAATCACTTTTCAGAAAGTCAATAATATTTATAACTCAGCACCACAGAAGGTGCCCTTGTGTCCTCTCCCAATCAATTCCCCATCCTGCAAAAGTAAATTCTATCCTGACCTTTATCACCATAGATTTGTTTTGCCTGTTCTCATCTTTCACATAAATGGAATCATACTGTGTATACTCTTTTACATCTGGCTCCTTTTGCTCTACATTATGACTATACGGTTCACCCACTTTGTGTATAGTGATAGTTTGTTCTTTTTCATTGCTACGTGATATTCCTATGTGTAAATATACTGCAATTTGGGTTCTTTCCAGGTTGATGCTATAGTGAATAAAGTTGATAAATATTTATATAAATGAATATTTATATTTATAAATATATAAAATACATAAAGCTATATTCTTGTACCTGTCTTTTGGTAGACAAATCCAATCTTGGGCCTATAACTAAGAATGGAGTTACTGGGTCTTGGGCATCAATTTGTGCTTTGTTTTAGTAGATACTAAAAGCTTTCCAAAGTGGGTATACTAGTGTACGTTCCCACCCACAGTGTGTGAGTTTCAGTTGCTCCATATCCTCTCCAACACTTGACATCATGAATTTCTACTTTTTCAGTCCTTCTGCAATTTGTGTATTTGAGTGAAGGCTTAATTTGCATGTCCTGATGACTAATGATATTGAGCACCTTTTCAAATGCTTACTGGCCATTTGGATATCCTCTTTGTGAAGTGTCTGTGGAGTCTTTTGTACATTTATGATCTTTGGGTTGTATTTGTTTTTGACTTGTAAGAGCTCTTTATATATTGTGGATATGGTGGATATGAATCTTCTGTCAGATATATGTCTTGAATATTTTCCTCCCAGTATGTGGTTTGCCTTTCCATTTTCTTCAGTAATGTCTATTGATAAGTGAAAGTTCTTAATTTGAATGAAGTTTAAATGATCAATCGTTGTCTACTCTTCAGGAAGACACTCCTGCTTGGGCTCTCTCTCTGCTCTCTGCTGCCAGGCTACAGGCTGTTCTGCCTGATCTGCATGTGCCTCTCCCACCCTTACTGCAGATCCCCTCCTCTCTGGGGATTTGCTCTGTTTGCTTGACAAAGACTCCCTGGATGGAGACTGAAGCTCCCTGGATGGAGGCTGAGCTCCACCCTGGGCTCATTCACCAAGCAGAGGTGATTCACTCATCCTTATCAAGTCCTTCCTGGCTCTGGTTACCACTCTCCTACTTTGAAGGTGATTTTGACACTTCCTCCAGTGTCCTCTTATCAAGGGAATGCTTCTCAAGATCTCAACTCTACAGGATTACAATATAAAGTTACTTTTCATCTTAGGAACAAGATCTTATATCACAGGTTTAATGTTGACACTCCAAACTTGGGCCCAGTGTAATCCAATCAAAATCTACTCATATGGCTGTGACCATCTCATTTCATATCTCTAAGGTACTATTAGAACTGCCCCCTCTTCCTCCCTCTAAGGGGTTCTTCAAGAGGAAGTAAGGAGATTTGCAAATGCAATCAAGGAAAAGCAGAAGTCCATAAACTTGGATGAAAAACTTACATTTTCATTTCTACCAATCATTATTTAAAAATTAGCATTTCTTTTCATTATGAATGTAGACAACAAGCTACAGATGCATTAGCAATACCTGTGACTTTCTCACCAATAGAAATCACAGATACCTTCATATCACATTATAGTTGTTGAGGATATTTTGAATTTATCATTAACGCTTATCATTGTTTCAATATCACAGAAATTATTAGACTCACCACTAGATCTTGCATTTGATGTGCTAACAAAGAAATATATCACAAACTTATTTCTTAAAAAAATCTTGATAATTTTATTTCTATATATATATATTTTTGTTTTTGTTTTTTTTTCTGAGACAGAGTCTCGCTTTGTCACCCAGGCTGGAGTGCAATGGCACAATCTTGGCTCACTGCAACCTCCACATCCCAGGTTTATGCGATTCTCCTTGCCTCAGCCTCCCAAGTAGCTGGGATTACAGGCACACACCACCACGCCTGGCTAACTTTTGTATTTTTTTTAGTAGAGACGGGGTTTCACCATGTTGGCCAGGTTGGTCTCAAACTCCTGACCTCAAGTGATCCGCCCACCTCGGTCTCCCAAAATGCTGGGATTACAGGCATGAACCACCGTGCCTGGCCAATTTCAATATAACTTACACGTTTAGAAACATTCTGAGAAATAGTCTGTACATTTTACAAAACTGCCAAAGGGTCCCACGCAAAAAAAAGATTCAAAAATTCCCATCAACTAAGAGATCCTCTTAAACCCATAGCAACTTAAAACCATTCATTGACCTATGCTGATAAACTAGCAGCCATGCGTCTGCATTGGGTGGTGCTGAAATCCACTCTATCTTTGTGTTTCCTTGACACAGGGTTGTAGGGGAAGGGTGATGAATCTCAGTGGGCCCAGGCATGTGGCTCCAGTTTTCCTTCCCAGTTTTCCAGTGGGCCTGGGCATGTGGCATTCCAAGGATCCTGAAAGAATAGGGCATCTCTTTTGCAGGTCACAGGAAATGGGTAGCTATCCAGCTAAATAGATTTCATGCTTGACTTCAGTGGAATAGCTCAAATGATGATCTGTTTGGGAGAGTAAATTAAAGAGGTAAGTGGGCATGATGGTTTTATTTGGTTTAACTTTTGCTGGTTTAGTTGCTCCCCTAAGCATTTTTTAAAAATATAGACCTCTTCTCCCAGCATCCCGCTCTCTCAAATTCTGGCCAGATCCTGCTTCTCAGGGAGCACTAACTTTGAATTAGCTTGGAGGGAAGGCCTTACCAAGAACTCCTTTCTCTACAAGATAATCAAAACATGACCATTCTTTTCTCATAACTCCAAATACACAGTCCCTTGGTATCCACTGGGGATGGGTTCCAGAACCTCCCAAGAATACCAAAATCCACAGATGTTCAAGTCCCTTATATAAAATTATATGGTATTTGCATATAACCTATGCATATCCTCTTATGTAGTGTACTTTGTCATCTCTAGATTACTTATAATACCTAATACAATGTAAATGCTTTGTAAATAGTTGTTATACTGTATTTCTTAGAGAATAATGACAAGAAAGAAAAGCCTATGATGCGTTCAGTACAGATGAAACCATCCTTTTTTTTTTTTTCTGAATAGTTTCCATCCGAGGTTGGTTGAATCCACAGATACGGAACCCACAGATATAGAGGGCCAACCATACTGAGTCCTGACTTCACCCATTCCTTCTACCCCCATCTCTCCTAATCCTTAAACTTCCTTGCAATTCCTGGAGCAGAATACTCGTGTAGGAGTCAGGGGTTGTCTTCCCTTCCTAGAAGCAATGCTTCTATGTTCTCATTTGATGTTGAATAAAACATTAAACAGAAAAGCTTTGATAACATCACATAAGAGTCTATTTCCTTGGCTCACACCATGAGAACTAGTGAGATCCCCAGTTCCTCAAAACTGGGGAACAGTATGCTTCATATTGCTATCTAATATGACCCACCAACCCCATCTTCCACCCTCCACCTTCCCCTTGCATCCTAACCTTCCATTTCATCATGCAAGCTGCTGTAGTCGTGAGTTGTTTTCTGAGACGAGTGAAGGACCACTGACATCTATGTCTTCTGTAAAGAGTAGTGTAGACATGGCTATAACCACCACCTCCTCCTCTCTTCCCCATTAACGTCACTTAAATTTTGAATGTTTGACTGTGCTATTTTCAAAGACACTGTAGCGGATTCTGCACATGACATGCTTCCAAGGCACTATAAGTTGTCTGTAAAAAGCTAAGGCTGTCACTTGTTATCAGGACCTCTAACCAAGTTGTTGAAGTTGACAGAGTTTTATTAGCTCTGTTTTTGCAATAGTCTGTCTTATTCTGGAGACAAATGGGGAAACTTTGCCTTCACACTGGGTTTGTTTTATAGCTCTTAGATGTGTAATACAAATGAATGATGTTGAGCCATTTCCAGCCTGCAGTGATGGGTGTCAGTTTCTTGGACACCACTAGGAAATCTGTAACGCTGAGCCACGTCATAGTGATTCAAAGGCAAGCTGTCCTGGAGACAGGGCTGGACTCTGTGACTCACAATTAGAACTCTGTGATTCTAGTTCTGACCCTTCTTGTAATGACTGTGTGGCCTTAGATAGGTCCTTTCATTTTGGTTCCATTTCCTCATCTATAAAGACAGAGACCTGGATGAGCTCTAAGTCCATTCCAGCTCTGTCAGTTTATTATTCTAATAAATGAATTACCAAAAAAGTCGTGAAAACATCCAATCAAGAAAAGTAACTGTGATTCTGTTTTATATGGTGTTAAAGATTCCCACTTGACTTTTGAGTCTCTTTACTCAGTATATGTACCCCAAGGTTCTACTAGATTCCCATAAACTATTCTTTAAAATTGACCTTGGGCCAGTATAAAATCCTGTCTTATTATCCAAGGCCCAGATTCTGAGTTGTAAGAAGGTCTATTTAAAATGGTATGTTTTTCTTGCAGCGATTGTTAAGTGGTCAGGTTTTATGATGTTTTAACATTCATTGCCATTCATTATCTAAACACTGTTCTATAATCCAGGGAGTGTGAGGTTAATAAATAGAATGGAATTCATTCTGGGTTTGATTTCATCTGCTGATTCTAGTGGAAGTCTCTTTATATCTATTCCTTCTTTCTCAACATGTTTAAGCAGAGAAACTCTGGCTCTCTGTTCATGATCTTAAATCTCTTTGACTTTGGGGAAGGAAAAAATGTTGCTGTCTTCAGCCCCAAGTTCAACAACTGTAAAATGCGGTGACATGTCATAGGAAGAGAAATCCATTCATCATCACTACATTTTTGAGTGACTTAAATATTCACCATATAACAATATGAATATTTAAATCACTTACTTGCCTTTTTACTTTTAAAACAGAGAATTTTTCCACCTGTATAATGTTCATGAGTCCTAATGTTATAATGTTACATTACATTCATCTGTTCCATTTTATAATGCTCCAAGAAGGAACAGTAGGGAAAGAAAGCTTCACAGTACACGATGGACATTTCACAGTCCAGCTGCATCTCAGGCAAAAGGCAGCCCTGTTGAAGCTGCTAAATGTTCCACTTCACCTATTACGATTATGGATGGCACAGATGGATTTTTGGAAGGCTGTGTCCTTTTAGCCAAGTTATTCTCCCATTGAACAAGGCGCTCACTCTCCTACCTTCCCATTTCTGACTCCACCACCACCACTCCCTCCTAAGTACACACTAACACTTGGACTTGGACTACATTCACCAAAACATATAGTTTCATTAACTGATTGCTTTGCTGCACTCCAAATGGCCTAACATTTTGTAGCTGAAGGAGTGTAAATCATGCCTTATGTGGGCTACAGTAGGATGTGATGTTTAGAGAAAGGAAAATATGCTTCCTTATAGAAGCAAGAGGCACTAAGCCATCTGGATTGTAGAGAAAAAAATTTGGTCATTCATTCTGATGTTTTGTCTGCGTAGTACCAAACATCTGGAAGTTGGGTGACAGACTGAATTTTTCACATCCAGATATTTCTGCATTATACTGAAACACAACTATATATTTTTAAGACTTTAAATAGTAAAAGCATAAAAGATGTACTAATTTCACATTTTGAGGTAGAAAAGACAAATGAAACTGAGGCAAACTTCTGGTTAGTTCTTTATGTAATATGCTATTTTTGTTTTTCAAAAGTCACTTTCTGCAACTAAACTCTTAGAATTAAAATAACTATGAAGAAATATCCCCAGAAATACTGAATGTGTGTCATTAAAAAGCACAATTTAGACTGTTGCTTAACAGCTGAAATGTTCACATACTGCAAATTCAGGTAACACTTGGACAGTTAAAAGCAATTATTCCGAAAAATAATTGCTTAGTAGTTTAAGAGAGTTTCATTCCAAGTGACTCTGAAAACATTTATTCCTTCCACACAAATGAGAATGCATGGTCAAGGTTCTAACGGGACTTGCAAGGAGACTTTTCAGACCTTTTCAAGAATCAGTTTTGAGAAATGCATTTAATGATGCAAAATAAAAATTAAGATTCCATCTGTTGGAGCCACCTTGAACACTTGTCAGAAGAACACAAGCAGAAAGGAGTATTTAAGCATTCTGTAACACGACCATTTGAAAAAAAAGTAAAATATTTTGTGTTGTTTTGAGAACTGCATTTTTCTTGTCCTCTCACATTAAGTGGCCTTGGATCTAAGGCTTGTTAGAAGACATGTTCAGAACCTGTTTCCTTGTATTAGAAGACACGGAAATCTGGCTCTCAACTGCCAACAGGCTTCGTGGGCATTGCTATGCCATGAGAATTCTAATATATTTTTCATTATTTCCACAAAGGCATATAGAGTGTGTACATTACACACAGCAGTATAATTGAGCTGAACTGGCCTGGTGCCGCGTTTTTGCTGACTCAGCACATGGTTTCTCTTTCCCAGATTACTAAAACAACTTTCCTCTGAGGTAAAAGCTCCGCAGAAAAGCAAAGGGGAATAGAAATACAGAGGGGCCTTATTTTCACCCTTAATTATACCAAGTCCAAAGGCAAATGCAAAATCAGATCGAACTTTTTGAGGCTTCAAAAATAAAAAAATGTCCCCCTTTGCTTCTCCTCCCAACCCCTGCGCCCGTGGGAGTCACAGTAAATTAGAACCCAGCTTGTTTTTCAGCGATGAATTTGCACCGGGCCTCTTGCGCTTGGGGTGGCGTCCTCGATGCGGATTGCCCGTGCCTTTTTTACGCTTTGTGTACGGTATTTTAAGCGAGGCAGGCCAACCTCGTTTTGTATGGACTTGCACCAGCAAACATTTAAGAGTTTCGCATCAAGGATACTGCATATCCCAGACACTGCGTACAAACTTTTAGGACTTGGGGTCACAGCACTTGTTCCCCTTCTCCGCCCGCTTCAGCGCTAGAGCCTGCAGAGATTTAGGGTCATGTGTGCGCGCCGGCCCACAACATACTACTAAGTGGCAATGGCCGGTTCCCAGACGCATCCAACATCCTTCAAGTTCGGTTTTCTGCTCCCTAACACACTCAGCCATTGGTGCAGCGGGAATCACTGGGCTCCGATTAGCACGCGGGACAGAGGCAGGCGGAATACTGTGAACCTCCGGTCTGCCCCCCTAAGCCCCTCATCTCCCCCATGACCCGCTAGCTAATCAGTGCAAATGCCGTAGGAGGCCAGGCCCGCAACTGGCATTCCAGAGAGCGCGGACCACCAGCCGAGCTTTAAATAAGTGCAGATGTGACAGGCAGGGGAGACCCAGGGAGGGCCGCCTCTCCCGCCCCGCACCTCCCTCCAGGCTCAGGCCGGTGCGCCGCAGGCAGCAGCCATGCACACAAGGCGCCCGCGGGCAGTAATGTTGCCCGGGACTGGGGCGCACACCAAGTGACTGCAAAGGGAACGGAGGCCCGCGAGTTCGAGGGCAGCGCTGGAATGGTGTGAGCCCCGTCACCCATCCCTTCCTTGGCCCTACGGCTTCTTCCTGAAGAGGCTGGGGGATAGCGGCCCATCCTCGCCTCCACCCGTCCGACCGTCGGGAAATCCCGAACCCGGCTGGCTGGAAAGCCGGGAAGGTCTGGCTCATCCGCCGCAAGGCCTAGCCCCACCGCCGACAGCCGGGAATCGCCCCCACCCCACACGGAAATGCACCTTTCCGGTTCCCAGCCCCGAGCTGGGAGCCGGGCGAGAGGGCGAGGTTGCAGGCGTCTCTGCCTGCGGGCGGCGGTGTGCGGTCCTGGGCGTGCGGGCCGCGGCGCGGGGACAGCTCAACTCCAGGACAGCGCCACGCGACCGCCACCGCGGGGTGGGGCCTGACCCGGGGCGAGAGACCGCCCTTGGAACCGCGACCCTCAGCCTCCGCTCTAGCCCGACTGCTGGCTCCGTATCTACAGGGCTGGTGGGAAAGCAGAGAGAAGGAGGAAACGGACCCTGGCGCGCCCCGGTGTTTCGTCTGCCCGGAGCTAGACTCCGACTGTCTTCACAACTACCATCCCCAACTACCCTACCTCGGGCGGCTCCACTCACTCCATACCGGCCCGGGTCTCCCAGCCCGCGCGGCCATTCTCGCCTACGGTCTCGCCCTCCAACCCGGGCTCAGCTTCGGGTCGGAGCAAACCCGCTTTCGCCCGTCCCCGCCCGTCTCCGCGGGTGCCATTCCGTTCGCCCAGAGGGTGGCGGGGTTCGGAGCTGCAGAACACTTGGCTGCTGCCCGCCGACCTCACCCCACCAGCCCCCCCGTCTCCCCGTCACCCCGGTTCCCCAGTCCGTGGCGCTTCCCTCCCTCCAGTCCGCGCGCCCGGCCGCCGCAGGAGCGGCTCCCCGCCTTAGCCCGCAGGCCGCGAGGTGCACGGCCCTCTCTACCGAGAAGCCTGACCGCCCCGGGCCTCCCCGTCGGCCTCCAGCGCCTACACCCGTTTCGGCGCCCACTCTTCGTTCTGCGCCCCTAGATGCCCATCGGCTGCGGGAGAGGCTCCCGGAAAGCTCGGTGGGGCCCCGCGCAGAGCCCGCCCGCCGGAGCCGCAATGCTGCCATGGTTTCCCCGCGCCACCAGCCAGGCAAGGCGCGGCGCGAAGGGCTCTGGGAGGAAGCCGTCGGCACCTGCGGGCACTGCACCCTCCACTCCCCGCCTGCCGTCCCCCGCCTGCCGTCCCCCGTCCGCAGCGCCCACAGCCACGTGCGCGGAGCGGAGCTGCTCCCGGCCGGGGGCAGCCCAGCCCCCGGCGCCTGAAGGGGCCGCCGCGCCCGCCCCGCACCTGCACCCTCCTCTCCCACTTGCCTTTCCATCTGCGCGCGGAAATGCCACGGGCTTAGAACAAACTTTTATTTTTTTTCAGCGACATTCACGAGAGAGACGAATAGGACACGGTCATCCGAGTGCCGAGGCGCGGAAGCGCGAACTGCCCGGAGCGACCTGGCTTGGCGCACAGACTCATTAACCAAGCCCGAGAGGAGGCAGCAATGCGTGTGCGGGAAAGGGAGCGGTTCTCAAAATACAAAGTGATAAAACAGCTTCCAGTTATATTGAAAAACGATGCAAACCCTCAATTCCTTTTTTTTTTTTTTGGACCTGGCCGGACCTGGAAATGCCGGTTATAAACAAGAATAAAAACTTGAATTTATTGGTGGAAGTCCTGTTAAAAGAGCTCAACACAAGCATATGAGACAAACTGCAAGGTGATGAGACGACCATGCTATACATTGAGGGGAGAGTCGAATGAATTTTTCTATTATTTTGTAAAGTGCAAAATTTAGCTAAACAAATTTAGCTAGTGCAAAATTTGCTGCAGGTTTCCCTACAGCAAACGATCTCAGATAATATGGTTACTTTCCTAATGTAAGAATTCTTGGTGATGTATCACCTAAAACAGCACTCACAAGATTTCTGATCATGTAACATAAACAGCAGGACATAACCAAGCTAAAGAGCTAAGTCTCCTTGTGTAAATACTTAATTCCATCATTCAAAAATAGTTGTTGGTTTGTATAGTAAATCTAAATCACCACAGGGCCAAACATAGCTGCCTTTTCATGAGTAGTATCTCAACTTTCCTCCAACCCCAAAGAAGACAAACTCAATGTCAGTATTTTGTTCTTTAGCGGGGAATAAATTGTTCTTTTCAGCCGCTTGAGGTGCTCCGGAATAAGATGTTCGAAGCGTTTCTGTAAGGATAGCCTGGCTGATGGTGCAGGTGTGGGCTGATTTAAATTACTCGCTTTTGTGTTTTTCCACAGGGTCAAATGTAGGCACTGATTTTAGGGAAGGCAGAGAAAGTAAGACTTCCTGAGTTAAAATGCCCATGTGCCCAGCCTCAGATAAAAAAGAGAATACAAACCTGACAAGGCATTAGCTGATGCATCAAATGATGTGCCTATCAGCATGCATGTCATCAATAAAAAAATTATTTAATATTTGCATTCAATTAGTCAAATGATTCCACCATTTTAAGAATTTTCACATATAAGAAATTAGTAAAATAATCAGTCAAATATTCTACACTCATTTAATGGTAAATTATCGAGCAGCAGTATCCTTATTTAATTTGTAGGTGTATTTAATAGGGAATTGGAGTGGTTAAAAATGGAGTGCAAGAATTTCAGTTAATTTTTCTAGACTAGTGGCAAATACTAACAAAATTACTCAAGCATTTTTTAAAAAAATCATTTTGGAACAAAAGACTAACTGTAGGAAACAAGATCAGAACAGACTTAAATTAACATCTGAAGACATTAAGGAACTGAGTATACGGTTTCTTAAATGACAAAAACTCTTAGTGGCCTTTTAAAATCTCTGCTAAAACACATAAAATGGGCTGCATTAAGATGGTTATTTTGTCTTAGGTAAGTAGAATTTCTTGTATACCATCATAAGAAACTAAAAGTGATGTTGGTTTTATTCCCTAAGTACCAGTAATTTAAATTCCCTGAATATAATTGATCTCATTATGTTGAATCATAGGACATAAAAGCTACTGGGGAATCTCTTTATATATAATTATGCAGATAAGTAGAAGTTTTTAAGTCACTAAAAACTAGACATATAAATTTTCTGAGTTGAAGGAGCGACTGTAAATCTATCTTATATAATTTTCTAGCCATCTTTTAGTATGAGATAAATTATAGCATATAAACATCCTTGGGATCAGTTTTATTATAAGGAAATTATTTTCTTTGCTGTCAGGGATGCCCATGAGGGCAAATTTTTATTATATTATTGAGAGCTGTTAAATTTGATGATTAAACAAATAACTCCAAACCACTTCTCAGAAAAGTTCTCAGACTATTAATAATATTTTACTTCTGAGAAATGCATTTAAAAATATAAAATTAGTGGCATTAATATTGAATTTTCATAACCAAGAATCTGTGCATAGAACAGGAAATATGTGCAAATAAAAAGTAAATATCGAGGTCCAGGTGGAGAAGGACATTAAAAATTATGCTTGGCAGAAAAATAATCTATTTTACCAACAGTTCTTAAGGTCTGCCCTTTACGATGATGAAACTGCCCAGGCACCCCCTCACCAGCCTCAAACAATTGCAGCTGTGTGTATGTGTTGTGTTTTTTTTTTTTTCCATTTCAATCTCCATTTAGCCTTTGCAGAGTAAAGAAATAAAGGAAGAATGAAAATCTTGAGCTACTCTGACACTTATAAGGACTTATAGTTTATTAATTGGAGAATTTAGCTTATCCCCCCTCTCTATTCATCTGAAATTAATTAAGTGTGTAGAATTACAAGGTGGGTGTATCCGAGACAGCAGGCCCTGCTCGGACTAATCAAAAGGGCACATGTTGAATGAGCACAATTTAGTTAAGGTTAATCCAGTGAAGATGATACCTCCCTGTTCTTAATTACTCTAGGTGATAGATTGTGGAATGGGAAAGTAGGAAGGAAGGGAAATTCAGTCCTACTGAATACCAGGATTTTCTAATTTAATTTAGCTCTCTGTTTTCACAGAAGCAAACAGTCTCCATTCAGAGAGCAGGACCACACTCTGGGTTCTTGTTTAAGGTGAGTCAAAGAAAAAAAAAGTTATTTGCATGTGTGTTTTTGAGAAAAAGTCTTGGAAACCAAATATGAAGGTTTCAAAGGTGTTCTTGATAACGCGCCTTTGATTACAGACGTGTCAGTTTGAGAATTTTGTCACAGCTCAGTGGTTTCTTTGTGATTTCTGCTGGTGGTTGCTTACTTTGTTGAACTCTCTTCTGAGTGCCGAGACTGGTGAATATGCTGAAATAAATCGACATGTTTCTATACCTACAAGACTGCATTAAAGAAATGAATATATCTGTATTATTAAAAAGAATACCATTTAAATATCAATAAATACAGAACTAACCACCATGGATGAATCGCATACACATAATACTGAGCAAAAGAAGCCACACGCAAGAATATGTACTTTATGCTTCCATTTATATAAAGCTCAAAAACAGGCACTAATCCCTAGTGTTACGCTAGCCCCACTATAGTGAGGGTAGTGGTTACCCTCAGAGGAGTAGTCAGTGACAAGTTTCTGGGGCACTGATAATGTTCTGTTACATAGGTGTGTTTGCCTTATGAAAACTCATTGAGCTTACACATTTGTGAACTTAAGACATGCATTTTTTCTGTATATATGTTTTATTTGAATAAAACGCGTACTTTACAAAATGAAAATGAATAAGGGAAAAAATACTAAGAAGTAAAGGCATGGAATTGTGAGCCAATATATTTTTAAAAGGCAGAGAGGTTGGAGCTGAGGGCTGAGGATATAATTCCTAAAGAGAAAAAGAAACGCATGAAAACATCTGGCAAAATATTATTAGCAAGGTTTGAATGTGTTCACTTTGCCACTTTAATATCTACCCACCCACAAACAGAATACTACTCAGTATTCATTCCTCACCAAATATAGGGATCTTTCTTGTTTCTTTTGCATGTGTTAAAGTCAAAGTCTGATTAAGGTGTTTAAGAATCTTATTCTTTGTCTGTGTTTAAGATGCAGCACTCCCTGATCCTAAAAATCAAAAACAAAAAAAGCTTATTTTCTCCATGCATGTGCATTAAAAAATCATCAGATGATTTTCTCATTTTCAGTTTTGTGATATATTTTCTTCTTGAGAGGGGATATCTGTTTCTGATTTATTAGCATTTGATCCCCTAGTTTCCTGCCATTGATCAAGCCTAATACTTAGTTCAGCTGATGAGTTTTATATGAAATCTGATATTTCAGGGAGATGGAAGGTTGAACCCATTTTTAATATTTGTTTGCCCTTCATCTCTTTCAGCGTTTGACGTGCACATGAGACACCTAACAAAGCCTGAAACTAAATTTATTTTTCACTACATCTCTCTGGTATCAAACTTTTGGAAGTAAAGCATGTATTTATCAATAAAACAGATGTTTGCCCAGCATCATCCACATCCTGTCTACTGTATGTATACATTTACACTCTCCCACCAAAACATGCCTTCACCCCACTCTTGACCGGCTGTCCGCCATTCAATCTCCAGTGAAGTCTCGGTCAATAAGGTCAACTCCCTGGAAACATCTGCATTTGATCAGTTTGCACAAAACGGAGGCCTTCTTGATACTGGACTTCCCTGAAGTCAGCTACGACAATAGTTGATTGACCACTACTGCCCAGGCCTCCCTCAGGAAACCCTTTTTTTTTTTTTTAATCCCCCTCAGAGACTGTACAATGCCGAGACTAACTCCTGCTCTAATGAGCGGAGGGGCATTTGCAGCTCTGCGTCTCCCAAGCTGGCATCACACTGGGGGAAGAATTTCCATTAACCAGAAAGATATTCTGTCTAGTTATTGCTAAAGCTAGGACGACTTGCTGTCCTTGATCCATTTCGGGACTGGGAAAGAGTACCAAATGGAATCTGATCAGAAAGTTGTCAACATGTTGTCAGTGTTTCAACCATTCCAGACCTGGTAGGGGCAGTTCTCTGCTCCCAGGTGCACATCAGGGAGGGATTAGCATTATCCTGTATGTGTGTTCTTTTCTCTCTCTCTTTTTTGACCATATTTTCAGCATTTTATGGTCAACATGTTATTCCAACAGAAATTCTAAAGGATAACTCTAGAACCTTTTTGTCTTTAAAGCAAAAAATAACTCTTAGGATAGTCAGATAGCCCCAGGATTGTATTTTTATAGGCAGAATATAAATTTTTAAACACTTCAGTAGAATGACAAATACAAAAGAGAATGACAAATACAAAAAAAGTCTAGTGTAACCTTTTAAATTAAACATCAGCCCTATGACAGCATGAAAAAAGTTTCATTAAAATTTGGGGCATCATTAAATTCATTCGATTGGTAGAGCATTTAGAAAATCCCCAATCGCATTGTTTACAAAATTTGCTTGCCACATTTTTTTAACGTTTGGGGTTTGACCGTCCTTTATTTACAAAGAGGGTAGAACAAGAGACTGAAAAAATTAATCAGCTCCATTTCCACTGAAGGGTTTTTTGAGCTTAGTCATAGGTACCGAGCAGGAGGCAAGAGACCCACAGCACAGACCCGGCCTTCAGGAGCTGTTGGTCTAGTTGAGGGAACAAAACATGAATACCTGAAAATATACAGACAGGAAAGCAAGAAGTCTCAGGCAGCCAATAAGTGGTACAGCTACAAACATGCAGATTGTCCATCCTTCCCCATGTGAAACACATCAAAACTTGTTTTCAGTTTAAGACAACACTGGCTCTTGGTTTAAGCCGTCTCTGTATGTGGTCCCCTCTCAGATCTCAGTGCTGCCTGTCACTATTGCTTCCCCATCACCCCATCCTCAGCTGCGTATTGGGGTTCAGACCAACCTGCATTACACCCCCAACAGTGCTGGGCTGTAGGGCAAGTTACCACACCACTCTGCACCCTAGGTCCCTCACTCGTGAGTGATAGAACTGTCTCACAAAACAGACTGTCAGGAGGATTAAGTGACACAGTGTATGCAGAGTGCTTAAAGCAACACCGAGCGTGTACGTGGTGCTCGGTGCAGTCAGTGATGATCAGTGTTCATATTTCTGCCGTTGCCCATCCGTCCCACATCAGCCAGTCCTGCTGTGGTCAATATCTGCTGATTTTATTTGGATGAAAATGAATTTGTTCTGAAATGCTTCCATAAGCTGTTTTTTGAATGTTCATGGCTTTCATGTCTACCAGCTCCCCCAAACACAACCTTCTTCACCAGAGATGGAAGTCACAGTGTGATTCACATCACTGTGTTTTCCCCAAAGGGCAAAATAACAGACTGTACAAATAAAGGGACAGCTTTCCCCACCACAATAGGATTAACTTTCAAAGGTCTTGCAATGGATGTAGAAACCCTTCTTGGCACCAAGGCTGACATTTGGTCCCAAATGTCACTATTCTGGAAAACGTGATTTCTTGCAGTTTTCACTGGCCTTATTTATGCAACTCAAATGCTTTTTCTCACATCAGATTTTCACCTCAATCTAGTCCCACAGTCTCTTAGTCATCCCTGCTTCTGAACTGCCTGATGGCCAAAGGACCCCATGACTTTTCTCCAGGATTCTCCCTTCTTACCCCTTGGATGCGGCCTTCTCCTGGGGCTCTTTTCTTCCCCACGTCTTCTGGGGCTGCCTTTTGCTCTTCAAGATAATGTGCATCCCCCTCACCCCGACTCAGCAGCTTTCTCCCCATGGTCCAAGCTACTCCTCTTTCCTTCTCTCTTGGCGATATGCACCTTCCTGCATCACCAGCCTCTGTAACCAACTGGCTTCCGAATAAAATCCTAGTTGTCACCTTTAGGGTTGTAAGCCTTGGCCATCCTGGGAGCTCTTCTTTCAAAACCAGCCTTTCCCAAGTTTCTCCCTCAGGCTTTCTCCTCCAACCAAGCTCACTGTACCCTTGGCCTTGCTCTGTCTCCCTTCTCAGGCTTTCTTCATACCTGAGGAAAGGTATACTTGTCTGGTCCTGAGTGAAGGGGTGGGGGGCTTCAGGGAGTGAGGAAGGATAGGCTGGAGCCATGACTCCTGGCGTCCCTTGGTTCGTCCTGACTTCCTCCTTATAATGATCTATTAAAACAGTTCTGGAGCCTGTGGTAACCACCTCCCTCAGAATCTCTCCTGGGACACCTGCCCACCAGCACCATCCAAAAGCACAGTACTTTCCAGGTGAGTGTGTTGAGACTCTCCCTTCTCTGGCAATGGAAACACCTTCCCTTTTGTGTCATGTCCTCAAGGATGTTTCTTGACAAGAGCTGCACTTAATTCAGTTCTTTATAGAACCTGGCCTCTTGCTATCATTGGATTAAAAGTCTCATTCAATTATGTTAAATGCAATTAATTTAAAATGTAAAGATAACTTGGGTTTGCTCTTAGAAGTGAAGGATAAAAAAGAGAGGATGCTGAATCTCTGCTCCCACAATGGAAAATGAATGTGATCAAGGGAGGTGTTAGGGTGACCAGCCCTGAAGTGGGGAACTCCCCTGGGAGAAGCCAAAGCTTGTTATGTCCCAGCAACTTTGGGAGATGGAAAGAAGTGTTCACAACAACTCCTACCTACTTTGATGTGCAATTTCCTAATCTTTAAGCAATCAAGATTTTGAAAATATTCACACACTACTGAGTAATTAATTACTCAAAAACATCAACTTAACTACATTCTCCCTAACAAGTAAACATTTCGTGCACACATAAGCAATTCAAGTCTTCACAATTCTAATATATCAAATTCCCCTAATTGTTTTAAATGCCTTAACAAATAAATCGACAGTAATTTGATGATTGCAAAACTCATCAGTTTACTTACACAGTCTGTTACAAAAGGGCTAACACCACACACTTAAATGTGATTCTTTTTCTTTGTTTTTATTCAGGTCTTTTTTTGTCGAGTTGCGTATGATTTCTACTCAACTATCCTGATGAGCCATAATTACCTTTTCAGCTGAGCTAATGTTGCAAATACAGGTGGATGGTCTTAATTCAGGACAGGGGATAAGGGAGTGGAGTATACTCTCCAAAATGCTGCGGCTCAAGGGCAGTGTCACACAGGCTGGGCACCTTGTGATGCAGAGACTTTGTTCATTGCAGCAGAACTATTCAAAACATAGGCTCTGGCCAAACAGATGTATTTATTTATTTATTTTGAGATGCAGTCTTGCTCTGTTGCCCAGGTTGGAGTTCAGTGGCACGATCTTGGCTCACTGCAACCTCCACCTCCTGAGTTCAAGCAATTTTCCTGCCTCAGCCTCCCAAGTAGCTGGGATTACTAGCATGCTCCACCATGCCTGGCTAATTTTTGTATTTTTAGTAGAGATGGGTTTTCACTGTGTTGGCCAGGCCGGTCTCGAACTCCTGTGATCCTCCCTCCTTGGCCTCCCAAAGTGCTGGGATTACAGGTGTGAGCTACCGCACCTGGCCAACAGATATGTTGTTATGGTTTTGATCTTAATCTTTTCCCCCAGATAATGCTTGTTTTGAGTATCTTCCCTTGCCAAACATATAGTCTGATAGAAGTCAACTTTGTAACTGCCCCCTCTGAGTGTCTTCTCTTTGTTTTACAGCAGGTATAAGCCCATTTTGCAATTGCTGGTTCCCAATGGGCCCTGTCCTGATTCTATTTTTGATTCAGGTACTTGGTAAATTTGGATTACCAAAACTATAGAGTTGCGGTGTTGATGTTCTGTATTCCACTAACTAACTACAAGACAAGTAGTTAGTTGTCAAGTAGTTAGTGACTTGCCTAGACAAGTCACTTTCCCTAAGCTCCAGTTTCCTGTCTTAGACACCATCTCTGAAGTCCGGTCACATCTAACCATCTGTGACACTGATGCTTGAATTCTCAGTGGCAAATTGTATGCCACATACCACATATGCTGAGGATGTGGACCTTCAGGGGTTGGTGTAACCAGTGCAAGCTGGAGTTAGAAAAGCCCTGCGATGGAGACCATGGGCCAAGCAGAATCTTGAAGAAGGGTAGAATTAGATTGAAAGAGAAAAAAAGAAAAGACAGTCTAGAGAGTGGGGGAAACAGGAGCAAAGGCCTGGCAGCAGGAATTAGTTGGCCCCATGAAAGTGGCCTGCAAAGTAAAAATATTCAAGAGGAACCATAGTGGGTACAATTACCACTAGGATGGGTATGATCATTTAGTGAAGTTGAACTTGGACATGTCTATCCTGGCAGCTCTATTATCTGTTACCTAACATTCTTCCAACTTGACAATTGCTTATAAGATTTTCTTTAAAGATATAATTTTAAATCCAGACATACCTTCGTAAAAGGGTGTTGAGTCTATGTTCTCTGTGCCAGAAGTTGGAGGGGAAGGCTGCTATCTACCAGACCCTGAGCTTTATGAGTGCCACGGCTCTGCCACCTTTCCCTCTTCATACCCAGCCCCTGTCCTCCTGTTGCAGTTTTCTGTTGTGGCATAAGCAATGCCCCCCAACACACAAGGGCTTAAGACAACGATTCGTTATCTCTCATGATTCTGCAGTGGTGTGTCAGGGTTCAGTCAGGTGGTTCTGCTCCACTTAGTATTAAATATAAGTGGGGTCACTCCTTGACTACAGTCAGCTGCTAGATGGGCTGGGCTGGAAGGCCAAGGCAGGCTTCTTTCAATGTCTGGTGCCTTGGTGCTTCTTCATGTGGCCCTTCCTTCTGTCGGGCTTTCTCCCCACGTGGTGGCTCTATTAGGGTGGTCAGACTTCTTACTCGGCTGCTGACGTCCAAGAGAGAGGAAGCAAAAGTTGTCTTAAGAAAGAACTGTGGCCAAGTGCGGCGGCTCACGCTTGTAATCCCAGCACTTTGGGAGGCTGAGGCGGGTAGACCACCTGAGGTCAGGAGTTCAAGACCAGCCTGGCCAACATGGTGAAACCCCTGTCTCTACTGAAAATACAAAAATTAGCTGGTTATGGTGGTGTGCACTTATAATCCCAGCTGCTTAGGAGGCTGAGGAGGGAGAATCTCTTGAACCCAGAAGGCAGAGGTTGCAGTGAGCTGAGATCATGCTATTGCACTCCAGCCTGGGCAATATAGGAAGACTTTGTCAAAAAAAAAAAAAAAAAAAAAAAAAAAAGAAGAGAAAGAAGAAAAAAGAATAAGAAAAAAGAAAGAAACTGTGTTTGGGAGTTCCAGAATGTCATTTCCACGGCATTCTATAGTTAAATCAAGTCACAAGGCCAGCCCAGATCAAATAGAGATCTTGATGGGAGGAAAAGCATGCCAGGAAGAATTGATGGGATGGTAACTATATATATATATATATATATATATATATATAATTTGTGTGTGTGTGTGTGTGTGTGTGTGTGACAGTGTCTTGTTCTGTTGCCCAGGCTGGAGTGCAGTGGTGCAATCTCGGCTCACTGCAACCTCTGCCTCCTGGATTCAAGCAATTCTCCTGACTCAGCCTCCCAAATAGCTGGGATTACAGGCATGTGCCACCATGGCCAGCTAACTTTTCTATTTTTTTGTAGAGACAGTGTTTCGCCACGTTGGCCAGGCTGGTCTCAAACTCGTGGCCTCAAGTGATCCTGATGGTAACCATCTTTGAGGACTGTCTACTCCATCTCCTCCCACTGAATGGTTGTTCATACAAGTTGCTAGAATAATTCAAACAACAGCGGGCAAATAGACCTCAAAGCCAATACCAATCCCCATGCCAGGTGTTGGAATTTCCCATCTGTGAGCAATGGCAATAAATGCTGGTGGTTCTGCTCATTTCAACTCTTCACCCTACACCTTTGTTACTGCTCTGTTTTTTAAGTATCAGTCTTTCCTCCCCCTAATTAGTCCAAAAGCTCACAGGACAGGGGCCACCTGTTCTTCTCTTATGTGACTAAATTTACCTCGAGTCAGGATGGTAGGTTCTGAAGGAAGTTGAATTTGTATAAAAGTCCGTGCATTCATATTTCTTGAGCACTAACTAAAGGTGTAGAGTTTAGTTATAGCAGTGAACAAACAAAACCCCCACACTCATGGAGCTTACACTGTTACTGAGTAATAATAATAACAATGATGATAATCATATCTACTATGTATTAAGCACCTATTCTTTCTCTACCAGATATTATGCCTGTTGTTTGACTTACATTGTGCTCTTGATCCTCCCAACAGCTCTATTGTTGTCTCCATTTTACAGAGGAAGAAAATGAGGCTTTAAAAAGATTATGTAATTTTCCCCCAGGCCACAGAGTTTAGTAGTGACAGAGACAGGATCCAAATCCAGGACTATGAGGCTCTAAAATGAGGTCCATAACTTCTCTTCTGATACTAGTTAGCAGAGCAGAATGTTGATTCTCAGTGCAGTTTTCAGTTATCCCAAGAACATGATGATATTGCCAAAACAAAAATAGTAGGCAAGCACATGCAAGTGTGCATGTGTGTGTGTGGTCACGCACATGGGTGAAGTGGTTGGTGTTGGGAAGCCTAACAACTCTAACACTATAAAGCAGTGGTTCCCAAAGGGGTCCATGAGTCAAAACTATCTTCATAACAGTACTAAGACATGATTTGCCTTTTTCATTCTCATTCTCTCATGAGTGTACACTGGCATTTTCCACAGCTCATATGATGTGTTATATCACAACACCCTGGATGCAGAAGCATATATGAGAATCAAGCCGGCTTCTAATAAATCAGACATTTAAAAGATTTTCAAAAACTGAAGTCCGTGCCAGGCTTCTCACTAGATTTTGCTGCTAGTTCTGAATATGTAGTTATTTTTCATAAAAGTGTTATTTGTGTTAATACATAATGGATTTATTATTGTTATTTTTAATGAAGTAATGTTCAAATTTTAATGAGGTAATAACTGGTCCGTTTTTCTCAGTCTTAATTGCTAATATGGAAATTATTGATAGATATAATTCATATAAGCAAACGCTCATTGGAATCCTCAGTAATTGTTAGAGCATGAAAAAGAGTCCTGAAACCAAAGAGTTTGAAAATTGCTGCTGTAGTGTGTTGCAACTGGGAGAAAAAAAAAGTTGGACGCTAAAGATGTAAGTCTTCTTCCTGAGTTTTGGGGAGCATTTTCAGAGATCTAAAGGAGGTGAAATGAGATTCTTCAGGGTTAAGAGGAGAGAGCATCCTGGAACCATGAAGAATGCTTTGAAAGTTAGAGTCAAGCTGCATGTTCTGTTCTCTCCTACCCCCGCAGTCCAGAAGTCCTGGCAGAAGCTTAAAGGTGAGACATGCTGTGCCCATTGCAGATTATGGCAGTAGCCATTTGCTAAGGAGACTGAAGCTCTCTTTTGCGCTGGAGAGCCAATGCTTTAGAAAACACTGCTGTGGTGGACAAGTGCATGGCCCTGACATCTGAGAGTATTGTGTCAGGGCTGATCTTCATACACCCAATATCTACAAACAGATTTGATTCAGAAAAGAACACAGGCAAAGCAACATCTGCTTATCGTCTTGATTCTCTGGAGCAGTTAATCCTTGGCTCTGAATGAAAACTGGGAAAACAGAGGCTTGGAAGCCAGATGCTACAAATGAGGAAATGCATTGCTTTGTCATTGCTGAATGAACCCCCTGTCTTTAACTCCAGCTCCCTGCATTTGGGGTAAATAATCTCACTGAGCAACTTGATTAGATCTAAGCCACGCATTTAGTTTTTCCTAAAACATTTTTGTCACAGCCGTGAAGATGTGAACGAAGCATCTACACAAGTGACTAGGTGTACACAGCCCAGCCTCACCTGATGTGACCTTCAGTCAGAGAAGCAGAAGATGCCTACAGACTGGCAAGTGCATGGAACCAGCCCCAGGCTAAACAGTGACTGCTAAAAGGCTGTTAAGTGTGCAAAGGAGCTCATCCCTAAAGGTGGGATTCCAGGCCCTGAGACAAAGTGGAATAAGGTGAGTCCAGGGAGAAAGGATTCATGGCTCATGAGGAACAAATCATTGCTTCCCTGTAGAAAATGGGCACCATAGTTCTCTTTGCTGTCACCACTGCCAGCATCTCCTTTTCCGCTCTTCTTTCCTACTCCTTGCTTGTTTCTTGTTTCCCACTCTAATTTCAAGGCCATTTTTTCTTTCTACACTTTTGCTTCCTTTTCTAGGCTTGGGGCCTGGAATTCATGGCACTTCTGGAGACATGAGGTACCTTCAGTTTCAGAAAATAAGAAGCATGTGAATCTCATCTTGGGTAGGTTTTCTTTAATTTGGTTAGGATAGTGATACTATCTTTATACAATCCCAGTAATGGAGATGCATGTATCTGAATATTTAGTGTCATGCCAACCACATGTTGAATTGTTGACAACACTTATCTCAAAGGCTCTTAAGATGACAAGGTAGTGCACCTCCAATGGAGGATCCCAGGCAATGAGACAGAACAGTGTGAGTGACATTCAGGGTAGAGGAGATATTCCAGCCCTTCTCCAGTTACACCAAATGGCCAACCATCTAGTTCAATTATGTAAAAGGCAGCCTGCATCAATGTTCATCTGCATATGAGATTTGCTTGTAAACTAAAATGACTTCTGATAAAATTAGCTTCTACAGCCAAGAGATATGGGGCCTTTAAATTTCACATTAGTAATCTTTTTTTTTTTTTCAATTGAGCATTCCTCCAGCAAAAAAGTGACCTCTTAAGCTCTTAAGGCCCCATCTGTAAGAATGAGTTGACTGGGTGACTTAGCTCCATGAACGGAGAGGTAGAGCAGCATTCATTTATTCATGCAACAAATACTTAATAAGGGGTGGCGGGGGGGGGGGGCTTTCTGGCAGAATGTGGGGAGGGGCAGGTATTACTAGCTTTATTCACACTTCAGATTGAGCCTCCTGGGCAGCAGGACCTGCTTTGCAAACACAGCCAGAGTCTCTGAGAGAGGTCTCTCTGCCTCACAGTGAAGAATTAACCTCCAGAAATCAAGAGAAGAGGAAGAGAAGAAGAGTCTATAGGCTCCGTAATGTCAGCTTGCCATTCAGAATGGTACAGCAAGCAAAGTCTTCCTTCCCTTGCTTTGCCTTCTAGAATTTGGCAGAAAAGAGCCCTCAGAAGCTCTGCATGAGCATGGCCACTTCTCTCTTGAGCAGGTCAAGCGGGAGCCCTCTGCTCTGAGGCTGCTTGGAAGGGAGTTGGAAAGGCCCTTCCAGGCTCGCCCCTCAGCCTCTCTCTAATGCTGGCTTACTCTCCTGGTCCAAGCACTGGATCAAACTCCGCTGGGAAAAGAACCAGATTAAGTCCTATGCAGGCATTAACCCTCAGTGGGACAGTGGTGAGGAAGCAGCAGCTGGTAAAAAGAAAAAGAGAGAAGGAAAGAAGAGAGAGAAAAGAAAGAAAGAAAGAGAGAGGAAGAAAGAAAGAAGGAAAGAAAGAAAAAAGAAAGAAAGGGAGAGAAAGGAACAGAGAGAGAAAGAAGAGAGAGCGAGAGAAACAAAAGAAAGGAAAGAAAGAAAGAAAAGAAAGGGAGAGAAAGAAAGAAAAGAAAGGGAGAGAAAGGAAGGGAGAGAAAGAGAGAGAAAGGAAGAGATAGCGACAGAAAGAAAAGAAAGAGAAAGAGAGAGAGAGAGAAAAGAGAGAGAGAGGAGAGAGAAAAAGGGAGAAAGAAAGAAAAGAAAGAAAAAAGAGAAAAAGAAGAAAGAAAAAGAAGAAAGAAAAAGAAAGAAGAAAAAAGAAAGAAGAAAAAAAAAAAGAAAAGAAAGAGCGAGCCAGGTATTTGGAATAAGACAACTTGGATTCAAATCTTAACACTTCTTAGTTGCATGATCTGGGACAGGTTACTTAACCTCTTGGAGAGATGGATATTTATTTCCTTCATTACTGGTGAAACGAGGAGAATGATATTGCAGGCTGATATGAGAGTTCAGAGAGAATGTTTGTTAAATACATTTTTCTGTTATAGAGCAGTTTGGTTATAGTGGCAGTCATTATTAATTGATTTTATCAGATCTTTCTTTGAGTGACAGCTGGCTGGGAGGAAGTCTGGCAGGAGGCCTGGGGAGGAGGGATGGAGGAAGGGAAGGTGAGGCCTCCCCCATGAGAGTGTGGTCCAAGGCAGGCTGGCCTGCAAGGGCTGCTGGGATCTAGAAGGCACAGGAAGCCACAGGGAAATAGAGGAGGAATACAGGGGAAAGGGGGATGTAGGAAAGAAGTGAGAAAGATCCCCAAATCAAAGTGCTGATCTGGGGAGGCATATGAGACCCCTGGGCTTGGCTTCTGTTGCTGAAACAGAGACTATTGAAGATCCAGAAGTGATGAGTAGAGGCCTGGGGCCTGCCCTGTGAAACAACTCAGGGAGCAGAGAAAGGAAGTCACGGGAACCTCAGGCTTCCACTCTAGGGTGACTTGTAGAGAAACTCTTGGGGTTCTGCATTCTTCGGGCTGGGGTGAGGGTCTGTCTTGCGCCTTGCAATGGGTGGGAGAACTCTCCAGGCATTGCTTTGGTGGGAGAGGAGCAGTGGGCAGGCGGTTGGCGGTCAGCCTTAGACATTGGGAACCGGCGCTTTGCCCACTCACTGGGAACCTAGAGGCCAGGATGAGGTGAGCCACAGAACCCCCAGATTTAGCTCACAGCTGATTAAGAAACCGCTTCTAATAAAGACCACTCATTTTCTTCTTCTGTAAAAGGAGACAACAATAGAGCTGTTGGGAAGATCAAGAGCACAATGTATGTCAAACAACAGGCATAGAACAGTCTGTTAAAGTCTTGGGCATCCCAGGTTATCTAGACTTCTGAGGCATTCACAGTTTTACCCAGGGAAGCACAGCCAGTTCCTTGGAGAGGAGGGAGAACTCCTGAAACTCACTGTAAATTAACTTTAGACTGATTTGTATAGGCCCCAACTATGCTAATGCAGCCTCAAGGGTTGAACAGGCCTCCCCAAACATGAACAACCACAGTAAACGCTCTCCGAGTTCACTCACGCTCCCTGGCCGCCAGGTTCTTACCGCATTGTAAACTATACATTTGCAAATCTCACAGCTAATCCACAGTACAGCCTGTGTGCAATCCAATATGGGTCTGAGAGCCCGGAGGCACCCTTGTGGCACAAGCAGACCCTGTCTTAAGCCTCACACTGAAAAGTACAACCCGTTAGCCAGACTGCAAAATATGTAACTTGAAGTCCCCCTGCCATGAGAACCACGTCTCTGGAATTTCCTGGCTTCGGGAGGGGTGGCGTTCAATTTCTAACCTTTGCTTTATGTTGCTGGAGCCCTCGCATTTTATTCCTGGGGTCGTTTCTGTATTCAGTAGGGAGGTGAGGGGGCAGGGATAAAGGAATGAAAGAATCTCCCTAGAAAAACGAGGAGCCGAAGGCTGCTAGGAGTGCGCCATGGAGCCCCATCCGGGCCTCGCACGGTGAGCTAGTGGACCAAGCAATGCAGACACAAGCCGTGGATGTGCTCCTTCTGCCCCCTCCCCACAATGCCAGGGTTTTCCCACAGCCTGGTAATTGTGGCAGAGAGTGAACAGCTGTCATATCAGGACAAGAAGGCCAGGCTTGGGGTCAGAAAACCTCGCTGCCAGCCCTGGTTTTGCCATTTGGTCTCTGAGGGTCCTTGGGCAAATCACTTTATCTGAGTTTCAGCTTCCTCCTTCTTAAAGGGGTGAATGGACCCTCACAGTGAATTGTGAGGATTGAATGAATGAAATGGGGAATAGAGGGCACCCAGAAGTCAGTCTAGAGAGTTCTTTGCAATATCTAGATGCAGGAATTCTTCCTCTACAATTGTGTACAGAAATAAATAATCTCTTGAGCAGCCCCTGTGCTTGGAATATCTTGCTCGGTTATGAGGGTGACGCTGAGGACAATAAGCAAGGCCACCATGAATGCACCACTGACTGCTGAGGACAGGCCACCAATGCACTCAGAAGATGATTGACGCAAGAAGGCATCTTTTGCTAACAGTCAATAAATGTTAAAAAGAGCTCAGAGAGAAGAATGAGCATTAAATAATGCATGATAGATTTTTTTCACAGAGAAAAGAGAGCTTGAAAATGCTTCATCTTATTCTCTTTGGCCTCCTGGGAATATTTTTCATGCCCCAGAAGTCTAGCAAAATGTACCCAAATTGGAACAGTCACAAAATGTACCCAAATTGGAACACAGTGGCAGCAATATGTTTAAGAGTGGCTAGCTTTGTGAAAATGATAGGGTGGGTGATTTTTTTTCATACTTTTTTATGCAGTGAAAATTGATCATTAGAAAAATTCCCAGTAACTATTCATTTAAAAATAAAACAAAATACAAATTTTTTAAAAATCTGAACCAGGGAGTTTAGCTCTGTATGGTCTTGAGCAGGTTACTTAACCCTTTTTAACTTTTGTTTGTTTTCATAAGTGGAAAAACAACAGTAATTCTGCTAACGTCAAAGGGTTCTTGTAAGGATTAAATAAAGTAAAGCAAGTAAAGCACTGAAAGGAGCACCTGGTGCTTGGTAAATCTCAATCAAGTTTAGTTATTATTATCGTTGTATATTATCATCACAATGATCAACTCATTCTTGAAATTAAAAAATAATGGAATGAGGTTGTATTTGTTGTTTTTGCACTGCTATAAAGAAATACCTGAGACTGGGTTAATTTATAAAGAAAAGAGGTTTAATTGGCTCACGGTTCTGCAGGCTGTATAGGAAGTATAGCAGCTTCTACCTCTGGGGAGGCCTCAGGAAGCTTCTAATCAGGGCAAAAGGTGAAGGGAGAGTGAAGCTTTCACAGGGTAGGAGCAGGAGCAAAAGAGAGTGAGCAGGGAGGTGCTGCACACTTTTAAATAACCAGATCTCATGAGAACTCACTCACTATCGTGAGAACAGTACCAAGAGGATGGTGCTAAACCATCGTGAGGAAGCTGCCCCCATGATCCAATCACCTCCTGCCAGGCCCCAGCTCCAACACTGGGGATTACAGTTGAGCATGAGATTTGGGTGCAGACACAGATCCAAACCATTTTAGAGGAGTTGGTGTCCTCCTTCCTGGATGGCAAAAGGAGAGTAATATGAGCAGGCTCAGGCAGAACAAGGAAGAATCCAGTTCTCCTTAACAGGAATAACAAGGTCTATTGTTCCCAAACAGGCAGAGCCAAAGCATGCTAAGTGAGAAATAGTCCTCCCACCATGTGAGAGTACGCTGGGCTGCCTTTCCATTTTAAAGAATTGCCTTGGTGAGATGTCTTCAGTTCTTCTGGTAAGTAAAATAGCCAGTCTTTCTTTTTAGGAAGGAAATTGAACTGGAATTGGAGACTCCACATTCACCCTGATAAGAGCAGAGCACAGTCCACCCCTTTAGAGTGTGTGTGACAAGCAAAAGAAAGCCTCATGAGCATCTGACCCAAGTTCTGCAAGGAACAAGGTGCTAAGGGGCAGCACCTCCTCTTTTTGTTGGGAGGGGGTGCTACTAAAGGGAGAACAGAAGCACCTGACTCTGGAAATTTAAGAAGATGGTGGCAGAGATCGCTAGCTGCCTCCTAATATCCATCTCTTTTTTTGCTTTAATAACAGATCCCAGAGTTTTAGTTGGGCACGTGGGTGCCCGGATTAAAGGCAACATTTTCCAGCTCCCTTGTCTGTCAGTGTTGCCATGTGACTAGACTTTGGCCAGTTGGATGTGAACAGAAGTAATATGTGCAAATTCTGGGTCACATCCCTAGAAAAAGGAGCATGGGCTCCTCTTCTCCCTTCATCCTCCTTCCTCCTACTGGACTGTAGACATGATGACAGGGAAGCTGGAATGGCTCCTAGATCACAAAAAGGGAGCTGTGTGCTGAGGACTGCAGAGCTGCAAGACAGGAGTCAGGGTTCACACACTGCCAAGATGTCTGGTAGACACAAACTGTTCATGCTCAGACTGTTAAAGAGAGAAACACTCCTACCTTATTTAAGCCATTCTTATTTTGGTCTTTATTACCGGAGCTAGACTTGTTTTCTACTTAATATGGAGAATAAGATGAATAAAAGACAAGAAACTGGATTTGGAGGAGAACAGTTGGAAGAGTGAGAATGTTCATGGGGGACCCTCCTTGCAAAAGTCTAAGACTGGAAGGGCCATTGATTCAGAACAAGGAAGAGATTGAGACATTCAGAGATTGAGCCCTTGCCTCTCCCATACTCTGTACTACTCAATGAAAGCTGCCCAACCTCAGGAAAGAACTGCATAGACCTGGGCCTTTTTGGTCTGGTGGGATTTTACAGGACAAGTTGGTCCAGGGAATTAAAGTCTTTTCTGCACTTTTAATAAAGCAGTACTCCTCAAAATGTGGACTGCAGACTGGTGTCAGCACTAAAACTGTCTGTAACCATGAGCTAAGTATACAAATTCAGAGTTAGCATTTAACAACTTCTATAACAATTTGACATTGTAACATCTCAGCACATGGTTATTTTTCTAGTAATTCACTTTTATTGTATTTGACAAAAATGTTATTCTGCAGTGGATTGGAGATAAAAATTCTGGTTCTTTATCGCAGCTAGTTTGAGAGGGAGAAAAGGGCTAAAAATGCATTGGGAAGGTACTCCAAGTATAAAGATTTCTTGATGTTTCCCATAGATATTGAAGTATGACAGCTGAAAGAGAAAAATAAGAGGCCCTGCATCCACTGCCATTTGTGAGCTCAGCATTATGCCATCACCATGGGCAGAAAGTGAAGCAGAAGTCTTCACTAGATGCCCTCAGCTAGCCAAACACACTGACCCTCATACAGAAGCAAAATGAGCATGTGTTAAATATTTTGTTTAACACATTAAATTAAAGAGCTACTAAGATGTGAAAACTGATTCAAAGGAGGATGTAAAGAACAGGTGTGTGTGTGTGTGTGTATTTTTTAAAGTATTTTTTATTTTTCCATAGGTTATTGGGGTATAGGTGATGTTTGGTTACATGAGTAAGTTCTTTAGTGGTGACTTGTGAGATTTTGGTGCACCCATCACCCAAGCAGTACACACTGAACCCTATTTGTAGTCTTTTGTCCGTTGCCCCCTCCCATAATTCCCCCCAAGTCCCCAAAGTCCATTGTATCATTCTTATGTCTTTGTGTCCTCATCGCTTAGCTCCCACATATCAGTGAGAACATACAATGTTTGGTTTTGCATTCCTGAGTTACTTCACTTAGAATAATAGTCTCCAATCTCATCCAGGTCACTGCAAATGCCAGTAATGCATTCCTTTTAATGGCTGAGTAGTAGTCCATCACATGTATATACCACAGTTTCTTTATCCATTCATTGATTGATGGATGTTTGGATTGGTTCCATGATTTTGCAATTGTGAATTGTGATGCTATAAATTTGCATGTGCAAGTATCTTTTTCGTATAATGACTTCTTTTCCTCTGGGTAGATACCAAGTAGTGGGATTGCTGGATGAAACGGTAGTTCTACTTTTAGTTCTTTAAGGAATCTCCACACTGTTTTCCATAGTGGCTATACTAGTTTACATTTCTACCAGCAGTGTAGAAGTATTACCTGATCACCGCATCCGTGCCAACATCTACTGTGTTTTTGATTTTTTGATTATGGCCATTCTTGCAGGAGTAAGGTGGTATCTCATTGTGGTTTTGATTTCTATTTCACTTTCCCTGATCATTAGTGATGTTGAGCATTTTTTCATATGTTTGTTGCCCATCTGTATATTTTCTTTTGAGAATTGTCTATTCATGTCCTTAGCCCACTTTTTGATAAGATTGTTTGTTTTTTTCTTGCTGATTTGTTTGAGTTTGTTGTAGACTCTGGATATTAGTCCTTTGTCAGATGTATAGATTGTGAAGATTTTTCTCTCACTTTGTGGGTTGTCTGTTTACTCTGGTGACTGTTCCTTTTGCCATGCAAAAGCTCTTTAGTTTAATTAAGTCCCAGCTATTTATCTTTGTTTTTGTTGCATTTGCTTTTGAGTTATTGGTCATAAAATCTTTGCCTAAGCCAAGGTCTAGAAGGGTTTTTCCAATGTTATTTTCAGAATTTTTATAGTTTCTAGTCTTAGATTTAAGTCCTCAATCCATCTTGAGTTGATTTTTGTATAAGGTGAGAGATGAGGATCCAGTTTAATTCTGCTACATGTGGCTAACCAATTATCCCAGCACCATTTGTTGAAAAGGGTGTCCTTTCCCCACTTTATGTTTTTTTTTGCTTTGTCAAAGATCAGTTGGCTGTAAGTATTTGGGTTTATTTCTGGGTTCTCTATTCTGTTCCATTGGTCTATGTGCCTATTTTTATAGCAGTACCATGCTGTTTTGGTGACTATGGCCTTATAGTACAGTTTGAAATCAGGTAGTGTGATGCCTCCAGATTTGTTCTTTTTGCTAAGTCTTGTTTTGGCTATGCAGGCTCTTATTTTGTTCCACATGAATTTTAGAATTGTTTTTTCTAATTCTGTGAAGAATGATGGTGGTATTTTGATGGGAATTGGATTGAATTCGTAGATTGCTTTTGGCAGTGTGGTCATTTTCACAATATTGATTCTACCCATCTGTGAACATGGTATGTGTTTCCATTTGTTTGTGTCATCTATGATTTCTTTTAGCAGTGTTTTGTAGTTTTCCTTGTAGAGGTCTTTCAAATCCTTCGATAGGTATATTCCTAAGTATTTTTTTTTTTGGCAGCTATTGTAAAAGGGGTTGAATTCTTGATTTGATTCTCTGCTTGGTTGCTGTTGGTGTAAGAAGAGCTACTGATGTGTGTACATTAATCTTGTATCTGGAAACTTTGCTGAATTATTTTATCAGTTTTAGGAGCTTTCTGGAGAGCGCTTTAGGGTTTTCAAGGTAAATGATCATATTATCAGCAAACAGTGACAGTTTGACTTTTTCTTTACTGATTTGGATGCCCTTTATTTCTTTCTCTTGTCTGATTGCTCTGGCTAGGACTTCCAGTACTATGTTGAAAACGAGTGGTGAGAATGGGCATACTTGTCTTGTTCCACTTCTCATAGGGAATGCTTTCAACTTTTCCCCATTCAGTATCATGTTAGCTGTGGGTTTGTTATAGATGGCTTTTATTACATTGCCTTATGTCCCTCATATGCCAATTTTGCTGACAGTTTTAATCATAAAGCGATGCTGGAGTTTGTCAAATGCTTTTTCTGCATCTATTGAGATGATCATGTGATTTTTGTTTTTAATTCTGTTTATGTAGTGTATCACATTTATTGACTTGCGTATGTTAAGCCATCCCTGCATCCCTGGTATGAAACCCACTTGATCATGGTGGATTATCTTTTTGATATGTTGTTGGATTCAGTTAGCTGGTATTTTGTTAATGATTTTAGCATTTATGTTCATCAGGGATATCAGTCTGTGGTTTTCTTTTCTGGTTATGTCCTTTCCTGGTTTTGGTATTAGGGTCATGCTGGCTTCATAGAATGAATTAGGGAGGGTTCCCTCTTTCTCTATCTTGTAGAATAGTGTCAAAAGGATTGGTACCAATTCTTCTTTGAATGTCTGGTAGAATTCTGCTGTGAATACATCTAGTCCTGGACTTTTTTTGTTAGTAATTTTTAAATTACCATTTCAATCTCGCTGCTTGTTATTGGTCTGTTCAGGATATCTAATTCTTCCTGATTTAAGCTAGGAGGGTTGTATTTTCCCAGGAATTTATCCATCTCTTCTAGGTTTTCTAGTTTATGTAGGTAAAGGTGTTCATAGTAGTCTTGAATGATCTTTTGTAGTTCTGTGGTGTCAGTTGTAACATCTCCCATTTCATTTCTTATTGATGTTATTTGGATTTTTCTCTCTTCTTTTCTCTTTTTTTCTTTTCTTGTTTGAAATCTTGCTTATGGTCTATAAGTTTTATTTATCTTTTCAAAGAACCAGCTTTTTCTTTCATTTATCTTTTGTATTTTTTTTCATTTGACAAATTTTTCAACTCATGAAATTGTTACAATTTCATTTAGTTCTGCTCTGATCTTGGTTATTTCCTTTCTTCTGCTGGGTTTGGTTTTGGTTTGTTCTTGTTTCTCTAGTTCCTTGAGATGTGACCTTAGAATGTCAGTTCGTGCTTTTTCAGTCTTTTTGATGTAGGCGTTTAGGGCTATGAACTTTCCTCTTAGCACTGCGTGTGTCGTATCCCAGAGGTTTTGATAGGGTTTATCACTACTGTCATTCAGTGTGAAATTTTTTTTAATTTCCATCTTGATTTCAATTTTGATCCAATGATCATCTAGACGCAGGTTATTTAATTTCCATATATTTGCATGGTTTTGAAGGTTCCTTTTGGAGTTGATTTCCAGTTTTATTCCACTGTGGTCAGAGAGAGTGCTTGATATAATTTCAATTTTCTTAAATTTATTGAGGCTCCTTTTGTGGCCTATCATACCGTCTATCTTGGAGAAAGTTCCATGTGGTGTTGAATAGAATGTGTATTCTATGTGAGCTGTAGTGACTGTTATCTCTATTCTGGGTCTAGCCACCCAGCAAGTCTACCAGGCTCTGGGCTGGTACTGGGGATTGTCTGCACACAGAGTCCTGTGATGTGAACTGTCTATGGGTTTCTCAGCCGAGGATACCAGCACCCGTTCTGGTGTAGGTGGCAGGGAGGTGAAATGCACTCTGTGAGGGTTCTTAGCCTTGGTGGTTTAATGCTCTATTTCTGTGCTGGTTGGCCTCCTGCCGGGAGGTGGCACATTGCAGAGAGCATCAGCTGTGAAGAGTATAGAGAGGAACCGGCGGTGGGCGGGGCCCTAGAACTCCCAAGATATGCCCTTTGCCTTCAGCTACCAGGGTGGGTAGGGAAGGACCATCAGGTGGGGGCAGGGCTAGGCGTGTCTGAGCTCAGACTCTCCTTGGGTGGGTCTTGCTGTGGCTGCTGTGGGGGATGGGGGTAAGGTTCCCAGGTCAGTGGAGCTGTGGCTAGGAGGATTATGGCTGCCTTTGCTTAGTCATGCAGGTTGTCGCAGAAGTGGGAGAAAACCGGCAGTCACAGGCCTCACCCAGCTCCCACACAATCTGAAGGGTTGGTCTCACTCCCACTGTGCCACCCCTAACAGCACAGAGTCTGTTTCCAGGCAGTGGGCGAGCAGTGCTGAGAACTTGTCCCAGGCTACCTGCCTCCCAGCTGCAAAAGAGAAGGGCTTTAGTTCTTCTCCCACCTGTAGAGTCTGTAAGCTGGATTCATGCCCTCCCCCAAGTTCTGGCCAGGAGGCTTCTCGACCTCGGTTCAAATTGTTACAAAGTTCAGCTGGAGATTTCCTTCTCCCTGTGGCGTTTTCTCCGTGCCCCTGGCTGCCCTCCCAAAGGATCCCTGTGATGCTGGGCAGGAACGGCCTGTTTGGGTACCCAGCGAGCTCCCAGGGCCTTTCCAGCTGCTTCCTCTGCCCCTGCATTTCACTCGGCTCTCTAAACTGACTCAGCTCCAGGTAAGGTCAGAATCTTCTGCAAACTAGACCTTCAGTTTCCCTAGTCGGGGTGTGTGTTCAGGGGCAGAGGATCTCCCTTTCCCACTTCCGCAGTTTGGGCACTCACAGTCTTTGGGGTGTCTCCTGGGTCCTGCAGGAGCAGTCTGCTTCCTTCAGAGGGTCTGTGGGTCCTCTCGGGTTTCCTGGTCTATTCCTGCAGTAGTTCTGGAGCTAAAATTCACGATGCAAGCCACTGCATACTGCTCTGTCCCTCTGAGTTGGAGCTGCAATCTAGTCCTGCCTCCCGTCTGCCATGACGATCGCTTTGGTTTCCTGCTGTTCTTTATCAAACCTCCCTAAGACATCTGATGATAAACTGAAGATAAACAGAGGGTTCTTCACACCATAGTATTTATGAAGTTTTCAGGGTAGTATTTTTTGACAGGTTTCGTTCTTATCAAAATGATCAGCATACAGATGATCGTTTGTCTTCATCTCAGTTTGCCTCTTTTGGCGCTTCTCTTTTCTGCACGGCTCCAGCAGCTGCACCAACCCCTCAGCGCCGGCGCGTCCTCTATATGTATTGTTATACCCACACACACACACACACACACACACACACACACACGCACGAAATCAGAAATCTGAGCCAAATATGCTAAATATTTGCAAAACTAGTTATTATCCTGTAACACAACAAAGTGTAATGATGTTGGAGATCATTTTATCAATCAAGGAGGGAATAATTGTTATTGGAAAAATTTTATTTGACTCCTATAGATTCAAATCATTGGCATCTAAAAATTTTCTACCATTTAACTTCTACCTCTACAAAACTGTTAATTTGAGTCAACAGACAGACAATCAAAGGAGCATTCCCCTATTGGGTCAGAGAATCCCTAGATGGTCCACTCAGTTACATGCAGTGCCCACTCGAAGGACACCCAGTCATCTCTTTTGCCAATTTTCAAGTCTAGGACAATTTTTCCTGACACTTAAACTAAATATACAACAGTTCAAACAAACAAACAACTCTTCTTTTTCAAGTAGAGCTTTCACCCACCGCCTGTACTAGAATGAGAATTCAGGAGTAGCTCCCCTGCCTATTCAGCCTCTATTGAGAATGCGTGGAATATCAGCAGATTCTTTCTTTGATCATGGCTCTTTGGGTAGCCCCATGGGCTATCCCTCTGTCTATCCTGAGGAACCAAGTCATTACTGTCTATGGAGTCTCTTCACTTTAATCCTTTGTCTCCTAATCCTTGCGTCCAACAGCCTCTCCCTAGCTCTGATAAATGTTGTCAGCCTTTCACTTCCATCTCATTCTTTTCTGAGTGGGTTGGGGCCTTTAGCTCCTAGAGGTGGAACACCTGCAAGACAACCTGAGCATCATTTCGCTAAAGAGCTCTAATTGTCCTCTTCCTTGAGTTGCATTACCAAGGGCCCTTTCGACAGTGTGTACCAGGTTCCAAGGTGGGAAGGGATGGAAGCAGCCTATGGAGAGTAGAAAAACCCCATCCCATCATAATGGACTTTCATTTCCAGAACCCACCCCCACACTCATGCTGTCTACTACAGCACAATGTATGCCTATGACTTAGGAGGATTTAGCACTCTGTGAGGCTAAACTTCTATTTCTTCTCTCTCCACGCAGGCAAAGCTGTTTGCATATTAGCCCTGAAGCTTGTGCAGTGAGGCAGGATAGAGGAATGGGAACAGCTGGAGCCAGAGAGACCTGCTGGGAATCTGGGCTCAGCCACTTTTGACCTGCATGGTTTCTTGCAAGTCAGGTAAAACTTCTCAGGACATTAACTTCTTCAGATTACTTACCTGCAAAGGGCACTGCAAGGATGATCAATCAATCGTGTGTGTAAATTGCCAGGCATATCCTTCATGCTCAATACATGATAATTACTATTATTATGAGAAGAGAGAGTTCAATGAGAGCCAGGATAGTCTGTAAGTGACAGGGCTTCAACTAGGCAGTGAAGAAAAAGCAAAGAGTAGAGATGCAAAAGGAAAATGGGGCCAGGTATGGTGGCTCACCCCTGTAATCCCAACACTTTGGGAGGCAGGAGGATTGCTTGAGGTCAGGAGTTCAAGGCCAGCCTGGGCAACACAGTGAGACCTCATCTCTACAAAAAATCAACAGATTACCTGGGTATGGTGGTGCATGCCTGTAGTCATGACTACTCAGAAGGCTGAGATGGGAGGATTGCTTGAGCCTAGGAGATTGAGGCTGCAGTGAGCCGTATTTGCATCACTACACTCCAGCCTGGGCGACATAGTGAGATCCTGTCTGAAAAAATAAATAAATAAATAAATAAATAAATAAATAAATAAAAGAAGGAAAATGGGATGAGGGAGGACATTCCAGACAGGGGGCATCCCATGAGCACAGGCAGGTAAGCAGGAATGAACATGCCCCCTCCAGAGGATGAGTGAGAGAGATAAATGGGATTAAAGGTGGGGCAGACAGAAAGCTGGGGTGAGGGACTTGAAATTGAGGCAGCAGAAGGGATCGGTGGAAGGTTCTGGAGTTCATGTAGGTCTTGTGTTCTACAGTTGAGTCCCCTTCTAGGCTGTGTGCCCACAGTGTAAATACCAGCATCTATAAAACACCTCCTGTTATTCTCACTTCCTCCTCCACCAGACAGGGGTCCGGTCAAGTCCTGATGCTCTTTGGTGTAGAGCTGCCCTCCAGCAGCCAGTCTCCTTGCAACTCCTCTAGGGGAATTTAGGTCATAGTACTATTTCATGGTATTTCTGGGAAGATAGTAAGGCCAAATGAGGCTTATTTCACCAAACTTTGAAAGTTTGAGCCAAAGCTGTCACCATAATTGCTGCTGTGTAACACAAACCTGAACCTATACTCTGTCACCATTTCCACGAACACCTAATAGAAGTGGCCTCCAAGAAAACAGAAATCTATGAAATTATTAGTTTTGACCATCAAATTTGCATTTGTGCTAACACTGAATAACCACTCAGCCACAGATCAAGTTTAAAAAACCATGAAGGTGCCTATGATGTGCTCCCTACATATCAGGTGGAGATCATGAATCTGATGGCAATAAATTCTTAAATAGAGAAAGTGCTTGCAAATTTGACATCAGAAACAGTGTACGTGTTCAGCAGGCTTTATGGGTGAATTTCTATTTCTGAGAACTATTTTATGTCCCAGCACTTCCTGAAACAATATCAGAGTAGGTGATTTAAAAGATAGCAATGTCAACTTTCAAGCAGATTCGCGCAAGAAAAGGGAGTGCATTTTATATTTTTCTTTGGTGCTCTCTTAATAGTGTTGATAGTGTGAAAACATTCTGATGAAAACAGATAACCTAAGTCAATACTGCAAATATTTTTGCCATTGCTATTTAGCCTACACTGTGGCACTTTGCACATGAACATGTGACACTGGGCAGTCATTCTCATGTTGCACTTGTAGTATATTTTATTTATCTCAATAGATTATGATCTCATTGAAAGAGATAAATGTTTTCGGTTTCCTTTTAATCCCCCCTGTTAGTACCCTATACAAGGTCCTTCATCTACTCTGTATGTTGTTAATTAATGGATGCTCTTCGTTGGGAGGGATGCTCTCAAAACAAAATGCAAGGCCAGGTGCGGTGGCTACGCCTGTAATCCCAGCACTTTGTGAGGCCGAGGCGGGTGGATCACCTGAGGTCAGGAGTTTGAGACCAGCGTGGGCAACATGGCGAAACCCCATCTCTACTAAAAATACAAAAATTAGCCGGGCATGGTGGCACGTGCCTGTAATCCCAGCTACTCAGGAGGCTGAGGCACAAGAATCACTTGAACCTAGGAGGCGGAGGTTGCAGTGAGCCAAGATTACGCCACTGCACTCCAACCTGCATGACAGACTGAGACTCCATCTCAAACACAGCCAAACAAACAAAAAAAACAAAAAGCAAAGCCAAAAGCATCTTGAACAACATGGGCATTTAGGAGCTCACGTGACAAGAAGCGGAGGGGCAGGGCAAGAGCAGGAGTGGGCACTGCAGAGACTTGGTACAACATTAAAGACCCAGGCTCTTGCCATTTCCCTGCTCCATCATCCTCAGTGTGTGCATTTTCTTAGTCACCATGCTCCACACCCAAGTGCAGGAATTGCCGTTTCCCCTTGCTGTTCTTTCAAAGAGGGAAATCTTTCCCAGAAGCCCCAAGACTACTTCCCCCCAGGTCCCATTGACCAGGACTGGGTCACATGTCCAAGCCCAGACTGCTGCATGGAACCTTCATGATGGGAGGTAGGCACTATTCACCAAGAAGCAATGGAGGGGGTGATACTGGAGAGGCCACCAAAAGTCTGCTCCTTTTTCTGTATGTAGAGGATATCTCTAATTTGAGATGAGTGTTAACAGTGGAGAAAACAAAGTTCAGAAGTAGTGGGGTGGGTGGAGGTGGGGTATAGGTTGGCAATTATGGATACTGAGTGCCTTGTTTGAAGAAAATCCCCCAACCCCTCCAAGCCTGAAAACTTTAAGTCATGAAGAAAGTAGTAGAGAATTGGCCGGGCGTGGTGCACAGTGGCTCATGCCTGTAATCCCAGCATTCTGGGAGGCCGAGGTGGGAGGATCACTTGAGGTCAGGAGTTCGAGAACAGCCTGGCCAACATGGCAAAACCCTATCTTTACTAAAAATACAAAAATTAGCCGGGCATGGTGGTGGCGTCTGTAGTCCCAGCTACTCAGGAGGCTGAGGTGGGAGGATTACTTGAACCTGGGAGGCGGAGGTTGCAGTGAACCAAGATTGTGCCACTGCACTCCAGCCTGGGTGACAGAGTTAGACCCTGTCTCAAAAAAAAAAAAAAAAAAAAAGAAAGTAGTAGAGTATCAAGTTGGTCCTGTAGCAAGTTCTGTTTACTACTCAGTTCCGTAAATTGGCTAAAACCATGGAGACGGCTGCGATTGTCGTGGTCACCCCTGAGACACTGGCTGCTGTGCATATGTGTTCCATTACCTGCCCCGTCCGTAAAGACATGAAGTACTTTGCAGCTAATCTTCCTTACAGATGAAATGAGTACTGGTAAGCTATTAGCAAAGATAAAGAGCAAATGATAATTTGTTGACATATGCTGTTATGTAATTGTGTCACATTAAAATGGGATAGAATGGTTAGTGATCTGATAAAGCCACCAGCTGAAAAACGAAACCTCTCTTCTTCAGTGGGTGCCTGTGACATCAAGGCACTGATCAGGACAGAAGGTATTTGAAACTCTGGAAAAAGGAAATCTAAGTTATCTCTAAGTAACTTAAATCAATGAAATACTATCATATCTATTAATATATTTCACATATATGGTACACATGTGAAATATATGTGGTATATATGTGAAATATTAATATATAAGATATACAACATTGACATTTAACACATGACATGTATAACAATGTATCACATATGTATTACATAGAATAAAGTAGTATTTCAATTTATAACAAATTACTTTCTTTGTTATGCCTCCTTTATGTAAGTTAGATATATCAGTTTATGTTATCAAAGTAACACCTGTACAATAATTCCAGTAATGTAGGTTGATGGGTTTGACACACAGAAATCACTTCAGGAAATGTATTGCCACAAAGGGAATGGAAGGGAATAGAATGAGAAGGGAATAGAAGTATCTACATACAGCAAAAGGACATTATGTTTCCAGGCACCCGCAAACAGGAGGCTCATCTCCCTGTCTTATCTGGCTTTTCTGGGACATCACCCTCAAAAGCAGAGTTTTCTTAGGTGTTATGCACTCACGACAGACTAAATCCTTAGGAAAACCTTGGTGCCTCTGTGGGGAACTTCACAAAGCTGTTAAATGTTTATTCCTCTTAAAGTATTTGGCAAAAGTCGACACCTGAATTCCAGCCAGCAGGGTCTGCCTTGAGGAGCTAAGGATGAATGGGTCTCAGGAAGAGCAGATTTTCCCAGGCCCTGGTCACTCACCACCCTCTAGCCCAGCTCGTAAGGCCCAAAGTACTTAGCATAAGAGAGTGACCTCTTGGCCTCCGTTCCTCCCTTCCTCTTCTGTTCTGTAAACTGAGCACCTTCATATGGCCCAGAGGCTGAGGGGCAGAGATGAAAGGCAAGGTGTGGACCCTGCTCTCATCTCAAAGAGCTCAGAGGAGACACACAAAACACTCACGAGCTCAATGCTGTTGGGCAAATGGAACTGAGCATAAGTATCCTCTTCCCCTCCCCGTTCTTGGACACAGTAAAAGTTTGAAGGTCTTGGGTTTCCCTGGGTGTTCGTTCTCCCATTGGGGTGCACCCCATTCTTGTTTCAAACCAGAACACTCTCAGGGGGCAAAGAAGCTGCCCCTGAGGGTAAAGATTGAGAAAAAAAAAAAAGCCCTGCCATTCTCAGAATGTAGAGTTCCCCGGGGCAACAGTGAAGTAAATATTGTCATGGCGAGGTTGATTCCTCCTGCGCACACCCAGTGTAGAGTTGCAGGCAGGTCTTAGTCACGCATCACGACAATGGGGTGGGATAAACACAGACTGTGTTGAACATTTCCAGCCGGGGGTGGTGGGCTTCCCCTGAGGGCACAGACACAGGTCCTGCCAGCAAGCCTTCTTCCCACGCTGCTGTTAGCCTGATGCCTCCCTTCCTCCTCTGTCCCTGAGTCCCAGGTGCACTGAGGAGTTCAGATGTATGAGTGGTGAGTTGATGTGCCATGCCCAAGCTAGGAGGAGCTCCTGGATTTGTTGCAGGGCCAGCTTCATGGACATGAAGCCTGGGCAGTACAAGGCCCCGCCCTCAGATGGGCCTGCACTTGGCTTAATGCTCTACAGTCATCATCTTAAAATTCTGAACAATTTTTGGTCAAGGAGCTTCACAGTTTCATTTTGCACCAGGTGCCACAGATTATGCAGCTGGCCTGATTTGCTGTGTGGTTAGTCCTTAAAGAGGTTGGGCTCATATGCAGAAAATTGGGAATGGATCCCTTCCTTATGCCAGTTAACACAAGATGGATTAAAGACTTAAATGTAAAATGCAAAATTATTAAAACCCCGGAAGACAACCTAGGCAATACCATTTAGGACATAGGCATGGGCAAAGATTTCATGACAAAGACATGTAAAGCAATTGCAACAAAAGCAAAAACTGACAAATGGGATCTAATTAAAGTAAAGAGCATCTGCACAGCAAAAGAAACTATCATCAGAGTAAACAGACAATCTACAGAATGGGAGAAAATTTTTGCAAACGATGCATCTGACAAAGGTCTAATATCCAGCCTCTATAAGTAACTTAAAGAAATTTACAAGAAAAAACAAACAACCCCATTCAAAAGTGGGCAAAAAACACAAACAGACACTTCTCAACAGAAGACATACATGTGACCAACAATCATATGAAAGAAAGCTCAACATCACTGATCATTAGAGAAATGGAAATCAAAACCACAATGAGATACCATATCATACCACTTAGAATGGCTACTATTTAAAAAGTCAATAACTAACGGATACTGGCAAGGTTGTGGAGAAAAAGGAATGCTTATACATTGTTGGTGGGAATGTAAATTAGTTCAACTATTGTGGAAGACAGTGTGGCGACTCCTCAAAGACCTAAAGACAGAAATACCATTCGACCCAGCAATCCCATTATTGGGTATATACCCAAGGGAATATAAATCATTTTATTGTAAAGACACATGCATGTGTATGTTCATTACAGGACTATTCACAATAGCAAGACATGGAATCAACCTAAATGTCCATCAATGATAGACTGGACAAAGAAAATGTGATACATATACACTATGGAATTCTATGCAGCCATTGAAAGGAATGAGATCATGTGCTTTGCAAGAACATGGATGGAGCTGGAGGCCATTATTCTCAGCAAACCAATGCAGGAACAGAAAACCAAACACCACATGTTCTCACTTATAAGTGGGAGCTAAATGATGAGAACACATGGACATGTAGAGGGAAACAACACACACTGGGGCCTATCAGAGGGAGGAAGGTGGGAGGAGGGAGAGGATCAGGAAAAAATAGTGAAGGGGTACTAGGCTTAATACCTGGGTGATGAAATAATCTGTATAACAAACTCCCATGACACATGTTTGCCTATGTAACAAACCTGCATATCCTGCACATGTACTCCTGAACTTAAAATAAAACTTCAAAAAAAAAAGAGGTTAGGCTCTTTCCTCCCATTGTCTCAAAAAAGCACACCCCCCCGCCATTTCCAACTCTCATTTTCATAGAACCATGAAGTCACCCAAGACACATCTCCAGGCAGACCCTATGGGAAGTGGCAAATTCTGTCCAGACTGCCAGTTACAGGGATAAAGATGAGTTAGGTGCAGGCTCTGGGTATGCAAGCTGCACCCTCACCTCTGGGCTATTCCCAGCCCCAGAGCTTCAATCCCACCTCCCTAAGAGGTCCCTCCTCTCAATCATCCAGCAGGTTCTTTCTGCTTACAGCTATGGGGAACCCACTGTGTGAGCAGTAAGACAGGAAAGGATGGTGCTGTACCCTCACGGAAGGGAACATCTGCCTATGTGGACAAGGGTTGGTAGACAGAGTCGTGTTACATGCTGAGTGCCAGCAAGGGCTAGTGGTAGGTGGTCAAGAAACCAGGGAAGGAAGGGCTCTGTGTGGGCTGGAGCAGTCAGAACTTCACAGACAAGGTCATGCTCTCCATCTCCCCCAACAGATCATCCGTTAACCCTAGCCAGCCCTCTCACAAAAGCACTTTCCTGATTAAAAAAAAAAAAAGAAGGAAGGGTGAGGAGGGTTGGGAGAGGATCTGAATGCCCCCATCCCTATAAATAAAATAGCCACCAATGTACCCCCTGTTGGCGAAGAGAGATGAAGGGAAGCTCCTTGTTATTACAAATAATTAACTCACTGGTGTCTCATTAAGATGAGAACAATTAATTCTGGTGAGGAGGAAGTGGGAGCCCACAGATAGGTGGTCCTGTAAAGTGTCCACTGGGCATAGAGGTCTGCTGACCAATAATGGCTTTGATGTTCAATTCTTTATACTGGCAACCAACACAAATTCTCTGTACCGCACAATTTATGATTGAATTCATTTATTTAGAGGGTGGTGAAAATCTGATTCTCTGGAACTTTCTGCATGAATGTGAATACTTCCCCTCCTCCCCCCACTAATTGTTTTCTAATAACAATCATTTATAGAGCAGTCACTATATGCCAGAGACTTGCAAAGGGCTTTATATAGCTTATGACTTGTGGACCCTCACAACTGTGTAAGTAGATATTATTATCTTTATTTTACAAATGAGGCAACTGAGGTATGAGGAGGACAGTAACTCTGGATAGTAACCAGGGTCCCTCAGATTCAAGGTAGCAGTTTGACGCAGAGCTTGCCTGCTAAGCTATTTGCAGCCCCACTGTCACATCATCTGACTTCAAATTATACTGCAAGCTACACAATAAACATAATACATAGTAAACCAGAACACAATAAACCATTCAGCTAGGAAGCTTCCCCCTAACTCACACACCTCCATTTTGCCCAGATTGTGCATAAAATAAATGCTTTAGATTGACTGGTTCACCTGAGAAATGAGAGACAGTTGGAAATTCAGAACCAGTCTGTGCTTTAAGCCTTTGACCACCCTCTGCAGACGTCTTCTTTTGAGAGTAAGGTGAGGGTGGGGTTCGTTTTAGGATCTTGAACCTGCCCAGAAACTTTCTGTCTCTTCTATTGTCAGTGAAGTTCAATGTGGGATTTGAAAGATCCCACCAAATGCCAAGCATTTGAAGATGCTAGGAAAGCATTTGCAAATTTCCACCAGCCACGTTGCCTGTGGTTTGCAGATTTATTTGCTCCAGGTAGAATGTTTAGAATGTTCTTTGGGTAAGGCCAGCCAGCTCAGGACCTTCCCTTCTCTCAATGTTTACAACTTCTTATTGTCTCAGACTTTCTTCAGCCAGGTTCTCATCTGATGGTTGAGGAGAAAGAGCAATGGAAGAGTCAACAGATCCCTCATGAATGGCTTGGTGCTTCTTGCTCAATTAGTTCCCGTGAGAGCTGGTTGTTAAGAAAAGCCTGGCACCTCCCAGTTCTCAGTCACTTCCTCTCTCTTGCTCTCTCTCTGGACTTCCTGAGCCAATATAATCATGAAGGCAGCAACCGTTTAGCAGTATCTAACTTTAGATGCAGACAGCACGGAAGTAGGGGACTGTAAAAATGAAGTATAAGCTGAAACCCTGCAAGGCAAACTTAACAATCATGGGGGAGAATTATAATTGTTCTGTGACCTTTAAAAATTTTGTCAAACATTAAAAACACTCTTACCCTCAGTTATAAAAGTATAGTGAATTGAAAACTATAGTAAAACCAATATTTACTCAATACACTATAATTTAAAACATTAAAAGCGTGAAAATTAAAATGTTTTGTTTCTTTGTTTAAAAAAAAAAACCTAGTAAGTGTAAACAGTGCTTGCTGGCTTCTCATTGTAGAACTTATGATACAGAGTAAGCCCCTTTTATATGCCTTGCAAACTGTTCTATGTTCTCTAAGTTTGGATCAGCTTCCAACATTTTCTTATTTGTGCTTTCAATATTGAAAAGAATCTCTGAGGTTTCCTTTCATGGGAAGATTTTTGCTGGTCTCACTTCCTCTGGGACATGGATATAGTTTGGTTTGTTTGACCCCACCACATCTCATGTTGAAATTTGATCCCCAACGTGGGAGGTGGGGCCTAATGGGAAGTGTTTGGGTCATGGGGGTGGGTCCCTAATGAATGGCTTGGTGCTGTCCTCAAGGTAATGAGTGAGTTCTTCCTCCATTAGTTCCCAGGAGAGCTGGTTGTTAAAAAGAGCCTGGCACTTCCCCTCTCTCTCTCTCTCTTGCTTCCTCTCTCTTGCCAACTGATCTTCATACACATCTGGCTCCCTTCATCTTCCACCATGAATGGAAGCAGCCAGAGGCCCTTACCAGAAGCAGATGCTGGAGCCATGCTTCTTGTATAGCCTGCAGAACCATGAGCCAAACAAACCTCTTTATAAATTACCCAGCTTCAGGTATTCCATTATAGCAACACAAAATGGACTAAGACATCATTATCCTTTTCATCACAACCACTCTCATTTATGTCACTAAATTCACCTTCACTGAATTTCTTCAGCTGCATACAGTCTTTCAAATAATGGCAAAGTCAATATTCCCATGGTCATTTATTCTATAAACTCCTTCGATGTTGGATTAAAATTTTACTTCCATTATTATCACTTTTTTTTCTTTGCTGCACTTTCCTCTTTCTTGGCCAATTCTCTCTTTTGAGTATCCTTTTCTGCAAAATATCATGTGAGTTCATTATTGGGACCCAAGAGGCAACACAGCTATATGCTTTGCTGTCTGTGCATTTACTGAATAGCAGATGCACCGTAGGTGATATAAGTGGTCACTGATAATGATATGCCTGTGTTGTCTACACAGAGATTTGTGGATTGGAGAGCTAGCAGAGAAGTTTGTACTCTTATGTGTTTACTCACAGGTAATGCACATGGTTACTGAAATTTAAAGTATGTTGTTGAGGACCAGGGTTATTGAGCTAAACCATGATAACTGAAATGCACACTTATTTGAACTACGCCAAGGGGAACTGCCTGCTTTTTATCTCATTTAATTCTCTTGGTAACTTTACAAAGAATGAAGATATTGCTATTATTGTAACCATTTATAGATCAAGAGGCTCAGGGAGGCCAACTAATTGGCACCCAGGGGCACACAGCCAGGCAGTGATGGAGCAAAACTTCAAACTCCATTTACCCAGTCTAGGAGCCTGCACTTCTGACCGCCACTCTACTGGGTCTGGATTTGGAAGGAGAAAGGTAGTTGTGTCTTTCCCTGGAAAGCTAACCTCATCATGCAAAGGGGCTTTTGCAGCTTCTTACATTACTTGTCCTTAGGTTACATGGGATCTTCAAATTAGGTCTAATTTTAACTTCCTTCCCTTTCCCCAGTGATTTAGGAATCCCTTGTATGCTGCCGAGGAATGGGTTGACTCATCAGTCATGAAGGCAGGTAACATAAGGACTGCCATGACCATTTGAAATAGGAAGAAATTGAGTGTCAGGGAAAGGAAGAGCCTAGTCCAAGGCAACTCAGGAAATTGGTGTCTGCATGCAGCGCCTGAAGCACCTTTTGCAGCACCATACTGCCTGGTGGAGCTGCAGCTGGAAACCTGCATGGCCCTGGTGTGATGGGGCTAAGGACACGGCTGCTGCTCTCCTGTGCTCACCCCCACCTCCCCACCCCTCACTGGCTCAGCTGCTGGGGATCCTCCACCCCCTCCCAACTGCAGGAAAGCCTCTTCTTACTCACTTGGCCAAGCACAGACAGGAAGGGTGTTTCTCATTAATAGGATCAGAAAAGGCATCTGTCTAAGAACGAAAGAAAATGTGGCTTTGTCTGCCAAGGTCGCTCCTCTCGAAAGCCCTCCAGAAAGCACACAAAATTGTTAAATTATCAAAACATTAATTAGATTGTTAAATAAGACCAGTGCTAATCCTCAGAGCATGTGGGGCAGGCCTTCTGGTGGATCTGGCCTAATGGCTTTAGGGTCCAGCTGAGTCTTCCTTTCTAGAAAGTTGCAGTCTTGGAATGAACAGCTGAGAAAAAAGTAGGTGATTGTATAGAGGCACCATCTGCCCCAGCAGTGCCAGACTTGGTAAAACAGGCTAGGGGCTCCTCTGCCACTGCAGCGGGGATAGGGGCCTCCCACCTTCACCCTGCCTCTGTGTCTCTATCTTCCATTCTGACATTTGAAGCACTTGATTATATCCTATGATTCTAACTAAGATTGAGAAGTGAAGCCAGCTGGACTTCCTGGGTCCAGTGGGGTCTTAGAGAACTTTTCTGTCTTACAAAGGGATTGTAAAATGCGTCAATCAGTGCTCTGTAGAAATGCACCAATCTGTGCTCTGTAGCTGCCTAGAGGTTTGTAAAATGCACCAATCAGCGCTCTGTAAAAATGCACCAAATGGTGCTCTGTAGCTAGCTAGAGGATTATAAAATGACCAATCAGCACTCTGTGAAATGGACCAATCAGCGCTCTGTAAAATGGACCAATTGGCAGGAAATGGGCGGGGACAAATACGGGAATAAACGCTGGGCCACCCCAGCCTTCAGGGGTAACCCGCTCGGGTCTCCTGCCAGGTTGTGGAAGCTGTGTTCTTTCGCTCTTCACAATAAATCTTGCTGCTGCTCACTCTTTGGGTCCGTGCCATCTTTAAGAGCTGTAACAGTCACCGCAAAGGTCCGTGGCTGCATTCTTGAAGTCAGCCAGACCACGAACCCACCGGAAGGAACCACCTCCGGACACAAGATTATTAGGTTTCAGTCTCCCGCTTTAATGTAAGAATCTTAAGGCAGGGACCAGATGTTATGTACTTTATTCTCGACAGCGTAGACTTTCAAAATTGAATTTAAAAGAAACCTTTTATTTCCACTTTTTTTCCTCTCCTCTCCCTATCTGCCCCGGCTAACACAGAAGGTAACATGACCCGGAAATTGCCGCATCTGCCAGTCCATATCCCGGGAAAACATTCCCAGATTAGCCCCCAGAATCAAATACAAGGCCTGCTGCAAGGAATTTTTGCATTGGAAATAAGGGCAAGAAGATATTGCAAATCAGGCTGTGCAGCTCTGATGATGAGGATGAAGAAAAGTAATGAAGCTGGAGAAAAGTAATCTTTCTGTTTCTCTGCCCCCAAAATTTCTTCTTTCATTTCTTAAATGAAAACTCTGAAGATTGTTTGGACCTATTGGAATAGGGCTCATGAAAGAAAAAAACTGCAAAAAAAACCTATGTCAGACAATTTGAATCAACTAATTTTTATAAAATCATCATTTATTGGATGCCTATGAAGTGTTAGACACTGTGATAATTTTCTCAAGTCTGAAGAGTAATTCTCAATCTATAAATGAGAACACAGGATCAGAGAGATTACATAATTTCCCCATGTTTAAATAGGAAGTGTAAGAGGGAGGATTTGAATTTGTTCTGATTCATCCCATGGTGTGTCCATTGTTAACCTCATAGCTTCCTCTTTAACCTCTTTGCCTAGCATAAGTGCAGCTTTCATCATGCAGAAGCCCCTTCCTCCTCCTCCAGAGTGTAATTCCAATTCAAATCTCCGCTGATTTATCCCCCTTCACCTCATTTCCCAAGGCACCGTCTGCTTAATTGTGTAACAGCATTTAGAATGTTAAGTTCTAACACATGGAGTTCCCTTGTCCATCTCCCCTTCAAGTCTATAAACTCCTTGAACCCAAGAACTATTTTTTACTCATCTTTATGTCCTCAGTGCTTAATGTAGTATCTGTCACTTAGTAGTTCTAGGTCAGAAAAGGCACCTGTAGTCCCCAGCTACTCATGAAGCTGAGCCAGGAGGGTCGCTTGAGCACAGGAGTTTGAGGTTGCAGTGAGCTATGATCATGCCACTCCACTCCAGACTTGGAGAGAAAAAACAAAAACAAAAAACTTGCCCATAGACCAGCCACAGTGTTGTGAGAAAGCTCAGGCCACTGTGAAGAGGCTACATGTTAGTGTTCTGATCACAGCCCCAGCTGAAGTCCCCAGTCAAGGCTACTACAGGAAACAAAGATGAGAGATAGTGGTAACTTGGATGTTGGTGGTAGTAATGGAGATGGTATAAAGTGGTTGGATTCTGGATCAATTTTAAAGGCAGAACTGACAGACTTTGCTGGTAATTCATAAGTGAAGAAAGAGACAGAGAGAGATTGAGAGATCAAGGATGACTCCAGGGCTTTTGGCCTAGATGCTGGAAGGATGGAGTTGCCATTGACTGAGTTAGGGAAGGGTGGAGGATGTGCAGCTTGGCAAGGATGGTGGAATCAGGAGCTCTTCTTTGGACACACTAGGTTTGAGTCCCGTTCATATCCAAGTGGAGACACTGTGTTTGCAGTTGGATATGTGAGTCTAGAGTTCTGGGAGTCATCATTATACAGATGATAATTAAAGCCATGAGAGGGGATGAGTGTGGATAGAGAAGAGGTCCAAGAACTTTCCAGGGTTGTGTCACAGCTCAGAGCTTGAGGAGACATAGAAAAACCAGCACAGGGTCTGCGAGGGCGTGACCAACATAGTAAAAGGAAACCAAGTGGAGTCCTAGAAGCCAAGTAAAGAAGGATGGAGTGATCAGCTGTGTCAAAAGCTGCTGGGTCAAGTAAGATGAGGACTGAAAATTGACCAATGGATTTAGCAACATGAGATTCATTGATAACCTTGGACAAGAAAAGTTTTGGTGGAGTGATGAGGACAATAGCCTGGCTGGAGTGAGTTCAGGAGGGGATGGGAGAAGAGGCAGCAGGGATAACCCATTCTTGAGAGGAGATTTGCTATAAAATGGAGCAGATAAGTGGTGTAGTAGCTGGAGGGGTCACAGAGTCAAGAAAGAATTTTTCAAAATAGAAGAGGTATTACAACTTGTTGATATGTTGATCTAAACGATCCAGTAGAGAGAGGAAAAAGTGATGATGATGCAGGAGAGAGGAGAGATTATTAGTGGAGCAAAGGCCTTGCATACGAAAAAGGGATGATATCTAATATATAAGTGGAGGGGTTGGTTTTGGATAAGAGCAGGGACAGTTCATCTACGGTAATGGGGGGAAGGCAGCGTGTGAGGTACAGGTGCAGATACATGGGTGACGATGGTGCTGGGAGAATGTGGAAGTTCTCTTCTGACTGCTTGTATTCTCTCGGATAAATAAGAAGTGGGCTCTTACTGGGTATCCCAACAGATTGGTGTCTGAGAGAGCAAAAGAGTAGCTAGACGAGGCTTACCAGGCAGAAGTAAGGGTCCACTTAAAGTTAGCCGCCGTGAATGGGAATGTAAAATGTGTCTGTTTTCCTCCAGCTGTATTCCACTGCATGGGTGCAGGCATGAAGTAGACAGAATGTTACATTTTAAAAGGAACAACAATTTTGCCAAAGAAGGGAGGAAGGAGCCAGGGAGTTTGAAAGTGTATGCAAAGGAGAGATTCTAATCATGGAACACTAAATGTCAGCTGGAAAAGGAGGAAAGGGCATGAGGGGGATGAGGAGATTGGAATGGTAATGAAAGCAATGAATCATAGGTCCCAGTGGGGCCAAGTCAGAGCTGGCACTAGTCCACAGAGTGTCTTGAGTGAAATAGATAAATGCTTCCCCTCTAGGTGACGCAGTCCTGCAGTTATGCAAAGAAAAAGCTGCCTCTTCCTTTGGGTGGATGAAGCCATGAGCCAGGCAGAGAACACAGTGTCATTCCTAGAACTTGAGGTGGGTTTCAGGGCCTACTTGTCCCTTGGCCAAGGACTTTTGTGCAATACACAAAATGCACAACTGTTCATGACAACTTGAGTCAAAGAACTGTTTGGGCCAGGTACTAGAGGGTTGAGCTATAAGACAGCAGGGGTGATTTTAGAGTGGGAAGATGAAATTAACATTGTGAGAGTGTTGCAGTCATTGGTCATGGATGGTTATAAGGTATGAGTGTCTGTGATAGCTGGGAGGACAAGGTCATTGGAGGAGAGATGGGTCAAGAAACAGAAAAGTCCAAATGTTGGAAGCAGTGTCATCATGACTACTGAAGCCACCAAGAAATATAACAGAAGAGCGTGGAAAGCAGTGCAGTGAGCCAGGGTTCAGTAGATAACTGTAAGGGAAGCTATTGCAGGATTGTAGGCTGATGGCATTTGCTTCAAAGCAGGCTTTTTGCAGAGGGTGGATGGACTATGGTCCCCAAGCAGCACTGAGGTATCAGAGAAGACCCTACCCCAGCCTCAGACTTAGTGGCATGAGGGATGGAGGAGAGGAAACATCCTCCACTTGGAAGGGCTATAGAGGAAGCAGTGTCCTTGCTGGAAAGCCGGCATCCGGTTACAGCAAGAAGGCAGAGGGAGCATTCAGGGGAGGCGGTGGATGGAAGTATTCTACCTCTGATGGACCATGAGATGGACCATGGATCACGAGATGAAGACTAGGGTCCTCATGGAGTTGTCTGGAGGTGAGAGTTAAGGGGTAAAGGATGATCTGGGAGCCCTGGGCTTCTTGGTGTGATGGACATAAGCAGAGTAAGGGGCTTGATGAAATAAGCTTTGATGGTCTGCAAGGCAGACTGTGGTCATAAGCCTGGGCATGTTGGGGTGGGAGTGTGTTGCATGAGCACCCAGAACACTGGGACCCCCTCTTTACTCCTGCTGATGGAGGCAGGGAGGCCAGGGGAGAGACTCTGTTATCCTTGATCTATGTCTGACAAATGACATTATCAGAAAAATGGTATGTCTTCCAATTATTCCAGTTCTGGTATTCCTTCACCTCAAGGTCTCCATCTTAATGAGAAGGGATATTCCCTCACTCGGACTGAGCACAAGTCAGTGATGTCCCAGAAGGCCAGGCTGACACTAGATTAAACTTCTGGAATTCCCATCCATGCAGCTGCTCCCAACCAAAAATTCCAACTGGAATGTCCAGCCTGATAGGCCCTCGTCCTGGCCACTTTCTAATGTGCAGGCCCCAGCTGTTCTGTAAACTGTGGAAGCCATCTTCAGCTCACTCTCAACCAGAAGGACTAGATGTATATCGGGAGAAACCAAAACACTGTTTGATTAATCGCCACCTTACAAGCCAGAGAGTGGCGGCTGGGCACGAAATGTGGTCGTTATCTAAATGGAGTGCCGGCCTGTCCTCGGGATCCCAAACAAATGGACTCCCCTCTATTTATAAACAGCCCTGAAGGATGAGCAGCTCCGTTTACGTTTAGAAGGGGCCATCATTCATTTTTATCCATCATACCTGCTTTTAGTGATATTACACATTCTCCCTACTTGGGCAAGAATCTCAACAACCCGAGAGGTTTATGTGCTTTTAACACCAATTTTGAGAGTCTCTGTGTACATTTCATCATGCAGAGAGTAATGGTGGGCCTGAAACACAGCGTGTGAGCTGATTTCTTCCTCAGAGATTCATGGAGGGTTCATGATGAAGATGAAATCGGATAAACCACTGTTGGCCCCAAAGCTGTGTTTGCGAATGGGAGGTGATTACAGAAGGTGAGGAGTGAGCCATTTAGACAACCAGGATTCTCCTAGCAGGAAGAGGATAGGATGGGGCCAGGTAAGGAAGATGCTCTGTGATGCACAGGGAAGCCAAGTGCAGCCCTGGCCCACAGGAAGTTTAGCATTTGCTAAATGGATAGAAGGAGAGAAGGAGGGTGGGAAAGAGCAGAATCCCTCCACTTTGTGAATGCAAATTATTTCACATTAGAATAGCACTTTCATTTTTTCAAGCTCTCCACAGATATTAATTCTTATGTTTAAAATAGCCCTAAGAAGAGGGCAAGAAATCTTACTTTCACTTGGTAGATGGAGAATCTGAAATCTAGAGGGGTAAAGCAGCTTTCTCATGTGTTAACTGTCGTGTGTGCTAACTGGCATGTCTCATGACTGCCATGAAATTGGTGCAAAGTCCCAGTTTTCAGATCCCCAGCTCAAGAATCATTCCAATTACCTCCTTAGTGTGACCCTACTCTGTTGAGGATGACGTCTCTTCCCTCCTTCCACTTTCAACAAGGAAGGAGAGAAGGGTGATTTTATGAAACAATTAGAGATCAGGCAGAGATATTGTGGAGTCCTGGTTTAGACAAAATTTGCTATAGGTGCTAAGAGGGAAATTGCGGGCCAAGGAACAAACCAGGTCATTCCTAAGGATGAGAGGCTAGTGTCTCCACGAGAGCACTGTCCCTTAGTAATATAACACGAGTTACTTATGTCATTTTACATTTTCTAGTAGCCACACCACAAAAAAGTTTTTTAAAAAGTTGAAATTAATTTTAATAATATAATTTAACACAAAATATCCAAAGTATCATTTCCTTTTTAACAATTTTGTTTTTAAATAGACACAGAGTCTTGCCATATTGCCCAGGCTCATCTTGAATTCCTGGGCTCAAATAATCCTCCTGCCTTGGCCTCCCAAAGTGCTGGGAGTACAGGCATGAGCCACTGCACCCAGCCAGTTTTTTTTTTTTTTTTTTCTCCTTCTTCTGAGGCACAAACTATCATTTCAACATGTAATTAAAATACAAAACTATTGAGATATTTTAAATTTGTTTATTTTTCATTAACACTGTGAGATCCTGTTGTGTATTTAAAATCTCTACTCATATGCTAAATTTGCATCAGAAAAACTTGATCCATATGTAGATTTCATAAAATATCCCATTGAAAAAGTAGATTCACATATGCAAGTTGTTCCACACAGACTTAAAAGTTTTCTAATGACTTCATCAAGTATTAGGTTTTTACATTTAAATTTAAATGAACTAACATGAAATACATTTGAAATTCACTTCTTCAGTCACACTAGCCACATTTCAACTACCCAATAGCTACACACACTACCACATTGGACAGCACAGCCATAGAGTAGTGATGGCCGCCACAGTGGCAGAAGTTGCTTTATATGGATAGCATCTCAGGTTCTGGAAAGTGGGCCCGGCTTTCTTTTTCCCAGCATGCACCTGCCCTGGCATCCTCTTCTCATATGGTATCCTGTCCAGTTTGACAGCTGACAGATAAGACCAGGTCTCAGTCTATGCCCCTCGTTAAGGCATGAATGACTTCAGGAGGTGGTAGGTGTGGGATCGGCATACTATGCTCTGTTTCCTCTGACAAGGAATCCATGGAGGTGGATGTGATGTTGTCATGAAACACCTGTGCCCTCTCAGGCCCATGGCAGGACAATGATCCTTCCCCGTGGCTGTTAACACACATACACAAGCGTGCGTGCACACACACACACACACACACACACACACATCACATCTGTTATTCCAAGGTCTGTGAAATTGAGTGAGGAATAAGAGCTGTCCATTACACATTGTTAACCCTCAAAAATTAATTTTTGAGTGATAAGTCTTAAGTACTGAACAAGGAGTTAGGAGACCTATGATCTAGTCCTGGTTCTGCTGCCACTGACCAAGGTGTAACCTTGAGCAAGACAATTTGCTCCGGTTTCCTATAAAATGAGATGCTAGATCCTTCCCAGTTTGATAGTCTTGTCCAGGGTTTGGCACACTGCTGCCCTTGGGTCAAATCTGGCCACATCCATCCATTTACATATTATCTTGTGGCTGCTTTCATCTACAAGTGCAGAGTTGGAGAGCTGGGCCAGAGACCACATGGCCCACAAAGTTGAAAATATGTGCTTTCTGAGCCTTTAGAAAAAGTTTGCTGAGTTTGTTCCCCTCTGTGGTTCCAGCTCATTTTAATCATCTCTGCACACTGAATATGTTCTTTATTAACACAACAAATATTTGTTGGTTACCATTATTGTGCAAAGTATCATGAAAATTGCAATTATGATGGCGACAATCATTGCCCTCAGATATTTTACATTCTTGCTTATAAAAGAGGTTGCTTGCTGGGCGTGGTGGCACATGCCTGTAATCCCAGCACTTTGGGAAGCTGAGGCCGGTGGATCACGAGGTCAGGAGTTCGAGACCAGCCTGACCAATGTGGTGAAACCCTGTCTCTACTAAAAATACAAAAATTAGCCCGGCATGGTGGCAGGCGTCTGTAATTCCAGCTACTTAGGAGGCTGAGGCAGGAGAACCGCTTGAACCTGGAGGTGGAGGTTGCAGTGAGCCGAGACCGCACCACTGCACTCCAGCCTGAGTGACAGAGGGAGACTCTGTCTCAAAAAAAAAAAGAAAAAAAGAGGTTGCTGGTTCCCAGAGTGATAGAGTCTGCTATTGTCCCCAATATCCGGCTCCACTTCTTCCATAATGTAAAGGTTAATTCCTTTCTTGTATGTGTGATGGTTAATCTTGTGTGTCACTTGGTTGGGCCTTGGGGTGCTCTGATATTTGGTCGAATGTCATTCTGGCTGCTTCTGTGAGGGTGTTTTTGGATGAGATGAACAACATTTAAATCAGCGGAATCTGAATAAAACAGATTGCCTTCCATAATGTGGGTGGGCCTCATCCTATCAGTTGAAGGCCTGAATAGAACCAAAAGACCTGCCTCCCCTGAGCAAGAGAGAATTCTCCAGCCTGCCAGCCCACCTGCAGATTTTAGACTTGCTTGCCTCCATAATCATGTAAATCAGTTCCATATAATAAGTCTCTTTCCATAGACTTGCACAAACTATTGATTCTGTTTCTCTAGAGAACCCTGATTCATACGCATAGTTATTTTATCGGGCAAGTGGCTTTCTGGAATAAAGACTACATTTCTGTCTCATGTAGTTAGGTGTGGCATATGACTAAGCTTTGACCAATGGAGTGTAAGCAGAAGTCCATGTAGCACAGTCTAAGGACCTTTTTTGTAGTTTTGTTTGTTTAAGACAGGGTCTTGCTCTGTCACCCAGGCTGCAGTGCAGTGGCACAAACATGGCTCACTGCATCCTCAAACTCCTAGGCTCAAGTGATCTTCTCGCCTTAGCCTCCCGAGTATCTGGGACTACAGGCATGCACCACCATGCCCAGCTAATTTTTTATTTTTTGTAGCCACAGGGTCTCATGATGTTGCCCAGGCTGGCCTCAAACTCCTGGCCCCAAGCTATCCTCTCTCCTCGGCCTCCCAAAGTTCTGCTTGGCCAGGACCTTCCTTAAGACAAAGCTAGCACATGCCCTGTGCTACTTCTTTCCCTCTTCCTCCTTCCTACTGCTTGAAACAGAGCTGTTTCAACAGGTGGAGCTCTGTCTTGGACCACAGGAGGAGGAGGACCACCCCTGAGAATTGGAGTTCCCAAGGCTGGAATGAACACAGCAAAGCCATGGGTTGTTGTAAACTTTGACTCGGGAGAAAAATGAACTTCTTTGTCTTATCTAGTGCTATTTGGATATGTGTTACTAGTAGCAAAATGTAATCCTAAATTCTATACCCAAACTTTGCCATGTCCCTCTGCCATGCCTGAATACAACATCTGCTGTAACTAAGGGGACCTGTCACAGAGTCCAGAATATGCTAAATACATGTTGGCAGGTCACGGTTGCATTTACATATCCTGAGGCATTGCTTATGACAAAGTAGGGTTGTCTTCCCAAGAAGTTAAGTTTAAAAAGAAATGGGGGTTTTAACCTGAACATTATAATTCCTCTCATCTCCTTTGAATAGATGATATGTTTAAAACACAAAACACATTTTAAAAATGCGAACAGCCAGTTGAATAAGGTTTGCTTTGTTTTTGATGGAATATGAGGTTTTTTCTCCAACATGACACTAAAGAGTTGAAGTGAGAAGTATAGATTATTTACCAGGCTATTTGGGTATTATTGGGTACAAATATACCTGTGTGTCTTAGACTATGTCACAGTCCCCTGGTATTCATTATCAGGTTCTTTCTTCTCATAAAAATAATTTTTTTCCTTTGAGACAGGGTCTCACTTTTTCACCCAGGCTGGAGTGCAGTGGCATGATCTTGGCTCACTGCAACCTCCACGTCCTGGGTTCCAGCGATTCTCCTGCCTCAGCCTCCTGAGTAGCTGGGACTACAGGCATGTGCCACCATACCTGGCTAATTTTTGTATATTTTTGTAGAGACAGGGTTTCACCATGTTGGCCAGGCGGGTCTTGAACTCCTGACATCAAGTGATCCACCCGCCTCAGCCTCCCAGAGTGCTGGGATTACAGGTGTGAGCTACTACACCTGGCCAAAAAAATATTTTTTTTACATTTGAAATAAATGTTAGCTAAACTGATCAAAACAATGTGTGTAGTCTCACCACAGCCTTCCCTATCAGTGCTGTTCAGAATGATTATTGTAATAGATATGGCAAGTGGTCCTTGCTTTGTCCACACCCCAACTCATAACCTCTGCTCCTTATGTTGTCCACCCCTCCATGAACTGCGCTCTGGGTGGGTGCTCAACACAAGGGCAACCAAACCATGAGCTGACCAGACCATTAGACCCTGCCCCCCTCCAAATGATCAAGGCTAGTTGAGCCCTTTATATTTCTCTTAAGAAACTGAGGCTGGGCACGTGCCTATAGTCACAGCTGCTCGGGAGGCTGAGGCAGGAGAATTGCTTGAACCTGGGAGGCAGAGGTTCCAGTGAGCCGAGATTGTGCCACTGCACTCCAGCCTGGGTGACAGAGCAAGACTCTGTCTTTAAAAAAAAAAAAAGAAAGAAAGAAACTGAGAAATAGCCAGATAACATTGGAGATAGAGGCCAAAAGTTGTACAGAGAGTTGCTGAAGTGAAGGAAGCTGGCAGTCGTGATGGGCCCTAGGCAAGGTGAAGTAAAGAATCCATGAGTAAGCAGAGAGAATGAGCCAGACAGGCAGACAGACCAAGAGATGTTGGGAAGGGGACTGGTCTCCAGGGTTACCTTGGATTCTTCTAATTTTCTAGTTCCTAGACCATTTCCAGCTCCACTGCATGTGTGTCCTGCAATAAATCTTCTATAATTGCAGGGACCCTGAGCGTATCTCTCTTCTCCTTGCAGCTCAGAGCTGGACCAAAGCAGCTGTCGATCCTTTGCCTCTTTGCACTTTGGAGCCCAGTCCTGATGGGACCAGGTAATCCAGGCATGCATCACTGCCAGACTGGCAAATACCAACTCTTCATTCAAGTGTTTTTCACTCAAGTGTTCCTAAAAATATCCAAGAGAAGAAGAGGACGGGCAGTTTTCTGGAAGGGCAGTTGTAAAACTTGAAGGAACAAAATCTGTTATCCTGTGGCTTAAAGAGGACTCTCTCTAGGAGACATTTGTCATGCTCTGGGCTTATTCAGAGTCAGAAATTGTCTCTGATGGGAACCACACGAAAGAGTTGGGGACTCAGAAGAATTACCTTCTGCTGAAGTTCACCTTAAAAAGTAGATACATGCTTTAAACACCCCCAACTTCTCCCATCTCCCTTTGGCTGAAGAAGATCAAACCTTTCTGGTTAATCAGAGCTAAACAAAGAAACGGCCTCTGCGGCCTTCTCCTCAATGACCCTCATCCCCACACCAAGCCATCTCAGGACTGAAAGACCCATCAATGTAGGCCTCTGTGGAGAAACCAGTTTTTAGGCCTCTCACTGAAACCCAACCCCCAGCCCAGCCATGCAGCATGAGCTCATTCTGCCCCAACTAGGAGAATGAGAAAATGGTCTGTGAATTTCTCTTCCACTCTGTCAAAATAAGAACAGAAAAAACCATGCTTCTGCAAAAGGGTTTTCTTTCAGCTTTTATTTGCACACATTCTGTATAATTATGGTCAGCAAGAGGGCATTTTCCATGGCCACACTGGCAGTATTTTCCACACAAAGGCTTATGCTGGTGGGCAGCCTGCCCTTGAGCTATTTACTTGTGTGGTGGATAGAAAACCATCAGACCTATGGCCAGTTAAACCCAAGCAAAATGTTTTCATTTGGACTTCTCCTGTAACTGGGCATATTATTTTAATTTTCCCTCCACCCCTTGTCCCCTTTCCCTAGGTAAAGTGATTCAATATGGTGGAACCACCGTTATGCAGCCAACTCTGTAGTATACCTTCCAGTTAACTGCTAATGTTCACATTTTAAAGTACTTCCTCCTAGCTTTCAAGATCTTAGGATTTTCTTAGCCAACGTTACTCCTTGGAATTCCATCTCATTCTCTCTCTATACAAGTAAGCCCTTTGCTTCTCTGGGCCCTCATGCACCCAGCCCATTTCTTCCTCCAGGCCATTTTTCTTGCTGTGCCCTATCATCCCAGTCCTGAAAGCCTGCCTCCTTCCTTTGGCTCCTCTGAATCCTGCCCACCATTCAACATCCAGTTGTGGCCCCCTCCTCAGTGAAGCCCTCGCTGACTGCTGAAGTTGTCCTGACTCTTCTTTCCTTCACTGAGCCATGAGGCTGTACTGGCTTCTCACTTGCTGCATATTTTGTAATTAATGAGTCACTAGACAAGTTTATCAAAATGTTGACATTGGTTTCTGCATAAAACCACAACATAAATCAAGTCATTCATGTAGCAAGTATTTACTGAGCACCTAGTCCACAGTCAGCCCTGTAAGCAACATTCCACACCAGAAAATGCAGGAATTCATGGGCGAGTTAGGCCTGCTTCTATCCTACAAGAATTTGAAGAGACTTTGAGAAAACAAGCTACAGGCATGAAAGATAATCCTAGAGCTGATGCCCAAAGGATGATGGTTCTTCAAGGCAACATGAGGTAGACAGAAAGAGGAAGAGGAGTCAACACCATCCATTAGAATGGGACAGGGGTTGAGAGGCAGCTCCAGCTGACAAAGAAGTCAAGTTTCCGCTGCTTATAGGATGCATAGATGCAATAATGGATAGATACACACATGCTTGTAAATACAGATGAACCAAGAGATGAGCGGTCCAAAAGCCATCCATCCATCCACCATTAAAGAAACATTTACCCAACACATACTCTGTTCCATTCATAGGGGATACCTAGATAAGTCAACCTTCAGGGAGACTGTAGTCTAGCCTGGTGGCACGGCAATTTAGTCATAGGGCAACCAAATGTGACTTTAAAAGTTCAAAGAGAAGTCATAATAGCTGCCATTTTTTAAATGTCTACAATATGTTAGGTACTTTTCAAACACTACTGCTACAGTTCCCACTCTGGATGCCAAAGCAAATTTGTAGGGAGACCGTGGATTATTTTAAATTTTTGAGGGTAATATCATGATGCTTAATGTCTGTTAGACACTGTGCAAACTACTAGCTCAAGGTAGTTCACAGTTTCAACATTAGATCATACTGCATTCCTTTTGATGATGTCACATCTTTGTGGAGCAATGAAAGTCAATATGTAACAGGAGATGAGGGAAGCAATGTTCAGTCAGATTCCAAGGTCTGAGAAGTTGTACAGTGCCCAATAGGTGTCTGCATCCCACTAATAAGCAATCATTACTACTTAAGAATAAAATCGGCCAGGCGCGGTGGCTCACACCTGTAATCGTAGCACTTTTGGAGGCCAAGGTGGGCAGATCACTTGAGGTCAGGGGTTCAAGACCAGCCTGGCTAACATGGTGAAACCCCATCTCTACTAAAAATACAAAATTAGCCGGGTGTGGTGGCGCATGCCTATAATCCCAGCTACTCAGGAGGTTGAGGCAGGAGAATCACTTGAACCCAGGAGGCAGAGGTTGCAGTGAGCCGAGATCGCACCACTGCACTCCAGCCTGGGTGACAGAGTGAGACTCCTTCTCAAAAAAAAAAAAAAAATAAAATAAAATAAAATAAAATAAAATCAAACTATTAACTTTTTTCTTTCAATTTATATGTAATTACTTTGTCAGGACATAAATTCCTATTACATAGTTTGGTTCTAACTTCCTGATAAATGAAACACATTTTTCTTAAGGCCTAGAGATACTGTGAAAAATTACTGAGATGCTAAAGACACTATGAACTGAGGAAGTTCGGGAGCCTCTGCGTAATGCTAATCCTCTCAGGTTACCAAACATCACACTGGTAGTAAATTCTAGAGTTGGGGTTTGAACCCAGATCTGTTCTAGTGGTCTCTGAAATACATTACTTTTGCTTATAATACTGATGGGAGCTCAGTGGGCTCATCAGGGGATGGATACGTAGGGCTGCCTGGTGGGCAGAGGTTGGAGAAATGAGGCAGGACTAACAGATTCATGGAACTGAAAGGTCTTGCTCTGACCTTGAAGGGCACACTGCATAGTTACTATTCCCTTTATGCTAAGTTTCCATGAGGCCTTGGTTCGATGGGAGGAAATAAAAACAACTCCTAAGAGGTGTGCGGCAAACAGGCCTGATGAGGTTTTTTAGTGCCAGGTCACAAGAAGAGGAAGAATGGGTGGGAGTATAGAGACCATGGCCAAGGTGTGAGAAATAGAGGCCTGGTCTGCACACATTCTGACAGGGGTCATGTAACTCTTATTGCAGATGTTTGAAAACTTGAGTGGCTGCTGTCATAATAATATCTCCAAATGACCAGGCTTCTGTCATTTCAGGTGTCAGAGCCCTGCCAAATCTGTGAGAAGGGTGGAAGCAAGTTTCCCTGAGGGAAAAAAAAACAACAAAAAAAAACCTTCTGGAATTGGGAAAAATTTAGGTCAACATCATTTGAACCTTGACCTCTTGCTCTTTTGTCCCCGGGTGGACATTTCCTTGACCTCCAGAAATTCCTCCACCTCAAGGGAAGACTTCTTGCCCCCCTCACTTCCAGAGGCCTCCAAAGTGGGCTGGGAAGAGATTTAAAGCAGGACCCTGGGAAGCATGATGAGACTCTGGAGTGTAGAGAGGCTTCCCTGCAATGCAAAGATCTTCAAAGGCCAAGCCCAAGGCACTGCAACCCCCAGGAGGGCCCACTCCAAAGCAGAACAGTGGAGGGAGAGCCTGCGTGTCAAGAAGCCTGGACAGCAAGACCCCCTACTGTGGCAGCCAGCCTGCTTGTAGGAGTCCTGAGAAGCCTAATTCAATTACCCTTATCAGAATGTCTCTGAACTTAACAAAGCAGATAATGAGTTCCAGAGACAGATACTGCTTGGGGGGCCAAAATTATTTTGCTTCCCCAAATTGGAGGCTGAAATTGGAGATGTTTGAATAATGGAAAACATAATCCTTCCCTAGGCCCAACCCCCTCCCAGTACCCACACCTGAGACACCCTTTCAACCAAGGAGCCTGGATTCAACATCCATGCCGTCTCTCCTCCTGAAGACACCTGGTCATGAACTCGACCTCTTTCCCCCACCATCTTTGTGCCATCGATGGAAGGAAGCTGCGTACAGGATGGAAGTGGGAGGGGAAAGGGATTAACATTTATGGAGCCCTCCCCTCTATGTGTCAGCTACATAACACATAGCATTCATTTCAACCACAGAACATATGTCTTTACATTACAGAAGGCAACGGAGAACTGGAAAAGTTAACTTACTGCCTGAGGACCCATCCCCATCTCACCAGCAGCACAGTCAGATTCAGACACAGGTATTCAACTTTGCAACACACTGTGCCTCACGGCCTGTGTGCTCAACATCAGAAATCAAATAGAAACTCCCTCATTCTAAGATTCATAGCCATCCTCCGAGATATGACATAGCGACCTCTCCTCCGTGAACAGGGAAACAGACTGAGAGGATAACCTAACTCTCCCAAGGCCAGAGTATCCACTGGGATATGCAGCCAAGTCAGCCAGCAGTTGAAACAAGGGCTCTCTGTGCTATCTCACATCTGAATTGAATTGTTTCCTACAGACTTCTCATAGCTCTCTAGGCAAGGAATACATCTTCTCACCTTCCCACACTAAGAAAGGCCTCTGTCTGAGCCTGGGTGCCGGGTGGCCAGGATTCCTGCTGAACGTTCAGGAGCTTTCCATCTCCAGAGGTGAGCTCCTAGTTCCTGCTTACCTTAGAACTGTAGAACATATAATGTTACCACTGAAAAGAACCTCTCGTATAGTTGGATCACACCCTTTACCTATTTATTTAAATGTACTGTTTTAATTATGTAACATTTGATATGTGCAGGATAATATGTATGCAAATTATAAAGCATAATAATAAAACCTGTGAACCCACCACTCAACCTTAGAACCAGACCATTACAATTGATGTCCCTCCTACTTCCCCAACAGAAATAACCACTGTCCGGGACTTTATGTTTATAGCCCCACCCCCCACAATGATTTTTATAGTTTTGCCAAATATGTTAGCATGGTAGATTGCATTATTGCTCTGAGTTAAATATCCTTCCTTTGACATATAATTTGGCAGTTCCTTCCATTGGAAGTGAAATACATTTCTCTGCCCAAGATGTTAGATTTGCTTTGGTCAGTAGAATGTTGCAGGCTGTGACGGTGAAAATTCTGAGCCCAGGCCTTAAGAGGAATCACCTGTTTCCACATTCCCCACTTGTATTTCTGCCTCTGCCATGAGAAAAACATGCTTCAGGTCACCTGCTGCTCCAAGGAGGATGAGAGACCTATGGGGAAGACCTGGACCCAATCTGAAGTTAGAACTAAGTGCAACTGAGCCCAGCCTGGATTAACCAACTCCCAGCCAATCCACAGACACCTGGGTAAGAATACATGAATGTTGTCAGCCACTGAGTTTTGGAGTCATTTGTTAGGCAGCATTATTGTGGCAATAGCTGACTGATATACTATGTATCCCTGAACAGCATATTGTTTACTTTTGCTTTTTTTTTTAGCTTTGAAAGATGGTAATTAATATTGCATGTCATTATCTAATATTTACTTTTCTTTCCCACTCAACATGATATGTCTGAGATCTATGCAGTAGAATATAATACAGCAGTATAAATGAACTACAGCAGCAGCCCTCTCAGTTTAGAGATGAGGAAAAGCAAAAGACCCGGAGAGTTCATGAAGGGCTGAACTGGCTTGGAAGCCCAAGTGTCATTCCTTCAGCAGATATTTATTGAACATAAACTGAGCACTCACCTCAGTGCTAAGAATATAAAGGGGAACTGGACACATAAGGTTCTTGTCCTCTTGAGTTACAGAGGTCATTTCATAGAAAGAATGCAAGGCCACATCTGTGCCCCCTATCATATCATTGCCAAGGTTTCCTTATTGCCTCTGCCCTGCCTGCTGTTTCCCCCATTCAGTTCACCACCTCCTGTCCCTGGAGGCAATAATGTAATTAAGGCAGTATGTGAAGACAGCACGCAGAAACTGTGATGTGGATAGCTCTCCTTGGAGATCTGCTGGCAGACTGACTTCCAGGAAAAAGAGCCAAAGTACTTGGGAAATGCAGACCCAAGGACTGATCACTTTTGGGAGGTAGGTTTATTTTTCTGCAGATGACACTTGTCTAGAGGGAACTGGCAGTTTTCTGACTAGAGATGGCCCTGTAGTGAGCTTAGCAGCTCCATGGACTTAGTACCTGGGTGACCACCGTCAGCAGAGAAGCATGTTTGGAAGACAGAGAACCAATGAGGGATGTTTCACACTCTTGAGGAGTTTGCCGTCAAAAAGCAAAGCAGGATAAGCAAAAAATGCATGTCCTCAAACCCCAGATAACAAACACAAAACATCATAGATAGAACCAGAGCTGAGGTAGATACACATGGATTCACCATATGCAGGTACATGTAGATTAGGATGGATGTCAGGACGTCCAGAGTGGCTGAAATGACTGCTCCATACTGTCATTCCATAGACAGGTGTCTTTTGTTTCTCTAGAGCATTTGAGTAGTTCCCATGAGTTGCCATTTATTTCGTGCTTTGGAAAAACACAGTAAGAATCCCTTCACATTGAAACTAGACTGAACACAACCGCATACTCCTCAATGATTCAGAAGGCGTTCCAGGGCGTTGCAGGCCCTCAGGGACATCATTAGGAAAATAGGTTACTGTAGAAACTGAAGGAACAGCATCCTGATAATATGAGGTTTCACAGTGATTGGGTCCTGGATAAAGAAGTTATTTTCGGTAATGAAGGATTAGTAGCTCCTGCCAGATATGAAAATGGCAAAACCAAGAACAGCACTTGGACGCCCCCTGCTCCAGTGCTTAGCTCCAGGGGAGGCTAACGACTGCTCCCCTCCACTCCCGCCACCGAAGCACCTAAAGCAAATTCTTATTGCTGCAGCTGCTCTGGCGGCCCCGCCTTCCTCTTCCATTCCAGCTCATAGGGTCAGAGTCAGGCATTTTTTAAATTCTCTCCTGGATCTCATGGTCCGTTCTCTTCTGGTGAGGGATCACACAGAGAGTAGCAGCTATGGGCCATCCTTCCTTGAGATGAGGATTGTGTGGGCCTAGAAGGCCTAAGGTCAGGGGGAGTGCACCCTGCTGGGGGACAGAAGCGCTGAGGGCTAGCTTACCTATCTCCCCACCTATTTCCTACTTGAAAATTCCCTTTCTTCTGTGAGTGTGTGTGTGTGTGTGTGTGTGTGTGTGTGTGTGTGTGTGTTCATGCCAAAATAAATTATTATAAAGACATGGTTATGTGTGACGGACCACCCAGGACAGGAAAGCAAAGAGTGGCCTGCAGTGAAGTGGGGAGGTGCCCCTTCATCACCCAGATCTCACACCTTGTGGATGACTGCCAGGTCAGAGGGCAGCAGAGTAGATTGGAAAGAACCAGTAGAGGTCAAGTCCTGGTCCTACCACTTCCTAACGGCACCATCTTTGCAAGGCAGGACTCCTCTCTTCCCTAGGCCTTGGTCACCCCATCTGTAAACGGCGGCTGGGGAGACAGTGGCTTCTAATTGTCTCTTAGCTACAGATACTTTCCACATTCAGGAGCCTATGGAGAAACCAGATACTTCTAGAAATGTGACAATCAGGAAGGAAGAAAATGACATCAAAGTTGAGAAAATACCAAATGGCTCTTATGCTCTGTCTCATTAAATATGGATATTTTCTCTCTTGTATTCATTGCTCTTATACACGTGTCTTAGTTTTATTCCTACAGTCAGATGACATGTTTCCTGGGAGCGAGAAAAAGTTTCATAGAACTATTGAATTATAGAACTGGAGGATTTTTATTATTAAACATTAGAAAATTATCAATTTTTTAGTCTCCACGTATTCAATTAGAATAAATATCTGTCAGCTTATGATATCATTATAGCTATCTCATGTATTTCTCTATCAATGTTGTCAGATAGGTTGTGTTTCTGTGCCAATTTTACAGATAAGGAAACTGTTGAAAGACTTAATAAAGTCCACATAACCAGTAAATGGTAGTGCTGGGACTTGAACCCAAGTCCTCAGACTCAAAACCTCTATATTCTTTAGAAGTCCTTTGAATTTCTTCTGTGTCTCATGCAGCATTCAACACAATGCAGAGTTCACAGTAGGTGATCAATAAACAATTATGGGTTGACTGACACCATGTAATTAAAAATTGCCCAGCTTTAAGGCTAGATCTGCAACACATGGCCGTGCATGATTTTTTCACTCCCAGGAATACCCTTGAGTCCCTGTGTATGCCCCATGCTGTAGGAGCCAAGGCTTTGGTGGGACCCACCTGGGCCTGCGGGCACCAGCGCTCTAGTCATGAAGCTGGCAGGCACTGTGGAGACCCTTCCTCATGTGAGAAGCCAGTGGGCACAGTCCAGGATTGGAAGCCCCCTTTACAAATGCATTCAAGTACACATTCACCCCTTACCAACAAACAGGGCCCTACAAACTGCCCAGCAAAGCCATCCAGGGAAAAGCTCTCCATTCTGGCCACAGGAACCTCACCAGTGTGTCAGCCTGAGCCCAAGGTGCCAGCTCTGTCCATGGGACACCCAGAGGTGGTAACCCTCGCCAGGCCAAGCCCCATGGACTCACTGCATTTAATTTGCCCATCATGAGACTGGAATAAAATTGAAAAGCAAACACTGGCCGGGCACGGTGGCTCACGCCTGTAATCCCAACACTTTGGGAGGCCAAGGCCGGCGGATCATGAGGTCAGGAGATCGAGACCATCCTGGCTAACACGGTGAGACCCCATCTCTACTAAAAATACAAAAAATTAGCAGGGCATGTTGGCGGGCACCTGTAGTCCCAGCTACTCGGGAGGCTGAGGAAGGAGAATGGCGTGAACATGGGAGGTGGAGATCGCGCCACTGCACTCCAGCCTGGGGGACAGAGCGAGACTCCGTCTCAAAAAAAAAAAAACAGAAAAAAGAAAAAATTCAACACCTCATGCAGTTAAGATGGTCGTCATAACCACCAAATAAGACTGGACATGTGTCCATCCCATCTACTGCAACAGCTGAACTTGGCAACACATTCGTGTGCAACTCACTTGGTGCTAGGTACTTGGTTCTTCTGGGGACATCAGATCTGGATGTGGTCACTTTGTTAGTGTAGCCTCTTTCGTGGACTATGTATGAGCATTCCTCCTTCTCTACTTCCCCCTAATTTGTCATCTTCACAGTAGCCCTGGTCTGATTCCTCATCTACTAGCCTAGATCTCAGCTCTGGGCCGTTTTATCCACCAGCATCATGCTTTCAGCTCCAGCTTCTCAATCACCACTTCCAACCATCATCCTCTATTCACAAACTTCAAAGACTCCGTAATTCTTATGGTAACAGATTTGGAGCTGACCTCCCCCGTAGAGCCCTGCTAAATGTCTCCTCCAGCCCCCTCACTCCCACCCCACCCCCTAGCCTTCTCCTATTTATCCCGCACACACCTTCTGTCTTACTAGGCTGGGCTCCCTATTGTGCCTACATACGGCAGACCTAGTGTCGCCCTGGGCCTATCCCAATCTCTCCATCCTCCAAGACCCTCTTTCCTGTTGGCATCCATCCCTCTCTTCTCTAAAACCTCCACAACACGTAATTATATCCTGGATTGCATTGTGTTAGACTGTTTCACAGCAATCACTATGTGAATAAATATGCTCCTTAGTAAGTAAATACCTCTCTTAGACCTGGGAACCAGGGCGCCTGCACATTAAAAAGCTCTGTTCTGGCCCTCATCTGGCCCTACCCTTCCCCATGGGGTGACAATTCTGTGGGAACAACTGAACATGCCCATCTTGAGCCTGCATCGTTTCCGTTCCCACTTTTACACCATGCTCCTGATGCCCAGGACCCTGGAATTCCTTCCCAAAGAGTCTTGAGCCTATTTCAGGGCCCATGGAGGCTTCTTCCACAGTCTGCGTTTCTGAGAACAAGGGGAGACTGTATTCTGGGAGATAGATTTGTGGCTGGAGCTTGGACACATGGGTTGGAGTGTCCCCATGCATATACACAGGCCTTGTGGTTGGAGGAGAAGCGAGATTGAGCCTCTGTGGGCTAGGGTCCTTCAGTTATCTTTTTATCCACCTGCTGGAGGATAAAGCCAAGATAGAAAAAAGCAAAGTGAGATTCAGAGACAGATTGAGCACGGATGATGTTGTTGAAGCTCTAGATTAAGTCTGTTCTTGGACATTTCAGTTAACCAAGCCAAACTATTTTCTTTCTTTGCTTAAATTCACTTAAGCTGTGCTTCTGTCACTTGTAACTAAAATTTACTGATGGATATAATGATGATGATGATGAAGGCAATGATGATAACTGACAGTTATTTGACAACTTGACGTTCCGGGCACTCTGCTTTGTCTGCATTAGTTCATTTATTCCTCCAACTACCTCATGAGGCAGTGGGTACTATTATCTCAGTCTTCCAGGTGAGGAAACAGAGTTCCAGAAAAGCTAAGTAACTTGCCCAAGGTCACCAAGTATTCAAACCCAAGTCTGTCTGACTCCTAAGACTGTGCTATTACCAGCTAAGCTTGTTTTTCTTGGTCCCCAACAGTGTGAGTTGGACCACATGAAAGGCAGGGGCCTTAGGTAGGGTACAGGTAGCAACTATGGGACAACCAAGGCTCTGAAGGAGGAGGTAGGGGCAAGGGCCGAGGTCAGGGTGTACAGGATGCCGCTTGTTTAAGCAGACACCCATCAATCCTTGCCAAAGGAGACAGAGAGGAGAAAATGATTCTTCAAAATGCATTCTTCTGTACTTCTCCGTCTCTGCCCCTAGTAAAAGGCTACTCCAGGAAAGCTTTGGAAAGAAGGACAAAATTATGAGTTCTGGTAGTATACCTTTAATGTCCCCACAGAGGTCAGTAGGTTATGCTTTTCAGCAAATATTCACGGTAACTTATACTGCTATTGAGTTAAATCCCAATAATGAGCAGAGGCATATTAAGCACAGATGGTTCTTGATATGGTTTGGCTCTGTGTTCCCACCCAAATCTCATCTCAAATTATCATCTTCACATGCTGGGGGAGTGGTCTGCTGGGAGGTGATTGAATCATGGGCGTGGATTTCCCCCTTGCTGTTCTCGTGATAGCATTCTCACGAGATCTGGTTGTTTGATAATTGTACGGCTCTTCCCCTGCTCTCGCTCTCTCTCGCTGTCTCTCTCTCTCCCTCCCTCCCTCTTTCACCTGCCTCTCTCTCTCCCCCTCTCCCCGTCTCCCCTTCTCCTCCTCTCCCTTTCTCCCTCTCTCCTGACACCATGTAAGACATGCCTTGCTTCGCCTTCACCTTCTGCCATGATTCTAAGTTTCCTGAGACCTCCCCAGCCACGCAGAACGGTGAGTCAATTAAACCTCTTTGTTTACAAGTTACCCAGCTGCAGGTAGTTCTTTATAGCAGTGTGAAGTAGGGCTAACACAGGTCTTAAGGGTGAGCAGGTCCAGATTTCCATCATCACCCAATCATCAGTACATCTAAGAAGTCCCAGACATGGTCCATGTAGGAACCCAGCTCACACCCAGTGGGTGACTAGAATCACCCAACTTCAAGCTGACTTTTACAAGTGGAGGAAGAAAACTGCAAACATCAGAGGACTTCGGCTCATGAGTTTTTTATGACCACATACCTAGTTGTGAAATTGGTCACTGTGTCTCTCCATTAGAGAGAGCCCAATAAGACTAAAAAGATGTCCAAATGAGCACAAGAAGGTATATGTGTTGTTCAAGATGGCAGGACGATCCTCAAAGGTTCATTGCTGCAAGCACAGGAGAGCTACACGAGACAAACTCTGCTCTGCTGCATGTGAGAAATGCTCTCATCCCATTGTCACTGCCATAAAATCTTTATAGAAAAGAGCCCAGACCTCCCCACTGTCAAGCACTCAGTGTCACTCACCAAACACTCATGAAGCACAAAGGGTCTTCCCATTCGCAGGTGTGGGTTTTCAAAATCTTCCAGGAAGGTCAACAGTTCGCAGGATAATCTCCCCGGTGCCTCTTGAAAGGAAAGCTCACTGAAATTCAGGCCTCAAGTCCAAATACATTTTATTCCCTATCTTTATTTAGTAGAAAATATGAATCATAGGAGGCAAGTGCATTTTCTGCAGAGCGTCACTATTTCCAAAAATAACACCCACACATGAGCCTGAAACCTATCCCTTATTATGCGAAACTGTTACAATGGTTCCCTGATTTGTTTATATACTCACCAATATTTTTTAGCAAAGGGTTAGAGAGGTGAATAGACTGTCACGGAAGTACCAGTGAAGTGGGGACATGAATGATACCCGTGCATTTAATTACATTTCAATTAATAAATTACATTTGTATTAATCATATTTCAGTCAACACAAGGGGTTGTAGGAAATTTTCAGGGACCATAAGAGCATGTAAAGGGGGAAAGAGATTAACCCAGGCCTGGTAGTCAGGAATAAGGGAAGATTTCCCTGTGGGAGTGCCACTTAGATGGAGAAATGAGTAGTAATTAAAGCAGCTAAAAAGGTGGGGAAGAACAGTCAGCTGAGTACAACAGGTGCAAAGGCCCTGCATAAAGATGCTTGATACCTCCTTCCTTCTTGAAACACTCTTCCATGGACTTTCACAACACCACAATTACTTCATTCCTTTTCTGGCTGGTGCTCTGTCTCCATCAAAAGCTCATATTCCTCTATGCAGCCTTTAAAGTTGACCAGCCTCAAGCCTTAGTCTTGAATCCTATTCTTTCTCTATACTCTCCCCAGGCAATCTCCCACTCTTATGGCTGAGCTACAGTTGAGATACCCACAAATTCCAAGTTTATGTCTGTCTCCCAGATCCCTCCTCTTTCTGACCACTGAAAATACATATCTCTGTCTGCTCCTGTTTGCCCTAAGCTAGGCAGAGACAGGGCCCTGTTTGGGGAGGCTGCAGTTGCTGGTTCTGCTTATAAATGAGTGTTCAGTGTGCCTACATCTGGGGCTCAGTGTTGGGAAATCACCTGGTACCAAGCAACTAAGCCATATTTTCCAGTACTGGCTTTATCAGTAATAAAGCTGACGACAAGATCTTCTTCTATATCAACCTGACATCACTGAATATCAACTTGAGCAGAGGAAAGAGACTGTCGTTTATTGTACCTCCTAAACACCAACAAGGCATAAGAACAAGAAAGTGTCATTCCCATTTCCAACTCTGGTAAACCAGTGGATGGTGGTGCCACTTGCTGAATAGGCAACACTGAAGGAAGACCAGGCTTTGGTGCAGAAAAGGAAAGCAAAATTTTAGCCTGGGTTATGTCAAATGAGAGGTGCTTTCGAAACCTTCAAGTAGGAAATTCAGAGAAACTCAGAGGAGAGATTTGTGATAGAGATAAAAACTTGAGATTGACAGGTACCTCGGTTATAGCTGAAGCCATAGGAGTCAAAGAGATTGCCCAGGGAAAATACAGAAAAAGAATAGACTTGGGACCAAAGCTTGAGGCCCATCCACTGTTTTGTTTTGTCTTGTTAATATATAAAAACTTTATTGAGATATAATTTGCATACATAAAATTCATTTTTAAGTGTACAATTCAGTATTTTAATAAGTTCACAGGGTTATGCAGCTATCACTGCTATCTAATTCCAGAATATTTTTGTCACCCCAAAAACGAACCACACACCCATTAGCATTCATCCCCATTCCATCATCTTCCTAACCTCTGACAACCACTAATTTACTTTGTGTATCTGTGGATTTCCCTAATCTGGACATTTCGTATAAGTGGAATTGTACAATATGTGACTTCTTATGTCTAGCTTCTTAGCATAATGATATTAAGATCCATCCATGTTGTAGCATGTGTTAGTATTTTATTCCTTTTGATCACTAAATAATATTCCATTGTATAGCTATACCACATTTTGTTTATCCATTCATCAATTGATGGACATTGAGTTGTTTCCATTTTAGGGCTTTTATGAACAAGGCTGCTATAAACAATGATATACAAGTTTTTGTATGGACATATGTCTTCAATTTTTTTATATACCTAGGAGTGGAATTGCTGGGTCATATGGCAATTCTATGTTCAACTTTTTGAGGAACTGCCAAACTGTTTTTCTAAAGCAGCTGCATTAATTTTACATTCCTACTAGCAATGTATGAGGTTTAAGCTCTCCATATCCTCATCAACGCCTGTTATTGTCTGTTTTTTATAGTCATCCTAGTGGACATGAAGTGACATCTCATTGCAGTTTTGATTTGCATTTCCCTAATAATGTGAGCATTTTCTCATGTGTTTTTGACCATTTATATATCCTCTTTGGAGAAATGCTTATTCCAATCTTTTGCCCATTTTAAAATTGGATTATTTTTCTTTTTATTGTAGCATTGTATATACATTTTTTATTCTGGATACAAGTCCCTTATGAAATGTATGATTTACAAAACTTCTTTCTCATTCTGTGGGTTTTCACTTTATTGATTATATTCTTTGAAGCACAAAAGTGTTTTACTTTGATGAAGTGCAATTTACATTTTTCTTTGCAACTTGTGCTCTTGGTGTCATGGCTAAGAAACCATTGCCTAATCTGAGGACATGAAGATTCACATCTATATTTTCTTCTAAAAGTTTTGTATTTTCAGCTCTCACATGAAGGTCTCTGGCCCTTTTCAGTTAACTTTTGTACATAGAGAGATAAGGATCCAAGTTCACCCTTTTGCATGTGGATATCAGTTGTCTCAGCAACATTTGTTGAAAGACTATTTCCCCCATGTCAAAAATCAATTGACCAAAAATGTAAGAGGTTTTTTTTTGTCTGGATTCTCAATTCTATTCCGTCGATGTGGATGTGTATGTCTATTTTTATGCCTATACTTCACAGTCTTGATCACTATAGCTTTGTGTTTTTAAAGTAGAAAGTGTGAGTATTCCAAGTTTGTTCTTTTTCAGTATTGTTTTGGTTCCTCTGGGTCCCTTGAATTTCCACATGAATTTTATAATGAGCTTACTAATACCTACAGAAAAGCCATCTGGAATTTTGATAGGGATTGCGCTGCATCTGTAGATCAATTTGGGGAGTATTGATATCATAATAATATTTGAAATATTCCAATCAATTGTAATTGAATAACTTTTCATTTTTTAAAGTCTTCTTTAATTTCTTTCAGTGGTTTTATCGTTTTCAGTATATATGTCTTGAACTTATTTTAAATTTATTTCTAAGTACTTTCTTCTTTTTGATGTCATTATAGATGAAATCGTTGTCTTATTTTCTGATTGTTCTTGCTAGTTATAGACATACAATTAATTTTTGCATATTGATCTTGTATCCTGCAACTATTCTGAACATATTTATTATGCCCAATTTTTGTGCTTTTCTTAGGATTTACTATATGCAAGATGATTTCATGTGCAAATATGAGCTAGTTTTACTTTTTCCATTCCAATCTGGATGCTTTTTATTTCTTTTTCTCACCTAATTACCGTGAATTAGATACCCTGAATTAGATGTTGAATGGAAGTGCTGCGACTAGACATCCGTGTCTTGTTCTTGATCTTAAGGGGGAAATATCCAGTCTTTCACCCTTAAGTTGGTGTTAGGTGTGGGTTTTTCACAGATGGCTGTATTATTATACTGTATTATTAGAGTTTTTCATAGATGACTGTATTATAATAGTTCTCTATTGCTTCTATAACTCATTATGATAAATTGGCTTAAAACGACATAAATTTCTTATCTCCCAGTTCAATGGATTCAAAGTCCAACATGGTGTCACCAGGCTAGATTGGAGTGTGTTGTCTGGGATCTGCTCCTTTCTGGAGGCTCTAGGGCAGGTTCCATTTCCTTGCTTTTGTCAGGTTAAGTTCCCTTCTTTTCCTAGTTTACTGAGTGTTTTCAACACTAAAGAATGTTGGGCTTTGTTAAATGCTCTTTCTGTGCCTCTTGAGATGACTGTGCGGTTTCTAGTCTGTCAGCATTTAAAGACTGGGTAGAGAGAAATGGGCCTGCAAGAAAAAGACAGACAGGAGCTGCCAGGAATAGGAGGGAGAAAAAGTGAGTGTGGTGTTATTGAAGTCAAGAGAAAAAAGGGTTTCAAAAAGGAGGAAGTGATCAAAAGCACCAATACTGATGAGAGGTGAGATGGAAACTGGAAAATGTTCATTTGGTTTGGTTTTGTGGAGGTGGTTTGTGACCTTGGTGATAGCTACTGTAGTGGGATGATATGAGGTAAAGACAACTGGGAGTGCAATGACATTACCTAAATTTCAGGCAGTCTAGGGGTAAAAGCTAGAGGACAGTGATTACATTGGAGAGGTTAATATCAGGAGAACTTAATGGGCCTTTGTATAGTGGATTTTTGATAAATTTTGGTTGAATCAGAGAGGACTAGAATCATGTCCTCAATGTCTGAGATGCTCGTATAAAATTCTTAGCTTTTTCTAAAATCAAGAAAGAACACCTCCATGTGTCAACTTCAGGAACCAGCTCCCAACCTTTGAGAAGGCATAGTGAGCTCTCACCTACTTCGTCCTGTGAATGAAACTGAGTGTGGTGTAGGAGGTTGCCCCATCTTGATAACACACCAAGGCTTGGCCTCCACATTGAAGATGGGATGAAATCTACATATGGTATCTAGTCTTTAGATGACTCTTTAAAATTGAAGTTTTGGGGAGGGGCAGGGGAAGCGGAAATTCCTGGCCTTAGGGGGAGACATTTCCCATCAGCAGCAACATCATCTTCCACAGTGAGAAGAAGACAGCTCCACCCAGTTCTCTGGTCTCAGCCTTCTTGCTGCACTCCTGGATGAGGCCTCTCATGTGACAGGACCCAGGAGACCCCAGCACCCTGCTGCAATGCTCATTTCCTTCTACCTGGCAGTCTCATTCCATTGAATGCTTCCCCGGGATATTTATGTGGAAACCAAAGAAAATACTCCAGGGTCGTTTTTAATAAGTGCCAATCCCTCCTAGGCTCTTTGCAGCCATAAACATTTATGTCTAATATCCCAAAGAAAATGTTGATGCAGTCTGATGTGGGGGCGACAGCACACAGATTAGTCTAAACAAAAACACAAGGGTGACAGTTAGCTTTTTCTCTGCATGAAGCTGCATTCACTCATTTTTGACATAAAAGTGCAATTTGCATATTCTTTCAAGTCTGTTTAGCTGCAAACACATGTGTGTTTGGGGCACAGAAATTTAAAATTTGTAAATTATTCAGAAACTACTGCCAAATTGTAATCAAGTGGTAGGAAAAACATTCTACACCGAATAGTTGTAAGTACAGAGGGGAGCCTTCTCAGGCTTGGGAAACATTTTTAAATATACTGGTGCTTAATCAACTTAGAGAAAACAGGGGGAGAAATGTTTACTTTCTTAGCAACAATTTAATATAGATGTTAGGCGGGTTTTTTCTGTTTATTGAACATTGCAGAATGAAATGATTTTAGTATTGTGACATTAAATAAATAATGTGCCTTCCGACAGAAAACTAAACATTGTGACTAATCCAAGGTAGGAATTGCTAATGCCTCTCTCAAAACCATTATAAACCCAGAACCGTAATTACTAGAAAACAATCCAATGTAATTTAATGTATGTATACTATATCTTGCTGATTGTAACACTGACTGTGTATTGGTTACATCCCATCTTTGATGTCTACCCGTCTGTCCATCTCCTCTTTTACTTTGTGCATTTAGCAAGTATTGTTCTAAAGTTCTACTTTCTGCAAAGCACTGCACTGGGACCCTTGGGGTCTACGGAAATTATATAGAGAGATGATCATGTACATGGGTGAGTGAGTAAACTATTATGGGGAATAGAGGACTGATAGACATTGGCAGGACTGTTGAGTGCAGACAGAGAGTGGGAGCACCTGTTTCAATGTAGATGGAGGGGCAATGAGTAGAGAGGTCAGAGCATGTAGATGGTGGATTGAAGTTCACTGAAGCTGCATGATAATTATAACATAACTTCCAGGACCATAACTATACAATGCATGCAGAACGATTGATACAACCAAATTTAGTTTTTAAAAAAAGTCAAATTCTGGCTGGGCACAGTGGCTCACATCTGTAATCCCAGCACTTTGGGAGGCCGAGGTGGGTAGATTGCCTGAGGTCAGGAGTTCGAGACTAGACTGGCCAATATGGTGAAACCCTGTCTCTACTAAAGAAAAATACAAAAATTTAGCTGGGCATGGTGATGGGTGCCTGTAATCCCAGCACTTTGGGAGGCTGAGGTGGGTAGATTGCCTGAGGTCAGGAGTTCGAGACTAGACTGGCCAATATGATGAAACCCTGTCTCTACTAAAGAAAAACACAAAAATTTAGCTGGGCATGGTGATGGGTGCCTGTAATCCCAGCTACTTGGAAGGCTGAGGTAGGAGAATCACTTGAACCTGGGAGGCAGAGGTTGCAGTGAGCCAAGATTGCACCATTGCACTCCAGTGCAATGGTTACCCAGTTACTGGGTAACAAGAGCGAAACTCCGTCTCCAAAAAAAAAAAAAGTCAAATTCTGTCCAATCTACTTTTTCTAATTCTCTGTTTGACTATTACCAGGGGTAACCTCTGAGAAATAGGGTAGATGTGGCAAGTGGGGGCAAAGAGATTGTTGCACAATCTTTGAAAACAGTTTACTACAGCTGGGAACATTCCTTTAATGGAATCAAGTTGTAAATGGGAAACCAGATTATCTGAACAGCATATGGAAAATAGCAAATAAATTCTAAGTCCAACAGGGTGAGTTATCAAAGAAAACTGAAGATTGGGTCTGAGTTCTCTCATCCACTCATTCATTCTTTTCATTTATTCATGCATTCACTCATTCAAGGAACGTCCATGGAACACCTAATTGGCAAGGTGCAACTTAGAAATAGAAGACAGAAATCCTGCCCTTATCTTGTGTGTTTATGTGGATAAATACAGGGAAAATTGCTTTCTAAAAAGTCCTGAGACATAAAGAGGCAAAGTTTGATAGGAGCAAAGTTTGTTTTAAGACCTCTGCATTCAAGCTTTTGAGCATTTTGTGGTAACTCCACAAGAATTTTCCTTCAGGCAAAGTTGTTGGTTTTTTGTGTTTTTTTTTTTTTTTTCATTTGCTATGAAGGTGATTCACCATGTTGTTGTTGATATACATATTTATTATGTATGTACATTGCATACATTTTTGTATGTAAACATTTTCTATCAACGGGGCATTCAGTGAGAAATCATATTCAGATCATTGCTTCAATTAAATTATCCAATATTCTTTCCAAAGAAGCCTTCCTTGTCCTGGCACTTTTATAGCCATTTTACATATGACTTCAATTAGGACCATCAGTCTACAGAGAGAATATTTGGAAGTCTTTTCTGAAGAAAAATAAATAAGAGACCATAAAAAGTAGAAAGGAAGAAGTAAAACTGTCTTTATTTGCAAATGCCCTAATTTTGTATGTAGAAATTCCAAAAAATCTATTACAAACTATTAGAACTAATAAGTACATTAATACAAACTCAATCTATAAAATTGCATTTCTATAAAATAGCCACAAACAATTGGCAAGGAAAAATTTTAAAGCCATTATAATGGATTCAAAAAATATAAAATAAGCCGGGCCCAGTGGCTCATGCCTGTCATCCTAACACTTTGGGAGGTCAAGGCAGGAGGAACACACTTGAGGCCAGGAGTTCAAGACCAGCCTGAGTAGCATAGTGACACCCTGTCTACAAAAAAAAAAAAAAAAAAAGAAAGAAAAAAAAGTAGCTGGGTATGGTGGTAGTCCCAGCTATTTGGGAGATTGAGGTGAGAGAATGGCTTGAGCTGAGGAGTTGAAGATTACAGCAAGCTATGGTTATACTGCACTCTAGACTGGGTGACAGAGTGAGACCCTGTCTCTAAATATATATATATATACATATAATATTTATGTACATATTTATAAACATGTATTTATGAAATACTTGAGAATAAAGTTAAAATATGTGCAAGACTTGTATATTGAAAAAATAACAATAACAGCAAAATTACTGGGAGAAATTTAAAAAGAGTTAAATAAATGAGAGACACACATGTTCACAGATTGGATGACTCAATATCGTTAAGACATTAATTCTTCCTGAACTGATATATAAGTTCAATAAAATCACAATCAAAATCCCAGAAAGTTTATGGTTGTTGAAATTGACAAGTTGGTTCTGAATTTTACAAGGAAATGCAAGAGACCTAGAATTGCTAAGACAGCCTTGAAGAACAAAATTGGAGAATTTACAGTACAAAATGTTGAGTCTTACAAAAATGACAAAGCTTTAGTAACTAAGACAGCATGGTATTGGTGAAAGAATAGATAAGTTGATCAGTGTTATAAAATTCAGTGCAGAAATAGACCCACATATATGCTCACCTGATTCACAAAGACAATACCAATGTAATTCAGTGGAGGAAAGAATTATCTTTTCAACAGCTGGTGCTGAAACTTGAATAGGGCAAAAAAACTAAGTGTGAACCCCTACCTCCTACAATGCACAGAAATTAATGTGAGATGGATCATAGACTTAAATATGAAAGATAAAACAATAAAGTTTCCAAAGGGAAATAGAATAGTTTCAAGACCTTGGAGGAAGCCAAGATTTCTTAGGATGCAATAAATTAGTAGCCTTAAATTAAAAAAAAAAAACCTGATTAATTGAACTTCACTAAAATTGAAGACTTCTGTTCATCAACAGAAATCATTAAGAGAATAAAAAAGCAAGTCTCAGACAAATATCTTTGTACAGGTAATAAAAAGGACTCATATCTGAAATATATGAACAACTCCTACAAATCAACGAGAAAACAAACCAATTTTAAAATGTGTAAAAATATTTCACTTAAAAGGAGAGAATATCCAAATGGCTAACAAGCATGTGAAAAAATACTGCACGTTATACTACTTATCAAGTAAATGCAAACTAAAGCCATAATGAGATGCCACTACACACCCACCAGAATAACTAAAATTTAAAAGCCTGACACTACCGAATGCTAGTGAGGATAGGAAGCGACTGGACCTTTCAATCACTGGTGGTTGGGATGTAAAATGTCATAACCACTGTTGAATATCATTTGGTAGCATCTATTAAAGTCAACAGGTGCATACCCTGTGATCCAGCAAATTCACCCATTGTGTTCACCCAACAATAAGCTGCACATATGTGCATGAAAAAAAACATGCACAAGAATGTTCATAGCAGCTTTATTTGTAATAGCAAAAAACTAGAAACAACCCACAGACCCATCAACAGGAGAATGGGTACGTCAATCATGGAATATAGGTGTGTGTACATAAATATTCACGTGCATGTGTACACACAAATATATAAACACATACGCACCCACAAACATACAATAGAAAACTACAAAACAATAAAAGGTATGAAGTACTAATAAGTGCAACAAAACAGGTGAACCTTAAGCTATTATATTAAATGGAAGAATCCAGACACTAAAGTACATAGTGCATGATTTGATTGATATTAAGGTCATAAGCAGGCTAACCTATTCCCTGTTGATAGAAATACACAGTAGTTACCTCAGGGGTTGGTGTGGGTGGAAGTGGAACATAAAGGGGGCTTTTGGGGTACTGGAAAGAGCCATATCTTGACCTGATTATACAGATGCAAAAATTCACCAAGAGGAACACATAAGATCAGTACCCCTGCACAGTTTATTGTATGTTATTGTATTTTATGCTTCAATAAAAATAGTTAAATAGGCCGGGCACTGTGGCTCACACCTGTAATCCCAACACTTTGGGAGGCCAAGGTGGGCGGATTGCCTGAGGTCAGCAGTTCGAGACCAGTCTGGCCAACATGGTGAAACACCGTCTCTACTAAAAATACAAAAAAAATTAGCCGGATGTGGTGGTGGGCTCCTGTAATCTCAGCTACTCGGGAGGCTGAGTCATGGGAATTGCTTGAACCAGGGAGATGGAGGTTGCAGTGAGCTGAGATTGCACCACTGCACTCCAGCCTGGGCGACAGAGACTCCATCTCAAAAAACAAAACAGAACAGTTAAATAAAAATAAAGAAAAAGAATTTTAATGCATTACCATGTTAGTGAATGTTTAAAAAGAAAAACCTTTTTAATACTCTATTCATTAAACACAAGGTCAAGACAAGAAACCCTACATATATGATAAAGAGATCTTACTCAGCAAAACACAGTTACTGAAGAGGGATGGAGGAATACCCTTATGAAAAAATGGACAGAACATGCACGAAGAAAACTGCAAAACTTCATTGAGAGACATTCTTGCCTTGAATAAATGAAAAAGCATGTCATGTTTCTGGGTGGGAAAATCTAAGACCACTTAGATACCAATTCTTCGCCCAAGTAATACTACATCTTTAACATTATCCCAAATAAAATCCAAACAAAAAATGTTTTAACTTGACAAAATTATCCTATAGTTCATCTAAGTAGAATAGCCAAAATGTTTGGAATAGGGGTGATGGTAGGGGCTTTTACCTAGCAGACACTAAGACTGAATGAAATAATGGAAAGCTGAAATAATTGTAAGACTGTACTACTGGTGCAAAAACAGAGAAGCATGGTGACAGAGCAGAAATACAGCAATGCACCCAAATGTTTGTAATCAGTGGAGGAAGGCTAGGTTATTTAGCAAATGAGGGCAATGAGCCAATTATTTTTAAAATAAAGTTAGAAACTTATTATTAGCTTAAGATGGAATAAATTCAGCTGGGATTCATTATTTACATTTTTTAAATAAAGCTGCCAATATCATAGACTGAACTGCTGCGGGAAGCTCCCAGATTCCCTACCCTACCTCCAAACACAGGGAAGTTATGCTTTAAATATATATTTAAAAGCCGGGCACTATGGCTCATGCCTATAATCCCAGCACTTTGGGAGGCTGAGACAGGCAGACTGATTGAGCCATGGGATTCGAGACCAGCCTAGGAAACGTGGAGAAACCCCATCTCCACTAAAAATACAAAAATTGGCTGGACATGGTAGCGTGTGCCTGTAGTTTCAGCTACTCAGAAGGCTGAGGTGGGGGGATCACTTGAGCCTGAGGAGATCGAGGCTGCAGTGAGCCGTGATTTATATTACATATATACACATATATATATAAAATTATGTAAATATTATATATTTATTTAAAAACAATTCATATTCAGCCTATCTCAAAAACATACAAAGGAAATCCACAAGTACTGGAAAGTAGAAAAAGAAAGCTAAAATCAGAGCTGTAAAAACCAACTAAAAACCAAATCGACCGTGAAGTTATTAGAACCAGATATGTGCTTAAGGCACTGAGGTTTTAATTGAAGTGCTTAGCTTCTTTGCATGTATGTAATTATTGATAAACAATTATTTTAGATTACATCTACTATCATGTTATTTGCTTCCTATTTATTTCCCCCATTTTTGTTCATTTTTTCTTCTTTTCTGATTTTCTTTGTGTTATTTCTTAGTATTTTATTTTATCTCCTCCATTGGATTTTTAGTTATGCCTCTTTTTTATCTGTAGCTCTTACTCTAGAGATTGCAATATGCAACTTTAGTTTTTTACAGACTGCAACTTATTAATATTATGCTACTTCACATGTAATAAAAACTGTACAACATACTTCATTTACCTCCTACTGTACTTTGTAGTATTATGATTACATATTTTATTTTACATATGTTATAAACCCCATGGTATATTGTTATCATTCATTTGCTTTAAATTATCAATTGCACATTCAGAAAATTAAGGAAAGGAAAAAAGCCTTTTCTATTTACCCCCATGCTTACTATTTCTGGAACTCTTCATTTCTTCCTGGTCGCATGTGTTTCTATCTGGTATAGTGTCCCTTTGGTTTGAGGAACTCCCTTTAGCACTTCTTGTAGTGAAGGTCTACTGGCTATAAATTCTCTCAATGTTTGTTTATCTGAAAATGTCTTCATTTCACCTTAATTTTTTTGTTTTTGTTTTTGTTTTTGTTTTTGAGACGAAGTCTCACTCTGTTGCCCAGGCTGGAGTGCAGTGGCACAATCTCGGCTCACTGCAGCCTCCGCCTCCTGGCAAGCGATTCTCATGCTTCAGCCTCCCGAGTAGCTGAGATTACAGGTGTGTGGCACCACACAGGTAAATTTCTGTATTTTTTGTAGAGATCAAGTTTCACCATATTGGCCAGGCTGGTCTCAAAATCCTGACCTCAGGTCATCTGCCCACCTCAACCTCCCAAAGTGCTGGGTTTACAGGTGTGAGCCACTGCGCCTGGCCTTCTTAATTTTTTAAGGATATATCATTTCAAGATTTAAGGTTGAAGGTTTTTTTCTTTCAGCACTTTAGAGATGTTTTTCAAATGTCTTCTGGCTTTTGTTGTTTCTAATTTTAAAAACCAACAGCAATACAAATACTTGTCACCTTGTAGATAATTTTTCTTTTTTCCCTCTGGCTTCTTTTAATATTTTCTTCATATCTTTTTAAACAATTTGACCATGATGTGTCTGTATTTATCCCATTTGGGATTTGTCAAACTTCTTGGATCTGTGTATTGATGTTTTTCATCAAGTTTAAGAAATATTCGGCCATCATTTTTGTTTTCATTTTATTTCTGTCATGTTCTGTCTTCTGTGACTTCAATTACATATGTCAACTACTTGATATTATTCCACATGTCACTGACGGTTTGTTCATTTAAAAAAATAGTTTTGTTTTCATTCTGCTTCAGTTTGAATAATTTATTTTGCCCTATCTCCAAGTTCACAGATCCTTCATTCTGAATACCCCAATGTCCCAGATGCTATGAATCCCATCTGAAGACATGATTTCAGATATTGTATTTTTCAGTTCTAAAATTTTCATTGGGTTTTATAGTGCTTCCAATTCTTTCCTGAAATACTCCCATATAATTCTTTACTCATTCTATCCATCTTTTCCTATACATTCTCTAGCACATTCCTAATAGTTATCCTTGTCTGATTCCAAGTTGAGGAGCATTCATTCTACAAATTGCTGAATAGTGCTCTTCAAAAGTGCCCTGATCTGCCAGGCATGGTGGCTCACGCCTTTAATCCTGGCACTTTGGGAGGCTGAGACCGGCGGATCGCTTGAGGTCAGGAGTTCAAGACCAGCCTGGCCAACATATTGAAACCCCATCTTTACTGAAAATACAAAAATTAGTCCACCTGGCAGTGCCCGCCTGTAATCCCAACTCCTCAGGACGCTGAGGCACAAGAATTGCTTGAACCCAGGAGGCGGAGGTTGCAGTGAGCCGAGATTGCACCACTGCACTCCAATCTGGGCGACAGAGCGAGACCTTGCCTGAAAAAGGGAAAAAAAAAAGTGTCAAGACCATGAAAAGAAAAAAAGACTGAGGAACTAACCCAGATTGGAAGATACTAGGGAGACATGACAATGGAATTCTGAGTGGGAATTTGAAGGGGGATTCTGAGCCCTCTTCATTCCCTGCTGTGTATACCCACAGCCTCAGCTAGGAATACACTGGCCCCAACCACACAGCCTCAGGCTAGTAGACCACTGTCCCCACCCACTTACCTGTGCTGGCATGGTCACTTCACCAACAATGCCTCTGGTTATGGGCTTTGCCCACTGCTCCAAATCTGGTGAATTCCCTACAATCCTGGCAGAGAAGCTGCCAGTATTCTTGACCTGCCCAGGCCTGGCAAACTTCACATCAGCTAAGTTGGGGAGAGGAGCAGCCCCAGGCTAAGACGTTACAGATTGCCACTGTCCATACCCGAAGTTTAGCAGTTTTTCAAGCATAAAAGCTTCTCAGGTGGTCTGCCTTTGATCAGTTTCCAAAGTACTGAAAAGGTTATTTTTATCAATTTTGCTGGCTTCATAGTTGGTTTTATGGGAAGAGAGGTTGCCAGTTTCCTCATTAGGCCATAGCCAGAAGTCCTGCATGAATGTTTGTTAAAGAATAATTGGAGAGAGAGAAATGTATTAATAAAGTTAGTCTATTAGCAATATTATCATAGATGTGTGAAGGACAGATCATTTGCAATGAATGTACATAAAGATGCCAATCTTGCTTGGGACGAAGACAGAATTTGTTAACTTAAATAAGCATATTAAAAATGTAAGAGCAATTGCTTAAAAAATAGACATAGACTATACAATTTCAAACTAGTCAAGGAAACCAAGGAAGAATAAAGAAAACTCAGTGGATCCATTAGAGGACTAAAAAGATGGAAAGGAAAAGAAAGAAGTATGGTAAATTAAAAATGCAAAATTATATATCGGGACAAAAGTCCCACTATGTCGGTAATCACAGTGAAAGTAATGAATTAAGCTTTCTTTTTATGATAAATAGAGTATTCAGATGGATAAAAAGCCAAAATCTAGATACACATTGATTACGAGATGTAAATCTAAAAAATAAAGACACAGAAAGATTAAAATTAAGGAATGGAAGAACTACATACTGTGCAAATATTAACCAAAAAAGAACTGGTATAGCAATATTAATAAGAATTACTTAACTCTAAAGAAAGCAATCCTGTGAGAAAGCATAGCTATTATATTGCTTTCAAGGGATTATAAATTGCTACAAACTCTGGGAAGTAATTTGTTAATATGCACCAAAGACCTTAAAATAGGGTTTTTTAAATTATGAAATTCCATTTCTTGGAATTTATCCTAAAGAAATAGGCATATGATGAGCAAAAATACATATAAAATGATGTGCCATAAATAGTAATTGTTAAAGCAAGGGGTTCTGGAGTCTAGGCTTAAATCTCTGCACCACAGTTTTCTGATTGATAACATTGGCATAATAGTTATAGCTATTTCACAGGGGTATTATAAATATTAGATGAGGAAATACACATAACACATGTAAAAGAGTAGCTGGCACATAATGATAAAAGCCAATGCTTACACGATGTTTAATATATTCAAGTTCTAAGGCATTGTTCTAAGAGAGCGAGACCTTTATACTCATTTAATTTAATGAGTGTAATATATGAGTGTAATGATTTAATTGGAATAGAATCACTTCTGAGATTGTACTAGTAGGTGCTATTGTTATTATCTTCATTTTAGGGATTAGGAAACTGAGGCACCAAGAGCTTAGTTAACTTGCCCAAGGTTATACATCTAGTTAGTGCTTGGGTCAGGATTTGAATCCAGGGAGTTTAGCTCCTAAGTCTGTGCTTTTAACACTGTGCTACTATTAATAAGCTGCAACACTGAAAAGAATACAATTGGGGATTTGGATAAATATTCGATTCATAAAATGGAACACTGTACATCCATCTTAAATTCCAGTATAGAAGTAGAGAAAAATAGCTAAATTGGATACTTTACTATGTGACAGACACTACTGTAAGCATTTTACATAGATTATCTCCACTGATCCTTATAAAAACTTAGAAACGAACTATTATTATTTCCTTCCAGATGAGGAACCTGGGGCACAGAGTTTGGGTAACCTGCCCATTATCCCACAGTTGCCCTGGCACAGGCAGGACTAGTACGTTGCTGTCTGACTCTCCCCCATTCTTAACACCACATCAATGTTATGTAGACAATGGTCACAAACTCCCCAGCCTGCGTTCCTCAGCCTGCCCCACCCTCACTTTGCATCCCAGTGATGCCCAGATTGCAATTCTTCCGAGGGAAAAGCCTGGGAATAACTCTTATAGTTTCCCTCTTTTTCTCATCTCCCGCCTTGGATCCATAATGGAGTTTCGTCTGCCTCCAAATTTATCTCAAATCTACCCACACTTTTCCATGTTTCCGAGCACCAACCCCAGTTCCAGCCATGTCATCTCAGTGACAGTAGCAGTAACCTCTCTACAGATCTGATTTACCCGCTTGTCTGCTCAAATCTACTATTAAGCAGCTGCCCGGAAGATCTTTAAAAATGTAAAGAAGTTTAAAAAAGAAATCATTTTATTCACCTGCTCAAAGTCATTGAAAGTTTCTGCGTCGCAGTTTGCATGCGCTCTACACATGCCTTCACACATCCTGCAAGGTCCCCCACAACCTGCTGCCTTTGTCCAAGGCTTCTTTCTGGGCTCACTTCACCTACAACTCTCTTCTAGTTCTGAAGCCCTCCATGCCCTCCTCTACCTGGATGGCTCCTCCCAGTACAGTTCACAGAGCTGATTCCTTCTGATCCTCAAAAACCCATCAAGATGTCACCTCCTCAGAAAAACTATCTCTGACCACCCAGTCTAAAGCAGTCATCCACTAGCTCCAATGTTCTCCCTTACACATTCCCCCATTCTTTTTCCTCCTAACACATCATTCTTTCAGCCAACAAGTATTTCCTGAGCATCTACTATGTGTCAGGCATTATTCTAAGTGCAAAGAATACAGCAGTAGACAAAACAAGGCTTACCAGAGCTTGTCATTTTATTTTTATTTATTCCTTTATGCAGTAGGATCAATCACTTAGATATTAATTTTTGCTTTATTCCTGTGGATACAGAAACCCCAGGAAGGAAAATGTGATTTCCCCTCTCCCAATTCTCAAAGCAGCTGAACCTGTGTGGTCTAACCAGTCTAGGCTCTTTGGGAGGGTCATAGCTCCCAGCTATTGGTGAGTTTCTAGGGAAGGGGCTAGCACTGGGCAAGGAAAGGAAGGAGTGGAAGCTGGTGTTTTTAAAAAGAATACTGCACCAGGAAACTGAGTAAACTCCTGGGTGCAGAATTCAGTGGGAGCAGGGATTTCCTCTGAGGGTGCAAAGCAGATGTCTCCATGGTGGGAACCCACCTGGGGGTTGATAGAACAGAGGAGGGCTTTGAGCAAGCGATCTCCAGCCCCCCAGGGAGCAGGTCCCCCAAGGACAACCCCAGAAACTGTGACAGCAGTGGGCTGAGGATGTGAGAGCTGCCTCCAATTTTCTGGCCACAAAAACCCCAGGATTTTGGTACGATCCATGGGAAAGGAAATGACCCCGGCCGCTAATGTGGAATTTGGTGCAGACTTTGGCAAGGGTAGAGCTGAGATCCAGATTTGATGGGATTTAGGGAGAAAATTTCACACCCGAGTGACGTGGAGCAACTCATAACAGTTTCTCTCGTCTACTGGGTGCCTCTTCCTCCGTTCTAGAAGCCAGCTTTGTGCTATGCTATTGTATTCAGGGCCTACTAGAACACATAGCCCCTCGGGACTTGGTATATGTTTGTTAAATGGGTGTTTCTGGAAAATTATACATTAAAATGTTAGTATGACTAACACTGAAGAAGGGGTTACAGGTGATTTTAAAATGAAAGTGTAGGCCAGGCGCAGTGGCTCATGCCTGTAACCCCAGCACTTTGGGAGGCCAGGGCAGCGGATTGCTTGAGCCCAGGAATTTAAGACTAGCCTGGGCAACATGGCAAAACCCCGTCTCTACAAAAAACACAAAAATTAGCCAGGTATGGGGATGCGTGCCTGTAATCCCAGCTACTCAGAAGGCTGGGTGGGAGGATCGCTTGAACCTGGGAGGCGGAGGTTGCAGTGAGCCGAGATCATGCCACTGCACTCCAGTCTGGGTGACAGAGCAGGACTCTGTCCAAAAAAAAAAAAAAAAACGTAAAATAAAATGAAAGTCTAATTCATCATCACTGTTACAAATGCTCCTATCTTTGACTCTAAACTTTTTTTTTTTTTTTTGAGACAGAGTTTCACTCTTGTTGCCCAGGCTGGAGCGCAATGGTGTGATCTCAGCTCACCGCAGCCTCCGCCTCCAAGGTTCAAGAGATTCTTTTGCCTCAGCCTCCTGAGTAGCTGGGATTGCAGGCATGCGCCAACACATCCGGCTAATTTTGTAGACTCTAAACTTCTGTTTCAAGGAATTTCTTCTAAGGCTATCCGAGCATATGTAAGGATATGCATATACAAGGTACTTCTGAAGCCTTTTGGTAATTGCAACAGATTGGGAACAACACAAATAGCTATCAGTAGGGGACTTACTAAATAAATTGCAACAAAATATTATACAGCTGAAAAGAAAACTCTTCATATAATGAAAGAGAATTACCCCAGGATATATTGCTAAATGAAAAAAACAACAGATAGTGTGCGTGATATAATAGGTCAAAGGAAAAAAATAATGGGCAGGAATGTGTGTTTGCTTATGCATCACATACCTCTGGAAGGGTAAAGACACTGATTGCCTCTGGGGAGGGGAACTTTGTGTCTGTGGAGTGGGGCGGAAGGGAGAGTTTTTGCTGATTATCTTTCTGACTTTTTTGAGCTTTTAATCATATTAATATGTTTTCTATTTTTAAAAAATAGTTAAATATCCAAATAAAATCCTTGTTTTCTTTTCTGTTTCTTTTTTTTATTTTCTCATAAGTGAAAAACTACTTGCTTTTCTTAATTTTGAAAAAGGAAAAAGAGGGTGGTGATTCCTCAAGGATCTAGAAGGAGAAGTACCATTTGACCCAGCAATCCTATTACTGGTATATACCCAAAGGATTTTAAATCATTCTACTATAAAGACACATGCACACGTATGTCTATTGCAGCACTATTTACAATAGCAAAGACTTGGCCCAACCCAAATGCCCATCAATGACAGACTGGATAAAGAAAATGTGGCACATATACACTATGGAATACTATGCAGCTATAAAAAAGAAAGAGTTCATGTTTCATGTCCTTTGCAGGGACATGAGTGAAGATGGAAACCATCATTCTCAGCAAACTAACACAGAAACAGAAAACCAAATACCGCGTGTTCTCACTCATAAGTGGGAGTTGAACAATGAGAACACCTGGACACAGGGAGGGAAACATCACATACCAGGGCCTGTCAGGGAGTGGGGTCAAGGGGAGGGAGAGCATTAGGACAAATATCTAATGCACGTGGGGCTTAAAACCCGGAGGATGGGTTGATAGGTGCAGCAAACCACCATGGCACGTGTATACCTATGTAACAAACCTGCATGTTCTGCAAATGTATCCCAGAACTTAAAGTAAAATAAAATTTTAAAAAAGGAAAAAGAGGTAACAAGGGAACCCCATTGATAGAAAGTAAGGTCTAATTGAAAAGGACAAGAAATCTACACCATTTTTGGCCTGGAAATGTGTTTTGAGGTGCCCCTTTGTATTAAGGATGTTAAGCCAAATGTAGCTGAGCCTTTTCATCAATGAAACTAGTAATATAATAACATGGGAGGGTGTATTTTCTTAAAACATATCCTGTGGATTCCTCTAAATAGAAGTGATTTTAAAATTCCGTTACATTGCAGTCTTCTCTTTAGACCTTATTGTCATCAACATCTGCTTTTTAAAAGAAAACAGCTCCTACCCAAGGAATACCGCTGAGCTCTGTCAAAGCTACTTACAGGAACCAAAACTGTCTAAGTCTGGGGCCTGAACGTATGCACGTGTGCAGCTGTGGGGCTGATGCAGAACCGAATGAAGAGCTGGGTACAGAGCACATGGGAAATAAAATCAGTGTTGGCAGCGGGTGGGAAACCAGGCGCTTTAAAAGCTCAGGGTTTTAAGCTGTCTTTAGTTTCCTAGCCTAACAAATGAACACCCTAGATGAGATAAGAACCCAAACATCCTCGAAATGTATCTCCCTGTACTTTTATTATGCCACCTGCCCTCGTGGGGCTTCCAGAATTCAGAGGCACATCATGATGGTCTCCACTGTTTGGGAGCTGTACACTGCAGATGTCCTCACTGGATAATCAACAGGTAAGACCTTCTTTAATTAAGTCCCCGCCACACAGTGTTTTTGAGCTGGAAGGGCTATCTCCAGCTTTTCTATTTCCCAAATAAAGAAGCCAAGTCCTAAGGAGTATAAGTAGTTTGTCTAAGATCACCCAACAAGGTAACGGCGAGACTTGAGCTCTTGATACAGCACTCCTTCTATTGTTTGTTGCTGTTGTAGTTATTGTAGCATGGATGCATCTGTAAGAAGCAGATCAGGGTTGGGGACTCCTTTCAAATGCTGGTGGCTGGTGGCACTGCTAATTTGCTGGGAGACGGTAGACAAGTTCCTTACACTTGCTGAGTCTCAGTTTCCTTGTCCCAAAACTAAAATAAAACAAGAACAATCTCACGGTTTGATGAAATGGCCTGGAAAAGATAAGATTTGGAGTAAATACAAGTATCCCATCCCTACTTTTGGTCTCTTCGCAGATGGACTCTGTTTCTTTATTTGCAAAATGGAGAAAATGGAGATGGCCCTACGGTCCCCTCCAGCTCAGACATGCTGTGAAAGGCCTTTGTATACAGAAGGTGCAGGAAAATGTTTATTAATTTTAATTGATTGCAGTACTATTTACCCACATTGACTTCCAGGCATTTTGTTAGCTCAGAGAATAGAGTTGCTTCCAGTTTTACCCCTAAGCTTTCGTTGGGACTTCGCGGCTGTCAGCTGTGCATTTTTCCTTCCCTGCTGCTCTGGGGTGTGGGCCTGGATTCAACTCATGGACTGGGAGCAGTCAAGGGTTTTCATTTGCCACAGGAAGATCATGGGCAAGTGAGCAGAACCCTGTCTCACATGAAGGACCATAGGTATTTTTAATTCAGGGCTTGAGCATATAGATGGCAACCAGGGAAGAATACCCTTTCTCCCTCCTTCCCGGTCCTCCTCCCCAGCCCACCAGCTTTGCTGGTTAGTCCGTAGCTATGAACCAGGAAGGGGGGGAGCACCAGAAGCCCATCAATCACTACTACACTCTGGCCCCTTGGCTCTCTGGCCTGTTCCCATCCATCTGGTACTTGTCTTAAAGGCAAGAGTAAAGTCCTGAATACCCCCGGTTCCTTTCTCCCTAAGGAGAGGCCAAAACAGTAAGCTGAGAGAAGAGAAGGGACGTAGAAAAAGATACACTGAGAGGCAAATGATTTAAAGCCCACCAACCATTTCAGAAATGACTAAGCCTGTGATGAACAGCTGGATTCTACTTCCCAGGCTTATACTGAGGAATAAGTGAAATTAAATAAGGCAGTATATGTAAAATACCTGGAACAGTGCCTGGAATATGGCATAAGCTCAATAAAGGGCAACTGTTATTGTTATTGAAGTCCTGGATTTAAAGCCAGAGACTTAAAGCTGGAAGAATGTGGTGAGAAATTTTAAAAGCCACGCACATACATCAGAAAAACTAAAATATAAAATAGTGACAACACCACATGTGGGCACGGATGCAAATCACTCATCCATTGTGGGTAGGATTATAAAATGGTACAGCCATTCTGGAAAAGTTTGATAATTTCTTATAAAACTAAACATGCAATTACCATATAAGCCAGCGACTGTACCCTTGGGTGTTTATCCCAGGAAAATGAAGTGTTTTATGTTTACACAAAAACCTCTACATAAATGTTCATAACAACTTTATTCCTAAGAGCCAACAACTGGAAGAACCCCAGATATCCTTCGATGAGTGAACGGTTAAAAAAACTGTGGTATATCTGTATCATGAAAAACTACGAAGCAATAAAAAGGAGCAAACTATTGATACATGCAACAATCTAGATGAATCTCAAGGGGATTATGCTGATTTTTAAAAATCAAATTCCAGGAGGTATCATATACTGTATGATATGATTCCATTTACATAAGATTCTTGAAAAGACAAAAGTACAGAGAATTAGGACACATTGCCAAAGTTCCAAGGTTACCAAAGGTTAGGGACGGGGTAGGGGTGGCGTGGAGGCAGTAGCCAGGGGGGAAGGTGGATGTGGTTACAAAAGGCCAGGAAAAGGGATCCTTGTGATGATGGAACTGTTCTCTCTTGACTGTGGTGATGGATACTACAGCCTCTGTAGGTGATAGAACTGTGTAGAACTTAATACACACATGGAAAACTGGTAAAACCTGAATGAGTTTAGTGGGTTATATCAACATTAATTTCCTGGTTGTGCTATTATTATACATAGTTTTGCACCCAGTTAGGGAAACCTGGGTAAAGGGTATTATTTCATAAAACTGCATGTGAATCTATAATTATCTCAAAATAAAATGTTTAATTAAAAAACAAAACTGTAAAGAATTGTGCGTGCGTGTGAAATACTATTTCTTTTTTTGTTTGTTCGTTTCTTCTTTTTTTTTTTTTTTTATTTTACTTTAAGTACTGGGATTCATGTGCAGAATGTGCAGGTTTGTTACATAGGTATACATGTGGCCTGGTGGTTTGCTGCACCTATCAACCCATCATCTAGGTATTAAACCCTGCATGCATTAGGTATTTGTCCTAATGCTCTCCCTCCCCTTGCCGCCTAACCCCCAACTGGCCCTGGTGTGTGATGTTCCCCTCCCTGTGTGCCTGTGTTCTCATTGTTCAACTCCCACTTATGAGTGAGAACACACGGTGTTTGGTTTTCTGGTCATGTGTTAGTTTGCTGAGAATTATGGTTTCAGCTTCATCCATGTCCCTGCAAAGGGCATGATCTCATTCCTTTTTATGGCTGCATAGTATTCCACGGTGTATATGTACCATATTTTCTTTATCCAGTCTATCATTGATGGGCATTTGGGTTAGGTCCAAGTCTTTGCTATTGTAAATAGTGCTGCAGTAATCATACGTGTGCATGTGTCTTTATAGTAGCATGATTTATAATCCTTTGGGTATATACCCAGTAATAGGATTACTGGGTCAAATGGTATTTCTGGTTCTAGATCCTTGGGGAATCACCACACTGTCTTCCACAATGATTGAACTAATTTACACTCCCACCAACAGTGTAAAAGTGTTCCTGTTTCTCCACATCCTCACCTGCATCTGTTGTTTCCTGACTTTTTAATGATCACTGTTCTAACTGGCGTGAGATGGTATCTCATTGTAGTTTTGATTTGCATGTGAAATGCTATTTCTATAGTAAGAATTCTAGAAGCACATTTACAGTTGCTTAAATACCAGATAATTGATTATTGCACTGCTTGTAATAGCAAAAGACTGGGAGAAACTTAAACATGTCTATCAATAGGGAACCAGTTAAATATAGTACAACCATGAAATGGAATGCTATGTAAATTTTAAATAAAATGAAAAAGCGTGGCTCATGCCTGTAATCCCAACACTTTGGGAGACCGAGGCGGGCGGATCACAAGGTCAGGAGATTGAGACCATGCTGGCTAACACGGTGAAACCCCGCCTCTACTAAAAACACAAAAAATTAGCCGGGCGTGGTGGCGGGCGCCTGTAGTCCCAGCTACTCGGGAGGCTGAGGCAGGAGAATGGCGTAAACCTGGGAGGCGGAGCCTGCAGTGAGCCGAGATTGCACCACTGCACTCCAGCCTGGGTGACAGAGGGAAACTCCGTCTCCAAAAAAATAAATAAATACATAAGTAAGTAAATAAAATGAAAAATCTCTTTATGTACTAATATAGAAAGAGTCCAAGGATATATTGTGGGTGGTGGGGGTAAAAAGCAAAATGAAGAACAATGGATACGGAATAATAAAATTCGTATGTTTTAAAAATTACTTGGATTTATATATATTTTTAAATTTCTAGAAGTATATACAAGAAACTAATAACAGTGGCTACCTGTTTTGTTCTGTTGTTTTTGAGGGGAGGGGCACAAATTAAAAAATTAAATGAAGAGAGGTTAAGGTTGGAGGGGGGTGGTGAAGAGGGCCTCACTGTATGTCTTTTTCCAGTAGGCAATCAAGAAGCACTTGTTTAGATGAACTTCCTCTCAACCGATGCCACCCCAAAAGAAGAACACTTGTGTCTTTCACATTCATTTGACAGTTACCACCCTCTAGGACACGCACTTCTGCTATTTCCCTGAATTTTTAATGAACATTGTGTCTGTGGAGCTGGGGCTTGGCTCCTTCACCACCTCGCCGTGGCTGTCTGTCCATCTGCCTCCTTTCACCACCCTGCCTGTGCCTAAGGGCCCCAGGGACAGTCCTCTTCATCTCTCCCTCAGGTGTCCATCCCAGGCCCTTAGGTGAACTGGGCCCTGCTTAGCCTTCAGTTCCTGTCCTGTCCCAGCAGGAGCATTCACCTGTATTAGAGCATTGTTTTCATGGTTTAGAATAGGCTCAACCAACTTATACCTCCAGTGGGCCATGCTGTCCCCCTCCACCTTGTGCCTTTGCACACATGGCCCTCTCGCCCTAGAACCACAATGTAGAGCTCCCTTTCCATTTATTTACTAGACATTTATTAAGCACCTACTATATGTCAGGTACTGTGTGAGAAAGGGTATGTACTGGTGAACAAAACAGACGAAAACACCTGTTCTCAATGAGTTTATAATGGTTTTAGGTGAAATGTCTGTTTCAGAAAAACTTGACCTCCTGAGCAGTATGGATGCCCCTCCTCGGTAACTACTGTGGCCCTGTTCTTCCGCATCTGCCTATGGGACAGGACTCCCTGGGTGGATCTAACGGGGTGACCCTTTCACATCGTGGAGGGAACTTCCTTCCACATACTGGCCCAGCTGGCAGCCCCGCCTAGGCCCTGCCCTGGCCAGGAGATTAGCTCATTTCATAGAATTATTTGGAAGATTAAGTGAGATAATTGGTTGCAAACTGACCAGCACAGCACCTGAGGCAAAGAAGAATAAACTTGTATTCACTGTAGTGTAGTACAGGGATTACACACAAGGATTTGGAGGTCAGGCAGGGTTCAAATCTTAGCGTATCACTTACTGTGACTTTGTGCAAGCTACTGAATTATTCTAATTCAGCTTCTTCATCTATCAAATGGGGACTCATTATAACAGCTAAAATGTTGTTAAAATGTAGTATGCACATTTTTAAGCTCATGCATCATTGTCTCTTCAATTCTCAAAAATATCCTGTGACTTGCATCCCTATTTTACAGCTCTGCGAAGGCACGCGCTGAAAATCACACAGCTGGAAATGGTGAATCCAAGCTGCCCAGTACCAGAGGGCGGGCACTTAACCCTCCACACACCCCAGTCTTTCCAGTAGAAACTACCTCAACAGGCTGTGGTAGGAGTTAGACGAGATGACACATATGAATCACTTGGACACCATGTTCAGCAAGTGGTAAGTGATCCATGCATATTCACTGTGCTCAATACTATTATTGCTGTTAATTTGCTTAGTGGTGAAATAGTTTCGCCATCTGTTTGGATAAAGATAGACTGATAAAGATTTAATTGAGGGAGTAAAGCCTTTTGTCTTATCCAGTCAGAGCAGAAGAAAGAGCAGCCCAGTGTCAGAGAGCTCAGTCAAGGTTGGGTCCAAGGTATTATTTCCCCACAGATGTTTCCACAGTGGCCTGCACTATGTAGGGCACAAAAGTGGACACAGCAGAACCTTGGTGGATACTTTATGACCTGGGCAGAATGGGATCAACCTGGAACTTTATAAAGCAAGCTGACCTCCTGCATAGGTCATCAGTCCACCCAAACGCAGGTATTTCCTGAGACCCTCCTATGTGTCCATGCTGCAGGGAGAAGGGAGAGGAGGGTGGCATGGGTGCTGTTGGAAGCCTCACAGAAGCGTGAGTGATAGACGGGCCAGCTCTCAGAAGCACTCCAGACAACACACGGGCGTGAGATGTTAAATAATACCATCTGCCATGCATGCACCTCCAAACCAACCACCAGCCCTGGGACCTAGCTGGCAGATCCATTTTATCTTTGCTCTCTCTATTCAACCCCACCCTCCACCATGGCCCAACATCCCCCCAAACATGATGGTGATGTTCAGTGTGGCTTCAATTCCCGTGACCTTGGGGGAATGGTCTGTGTTTCTGAATTGCTCTCCTTAGTCTAACCATCTAGAAGGAGCTTTTGCCTGATGTGGTGAAGTTTGGCCAAACTCCTTGCTCTAGTCTCCTTCATCACCCAGTTAGTCTTTGCCACTCCCCGAGGTTTACCCAGAAGCAGACAAAGCCAACAGGCAGGCTCAGACAGACAAGGTGTCCTGGGCAGGCTCACATTGGGCATTCCTTGAAACTGGTGGCTTAAAAATTCATTAAACATCTGGAGGAAACAGCAAGAGCAGTGGGTGAAGGGCAGGGAACACTGCTCAGTCTCACCCCCCACCATTCAGCAAAGCAACAGATCTGCAGTGAACAGACGCTGCCACCACTGTTCGTAGCCAACATCACCACCCAGAGACAGGTTAGCAACCACCAGTTGCAACTGAAGCACGTGCCTTTTGTGGCTTGTCAAACTATTCCTTCTAACTGGTTACAAAGCCCTCCTTGAGAGCACTTCCTTCATTACACAAATATTTACTGATCACTTGCCAGGGGCTGGGGATACTGCAGTGAATCAAATAGTCAGTAGCGGCTTTGAAAAATTTTATTTATTTAACAAACATATGTGACAAGCACCATACTAAATACTCTTCAAGATTCACTTATTTTAGCCTCATTTACAGCCCTTTGAAATCGGTACTATTATTACCCCCATTTTCCAGATGGAACAACTGAGGGACAAAGTTAAATAGCTTAAATGACAAAGCAGGATTTAGACCTGGGTGATTTGGTTCCTTAGTCTATATGCCAAACCCCAAAAGGCAAATATCCTTTTCCCTAGTCCATACCATTTGTTGCCTCTTGTGAACTGGCACCTCTTAACCTAGAAATGCCCTCAGGGCAGGGCTGGGCTCTCAGTTTTCCTCAAATGAACAGACAACAGGGCTGGAACTCCCTCCCCGACCCCTTCCATGCTGGTTGGGCAAAGACGGAGCAGGGCTTCCCTTCCCAATCTTGTGGGCTCAGTTCTTTCTGGGGAAACTTTGAATTTGGGGCTAGCATGAAGTGGAAATTCTGGGTACCTACCTGAGTCAGGCTCCATTCCTAGAAATCTGACATGACTGGGTCCCTTGTCCATACCCTGGCAGGCTCCAGCCCTCCTCAGATGGCAGAGGGCCCCCCAGGACCTGAGAGGAAGGGGCTTCCCCTCCCCTTGCTCTTAAGGGTGGTCTTCTCCTCCCCCTCTTCTCAGCCTCTCCTTCCAGGTCACCTTCCAGCTCCTCTGAGCTCACTGCAGGCCTGGGTGAGCTGACCAGAGCTGGGTTTGGAGAACCTGGCAGCGAGGGGTGTCCTTGGGGTTTGAACTTAAGCTCCTCAAACTGCTCAGAGACATTTCCCCAGATCTTTACCCTAAATGTCTCCATGCTGCAGCTCAACCCCATCCCATTCCTGCAGCCACTGCTGACCTCGTATCCATGAGTGGCCCATCCTTTCATGCTCTAACACCCCTTCCACACTCTGCACAGTTCTCACGTTCCCTCCTTCCACAATGCTCAGTTCCTGAACAAAACAGATCTTTCTTGTTCCCCAAACCCCATCTTTGGTTTAGTCTATAAAATTTGTCAACTTTTTCCCTAATGAAAAAATCCCTCAAGAGCATCAAACGAAATAACAGAGATGGTTTAATTTATTAATAAGATATTAAACTAATACCACATTGTGCCTGAGCAACACATTTGCCCACTTTGAAGCAACGTGGCAGAGCAGGGTATGTGTTTACTAATAAGATATTTAAATAATATTGCGTATGCATAACTTTTTGTGGCGCTTTTTGTATCTCATTGGCTCATCATAACAGGCTTTTGCAATGTCTGCTATAAATACCATCATTCTCTTTTGAAGGATAAACAGAGGCTTATAAAGGTAGGTTGACTTGCCTCGAGTCACATAGTCTCTCTTTTTTTTTTTTTTGGTGTAATGGATTTCTTTTTTCTTTTTTTTATTTTTATTTTTATTTTTTTTATTATACTTTAAGTTTTAGGGTACATGTGCACATTATGCAGGTTAGTTACATATGTATACATGTGTCATGCTGGTGCGCTGCACCCACTAACTCGTCATCTAGCATTAGGTATATCTCCCAATGCTATCCCTCCCCCCTCCCCCCACCCCACCACAGTCCCCAGAGTGTGATATTCCCCTTCCTGTGTCCATGTGTTCTCATTGTTCAATTCCCACCTATGAGTGAGAATATGCGGTGTTTGGTTTTTTGTTCTTGCGATAGTTTACTGAGAATGATGATTTCCAATTTCATCCATGTCCCTACAAAGGACATGAACTCATCATTTTTTATGGCTGCATAGTATTCCATGGTGTATATGTGCCACATTTTCTTAATCCAGTCTATCATTGTTGGACATTTGGGTTGGTTCCAAGTCTTTGCTATTGTGAATAATGCCGCAATAAACATACGTGTGCATGTGTTTTTATAGCAGCAAGATTTATAGTCCTTTGGGTATATACCCAGAAATGGGATGGCTGGGTCAAATGGTATTTCTAGTTCTAGATCCCTGAGGAATCGCCACACTGACTTCCACAAGGGTTGAACTAGCTTACAGTCCCACCAACAGTGTAAAAGTGTTCCTATTTCTCCACATCCTCTCCAGCACCTGTTGTTTCCTGACTTTTTAATGATTGCCATTCTAACTGGTGTGAGATGGTATCTCATTGTGGTTTTGATTTGCATTTCTCTGATGGCCAGTGATGATGAGCATTTTTTCATGTGGTTTTTGGCTGCATAAATGTCTTCTTTTGAGAAGTGTCTGTTCATGTCCTTCACCCACTTTTTGATGGGGTTGTTTGTTTTCTTCTTGTAAATTTGTTTGAGTTCATTGTAGATTCTGGATATTAGCCCTTTGTCAGATGAGTAGGTTGTGAAAATTTTCTCCCATTTTGTAGGTTGCCTGTTCACTCTGATGGTAGTTTCTTTTGCTGTGCAGAAGCTCTTTAGTTTAATTAGATCCCATTTGTCAATTTTGGCTTTTGTTGCCATTGCTGTTGGTGTTTTGGACATGAAGTCCTTGCCCATGCCTATGTCCTGAATGGTGATGCCTAGGTTTTCTTCTAGGGTTTTTATGGTTTTAGGTCTAACGTTTAAGTCTTTAATCCATCTTGAATTGATTTTTGTATAAGGTGTAAGGAGGGGATCCAGTTTCAGCTTTCTACATATGGCTAGCCAGTTTTCCCAGCACCATTTATTAAATAGGGAATCCTTTCCCCATTGCTTGTTTTTCTCAGGTTTGTCAAAGATCAGACAGTTGCAGATATGCGGCATTATTTCTGAGGGCTCTGTTCTGTTCCATTGATCTATATCTCTGTTTTGGTACCAGTACCATGCTGTTTTGGTTACTGTAGCCTTGTAGTATAGTTTGAAGTCAGGTAGTGTGATGCCTCCAGCTTTGTTCTTTTGGCTTAGGGTTGCCTTGGCGATGCGGGCTCTTTTTTGGTTCCATATGAACTTTAAAGTAGTTTTTTCCAATTCTGTGAAGAAAGTCATTGGTAGCTTGATGGGGATGGCATTGAATCTGTAAATTACCTTGGGCAGTATGGCCATTTTCACGATATTGATTCTTCCTACCCATGAGCATGGAATGTTCTTCCATTTGTTTGTATCCTCTTTTATTTCCTTGAGCAGTGGTTTGTAGTTCTCCTTGAAGAGGTCCTTCACATCCCTTGTAAGTTGGATTCCTAGGTATTTTCTTCTCTTTGAAGCAATTGTGAATGGGAGTTCACTCATGATTTGGCTCTCTGTTTGTCTGTTATTGGTGTATAAGAATGCTTGTGATTTTTGTACATTGATTTTGTATCCTGAGACTTTGCTGAAGTTGCTTATCAGCTTAAGGAGATTTTGGGCTGAGACAATGGGGTTTTCTAGATATACAATCATGTCGTCTGCAAACAGGGACAATTTGACTTCCTCTTTTCCTAATTGAATACCCTTTATTTCCTTCTCCTGCCTAATTGCCCTGTCCAGAACTTCCAACACTATGTTGAATAGGAGTGGTGAGAGAGGGCATCCCTGTCTTGTGCCAGTTTTCAAAGAGAATGCTTCCAGTTTTTGCCCATTCAGTATGATATTGGCTGTGGGTTTGTCATAGATAGCTCTTATTATTTTGAAATACGTCCCATCAATACCTAATTTATTGAGAGTTTTTAGCATGAAGGGTTGTTGAATTTTGTCAAAGGCTTTTTCTGCATCTATTGAGATAATCATGTGGTTTTTGTCTTTGGCTCTGTTTATATGCTGGATTACATTTATTGATTTGCATATATTGAACCAGCCTTGCATCCCAGGGATGAAGCCCACTTGACCATGGTGGATAAGCTTTTTGATGTGCTGCTGGATTCGTTTTGCCAGTATTTTATTGAGGATTTTTGCATCAATGTTCATCAAGGAGATTGGTCTAAAATTCTCTTTTTTGGTTGTGTCTCTGCCCGGCTTTGGTATCAGAATGATGCTGGCCTCATAAAATGAGTTAGGGAGGATTCCCTCTTTTTCTATTGATTGGAATAGTTTCAGAAGGAATGGTACCAGTTCCTCCTTGTACCTCTGATAGAATTCAGCTGTGAATCTCTCTGGTCCTGGACTCTTTTTGGTTGGTAAACTATTGGATTATTGCCACAATTTCAGCTCCTGTTATTGGTCTATTCAGAGATTCAACTTCTTCCTGGTTTAGTCTTGGGAGAGTGTATGTGTCGAGGAATTCATCCATTTCTTCTAGATTTTCTAGTTTATTTGCGTAGAGGTGTTTGTAGTATTCTCTGATGGTAGTTTGTATTTCTGTGGGATCGGTGGTGATATCCCCTTTATCATTTTTTATTGCGTCTATTTGATTCTTCTTTTTTTCTTTATTAGTCTTGCTAGCGGTCTATCAATTTTGTTGATCCTTTCAAAAAACCAGCTCCTGGATTCATTAATTTTTTGAAGGGGTTTTTGTGTCTCTATTTCCTTCAGTTCTGCTCTGATTTTAGTTATTTCTTGCCTTCTGCTAGCTTTTGAATGTGTTTGCTCTTGCTTTTCTAGTTCTTTTAATTGTGATGTTAGGGTGTCAATTTTGGATCTTTCCTGCTGTCTCTTGTGGGCATTTAGTGCTATAAATTTCCCTCTACACACTGCTTTGAATGCGTCCCAGAGATTCTGGTATGTTGTGTCTTTGTTCTCGTTGGTTTCAAAGAACAACTTTATTTCTGCCTTCATTTCGTTATGTATCCAGTAGTCATTCAGGAGCAGATTGTTCAGTTTCCATGTAGTTGAGCGGTTTTGAGTGAGATTCTTAATCCTGAGTTCTACTTTGATTGCACTGTGGTCTGAGAGATAGTTCGTTATAATTTCTGTTCTTTTACATTTGCTGAGGAGAGCTTTACTTCCAAGTATGTGGTCAATTTTGGAATAGGTGTGGTGTGGTGCTGAAAAAAATGTATATTCTGTTGATTTGGGGTGGAGAGTTCTGTAGATGTCTATTAGGTCCGCTTGGTGCAGAGCTGAGTTCAATTCCTGGGTATCCTTGTTGACTTTCTGTCTCGTTGATCTGTCTAATGTTGACAGTGGGGTGTTAAAGTCTCCCATTATTAATGTGTGGGAGTCTAAGTCTCTTTGTAGGTCACTGAGGACTTGCTTTATGAATCTGGGTGCTCCTGTATTGGGTGCATATATATTTAGGATAGTTAGCTCTTCTTGTTGAATTGATCCCTTTACCATTATGTAATGGCCTTCTTTGTCTCTTTTGATCTTTGTTGGTTGAAAGTCTGTTTTATCAGAGACTAGGATTGCAACCCCTGCCTTTTTTTGTTTTCCATTTGCTTGGTAGATCTTCCTCCATCCTTTCATTTTGAGCCTATGTGTGTCTCTGCACGTGAGATGGGTTTCCTGAATACAGCACACTGATGGGTCTTGACTCTTTATCCAATTTGCCAGTCTGTGTCTTTTAATTGGAGCATTTAGTCCATTTACATTTAAAGTTAATATTGTTATGTGTGAATTTGATCCTGTCATTATGATGTTAGCTGGTGATTTTGCACGTTAGTTGATGCAGTTTCTTCCTAGTCTCGATGGTCTTTACATTTTGGCATGATTTTGCAGCGGCTGGTACCGGTTGTTCCTTTCCATGTTTAGCGCTTCCTTCAGGAGCTCTTTTAGGGCAGGCCTGGTGGTGACAAAATCTCTCAGCATTTGCTTGTCTGTAAAGTATTTTATTTCTCCTTCACTTATGAAGCTTAGTTTGGCTGGATATGAAATTCTGGGTTGAAAATTCTTTTCTTTAAGAATGTTGAATATTGGCCCCCACTCTCTTCTGGCTTGTAGGGTTTCTGCCGAGAGATCCGCTGTTTGTTAGTCTGATGGGCTTCCCTTTGAGGGTAACCCGACCTTTCTCTCTGGCTGCCCTTAACATTTTTTCCTTCATTTCAACTTTGGTGAATCTGACAATTATGTGTCTTGGAGTTGCTCTTCTCGAGGAGTATCTTTGTGGCGTTCTCTGTATTTCCTGAATCTGAACGTTGGCCTGCCTTGCTAGATTGGGGAAGTTCTCCTGGATAATATCCTGCAGAGTGTTTTCCAACTTGGTTCCATTCTCCCCATCACTTTCAGGTACACCAATCAGACGTAGATTTGGTCTTTTCACATAGTCCCATATTTCTTGGAGGCTTTGCTCATTTCTTTTTATTCTTTTTTCTCTAAACTTCCTTTCTCGCTTCATTTCATTCATTTCATCTTCCCTCGCTGATACCCTTTCTTCCAGTTGATCGCATCGGCTCCTGAGGCTTCTGCATTCTTCACGTAGTTCTCGAGCCTTGGTTTTCAGCTCCATCAGCTCCTTTAAGCACTTCTCTGTATTGGTTATTCTAGTTATACATTCTTCTAAATTTTTTTCAAAGTTTTCAACTTCTTTGCCTTTGGTTTGAATGTCCTCCCGTAGCTCAGAGTAATTTGATCGTCTGAAGCCTTCTTCTCTCAGCTAGTCAAAGTCATTCTCCATCCAGCTTTGTTCCGTTGCTGGTGAGGAACTGCGTTCCTTTGGAGGAGGAGAGGCGCTCTGCATTTTAGAGTTTCCAGTTTTTCTGTTCTGTTTTTCCCCATCTTTGTGGTTTTATCTACTTTTGGTCTTTGATGATGGTGATGTACAGATGGGTTTTTGGTGTGGATGTCCTTTCTGTTTGTTAGTTTTCCTTCTAACAGACAGGACCCTCAGCTGCAGGTCTGTTGGAATACCCTGCCGTGTGAGGTGTCAGTGTGCCCCTGCTGGGGGGTGCCTCTCAGTTAGGCTGCTCCGGGGTCAGGGGTCAGGGACCCACTTGAGGAGGCAGTCTGCCCGTTCTCAGATCTCCAGCTGCGTGCTGGGAGAACCACTGCTCTCTTCAAAGCTGTCAGACAGGGACATTTAAGTCTGCAGAGGTTGCTGCTGTCTTTTTGTTTGTCTGTGCCCTGCCCCCAGAGGTGGAGCCTACAGAGGCAGGCAGGCCTCCTTGAGCTGTGGTGGGCTCCACCCAGTTCGAGCTTCCTGGCTGCTTTGTTTAACTAAGCAAGCCTGGGCAATGGAGGGCGCCCCTCCCCCAGCCTCGCTGCCACCTTGCAGTTTGATCTCAGACTGCTGTGCTAGCAATCAGAGAGACTCCGTGGGCGTAGGACCCTCCGAGCCATGTGCGGGATATAATCTCGTGGTGCGCCGTTTTTTAAGCCGGTCCGAAAAGCGCAATATTCGGGTGGGAGTGACCCGATTTTCCAGGTGCGTCCGTCACCCCTTTCTTTGACTCGGAAAGGGAACTCCCTGACCCCTTGCACTTCCCAAGTGAGGCAATGCCTCGCCCTGCTTCGGCTCGCGCACGGTGCGTGCACCCACTGACCTGCGCCCACTCTCTGGCACTCCCTAGTGAGATGAACCCGGTACCTCAGATGGAAATGCAGAAATCACCCATCTTCTGCGTCGCTCACACTGGGAGCTGTAGACCTGAGCTGTTCCTATTCAGCCATCTTGGCTCCTCCCCCCACACAGTCTCTTTGGGATGCTGTGTTCACCAAGTCAGCACATGGGCTCTGTGGCCTCTTGTCGAATTAAGTCCCAGGTCAAAGAGGGAACAAGAGAAACCTTTGTTGTCTAGACTCTGTTAGGAGGAAAGGACAGGCCTAATATAAGTAGGGAAATCAGAGCCAGACATCTTGAAAGCAGAGGGACAGTGGTCTTGCCTGGCTTGCAGATCACTGCCCAGCCAGTGGGATGTGTGGAGGGTCACCAATTAGAGAACTTCAGTGATCTGCTTAGGTTCGTTAGATGAAGAGCTTGGGGTGATCCTCTGTTTCCTTCACCCACTTATTCTGCAAACACCCTGTGCTGTGCTGATGAGGTCCTGTGGTGGAGATATGATTACCACCTTGTGCCAAATCCCTCTCATCCCTGCCCCAGCACAACACTGAGTAAGCAAAGGCTGCCCCCTAAACAGCCATGCCCAAAAGGTACAGCTCTCCAGAATGCACCTGGAGGCAGCAGGGAGGGCAAGGGAGATGGGGAAGGGAGACCAGAAGCACTTCTGCAGGGGCACCTGGAGGAGCCCTACTTGTTCATTTTTCCTTCAGTTTTTATTCTCTGTGTCTCCAGTTATAACTCTTTCACCATAGGAACAAATTGAGGCAGGAACCAGACCTTGTGTACCGCAAAAGGCCCTAGATGAAGGGGACATCATGGATGGGAGGCCTCCACTGCCCAGCTGAAGTTGTTTGCCTCCCCAGAGACCCCTCCCACCACCATGGTTACAAATCATGCAACAGGAGGCCCCACACATGACGGCCTTTCAGCCCTTTGTCCAGAGTGAAGACAGCAAGTCACAGAGCCTGCACCTGGGTTCAGAAGCCCTGCACTTTGCCCTTTGTTCCTCCCCACACATGCTATGGGCAAGTCACTTAACGTCCTGAGCCCTCCCTGAGTCTCAGCTGCTGTGAAGATCCAAAAGAGATGGTGGCCAGGAAGGCTTCTCATAACAGACAAATGCCAACGGCTGGTATTATTGTCTTTCCATCAATATCTCCAGTAAATACTTGGATTTGTCTGGTCCCTTCTCTCCCTGCTAACTCACACCGCATCCCTGGCACCCAGGGCAGCAGCTGGTAGACAGTGAGTAGTGGTATGCATTTGTTCTTGAAGGAACAAGCAATTCTCTTTACACCCCTGTCCCCACACCACCCTACCTGCCTCCCACCATAATAGAAACAAGCTGAGGATGTTGCCAGAGTCTCTGTTCTTGTAAGTTCCTTGTGCCTGAGATTCCTACAGCCAGACACCATTCTCCATGCTAAGTCCTCCCCATAGCAACCTCTAGACCTGCACTGTTCAATACAGTAGCCACATGTAGCCCCTGAGCACTTGAAATGTGGCTGGTGCACCTGAAGAACTAGAATTTCATTTCATTTTAACTAATTTTACTTTAAAAACTGATACTGGTTTCAGTTACTGGGAAGTTGTATGGAACAACTTGGGTATGTGGATCTACTTGTTCAATTGTCAATTTGATGAAATCTAAATATAATCAAGTATTTCAGATGATGATCTAGTGCCTGAATTGAAATGTGCTATAAGTAAAATATAGACAGGATTTCAAAGATTAGTAAACAAAAAAAAGCAAAGTAGCTCTTTGACAAATCTTTGTATTGATTACATATTGAAAGGATAATGTTTTAGAAATATTGAATTAAGTGGAATATGTAATTGAAATTAATGTTACCTGTTTCTCTTTATTTTTTAATGTGGCTTCTAGGAATTTTTAATTTCATATGTGTTTTGCGTATTTCTATTGGACAGTGCTGATCTAGACCATCTATCTCAGTCCTCTTGGGCTGCTGTAACAAATTACCATGGGCTGGGTGGCTTAAAAGACAAATACTTATTTCTCACAGTTCTGGAGACTGGACTTTCAAGATCAGGACGCCAGCATGGCCGGGTTTTGGCGAGGGCCTTCTTCCAGGTTGCAGACTGCTAACTTCTCTGTGTCCTCACATGGCAGAGGGAGAACTAGAGAGCTCTCTGGGGTCCCTTTGATAAGGGCACTAATCCCGTGCATGAAGGCTCCACCCTCATGACCAAATCACCTCCCAAATGCTCCACCTCCTAATACTGTCACTTTGGGGGTTAGGATTTCAATGTATGAATTTTGTGGGGGACACGAACTTTCAGTCCACAGCCCATGGCACACTTCTTTCCTCCAAAACAAATAAAAGGGTGGAAGGGGGATTTGGAAAGCAGCAAAAGGCACTCTAGATGAAAGAAAGATCCCAACAGACCTAAGACAGGATCTTTATTCTGTTATAATGCAACAAGTATGTGCTTACCATGTGCCAAGCACTGTTGCAAGAAGTCACTTAATCCTCACAACGATCCCGTAGAGGAAGTCTATTAAGGTAAAGTAGAGATTACTTTACATATGAGGGAGCTGAGGCACAGACAGGTTGATCAGTTTGCCCAAGGTTACTGGGCTAGTAAGTGGCCAATTCAGAGTTTTTCACCCAGTCTGTCTCCAGAGCCTGAACTCCGAACTCCCCCGTAGACCGCTTCTAATTTTAGGCTATTGCTATCAATCCAATCCTCCTGTGTATCAGTGTCAGGTTGAATTCCACTCTCCCTCTGTCTAAATATTCATGGCTTCACTTCCCTCTCAGTGTCTCCTGCAAGTCTCACTTTCCTCCCTGCAGCGGCTGACTCAGTCCCCACGTTGTCTGAGGTCACCCACCAGTCCACTCGCCACGCCAGGCCTGGGCAGAGCACTCTTCGGGTCCCTGAAAGAGCCTTCTGGATGGAGGATAGGGGCTTTTTGGAGCCCTTCAGAATAAAATGCAATCTGAAAAAATGAATAGCCATGACAGGTTGCATTTAGGGCAGAAAGGGGGTTGACAAGGGGAGATGAAGGGGAACAGGGGAGAGAGATTCTTTACCACTCACAAAGTGTTACAGATGCAGGGGCTGCAAGCTTGTCCTTCAGACAAATGAAGAAGCAGTGGCCAGGACAGTGAGTAAGGGGCCTTCTCTGAGCTCTGTGCTGCAGCATGGGGTGACTCCAGATGAGCAGGATGGGGCGAGGTCTATAATTTGGCAAAGTGGACCCTATGCTGTGGACGTAACCCTCCCCACCAGGTTTACCTGCCAGGACAGACAGTCACCCTGTGTTAACATACTCTTCCCTTCTACTCTGCTCACCCGAATATCTGTTTCTAGGCATCTCAACACTACTCCTTCCCTGCCAGGGCCCCACACCCAAGTTTTACCACCTGTGTCTTCAGGGAGCAGAGCAGGCACACATGATATCCACTTCCACAGGGGACTCAGATAAGGCAAAGGGATCCCTCACCAGGAAGTGGCTTGCAAAAACGTCTAAGTGGATGGGTGAGAGACTGGCTTAGGCCTGTTCCCACTCAGGTTCTCCTCCTGCCAAGGGCAGAGGGAGGGCCCTGCCCGACAGGTGTGGCCCAGCCCCGGCTGCCGGCAGCCAACCATGCCGCCATAGAGGGGCCAGGATGGGAGGCAGGGCTTGGCCAGACCCTCTGAACACCGCTGAGCCCTGGTTTAGACCACTCAGGCCTTCAACAGGGAAGGTTTCAATTTGCAGAAACTTAGGCCAGATGAGCTCCAGCTTGGTGGGAAGAGAGGCTTAGAGCTGAGTGGAGCAGTTCCTGGTTGCCTTCCCAGAAGCATCCCTCACTGTTTTCTGAGCCACAAAGTCCTGAAGCCTTTGTTGACTCAGGGACAGCAAGCAGTGACCATCATGGGGATAACAGATAGTGTGGCCAGATGACCCTACCAGCTAGAAGTAAGGTTGGAAATAGAAATTCAAGTTGGCAAACACAGATTGAGCACGTGCTATGTGCCGAGCTCTGTGACCAAGAACAAGATTTCCCATCATGCAAGGCAGAGTCAGGGGTACTGTTTATTATAAAAGATACCACAGTGGGGAAGAGAGGCAGGGAAGAGACCCTGTGCCTGAGGAGCTGAGATGCCTGTTGTGGAGATGGCATCAGAGCTGGAACGTGGGGAAAAGGAGCATTCCAACAGATGGAGATGGGGAAGGCATTGCAGACAGAGGGAACAGTGCAAGCAAAGGCAGAGAACTGGCAAGTCATGGACATAGGTCAGGCAGTGAACAGTCAGTCAGCAGAGATGAGTGGGAGACGAAGCTGGGATGGAAGGTGGGCAGAACCTCGTAGGTACCTGCATGTGTCTTACAAAAGTCTGGAATTTCTTCTATGGGAAATACAAGGCATCACAGGCTGATGTGCAGGGGGACTGAGTGTTGAAGGAAGTAGCTAGAGATCAAATGAAGAAAGGTAGGTGAGCAGGAGGGAAGAAAGCAGGAAAGGATGCCCCCATGAACTCCCATACTCACCATCCCTCGGTCAATAGCAATTGGACGAGGCATCAGATTTCAGATGTTCACATTTGTCCTTTGGTGGTCCCTGTATGAGACCTCTCTAAAGGTTCCGTATTTTGTGGCACTTGGGCACCTGGCAGGGTTTGGAGGCTCTGCTGAGAAAGCTAGGATCAACTCCATCCTGAAGCAGGACCCAACTGTCGTGCCAGGTGGATGGCAGCAGGTAACCCTTGGCACAAACTCTTCACATCCATTGCTTCTCCACCAGCTGCATGTAATTCCCCCCAAGTTCTGCTCAGCTGGCCTCTGACAGTTCTGACAGCAAAGTTTTGCTGCATGAAGCCCAAATTCAGCCTATGTTAAATAAGGAGGGGAAACAAATAAAACTACATAGAACCAGAGAGTGCACAGGTCATGCGAAATACTCAGCAGCTCTTGTCATGTTCATAGTAGACAAAAACCATTCATTCTAAAGAAGGAATCAAAGATTTTATGGTTTTGTTTTCTTTAAGTTACTCATGTATTTATTTTAGGAAACCAAATGTGAATTAAATACTAACTTCCCTCAATTCTTCTTTGGTCATTTGCTTTAGGAATACTTTGGGAGAATAAAATAATTCTGCAGTTTTGTTGAGTTAAAACTTCCCTAGGAGGGCCATTTTCTTCCTCTCCCCTCACTGCAATTTCTGAACCCACAGCAGCGGCCTGGGGGAGGAGTTGAGGCATTTGGGCATCTTCTCTTCAAGACCAGCACCAGCAGCCAGGGTCCCCCTGTTCCCCTCTTTCCGTTCCATTCACCGTGAATGGCAGATTCCTCTGTCCGGGTCGGGTTTCCAGTCACCATAGAAACAAACTCGAGGCAGTTTCATTAATCATTTAGAGCACAAGAAGTCTAGGTCAGTCTGATTGCAGCATATAGGGTATCATCTCCGGGCCACATGGGACTCAGTCGATTTGAATTAAAAAAGATTAAGCTGCCCTGGGCTGCCTGGCCCCATCAGTTTAAGTTCTCATGTAACAGTGGTCTCTGGAGCCATATGGATTAGTGAGTGAAGCTATGCATTTATGTGGCAGGATTCAGTGAAACATTAGACGGCTGCAGGTGTCTTGAGGGGAAGAGGACAGGGATCACATACAGGTTTTTTTTTTTATACTTGTTGCTGTTCTTTGGAAACTGGAAACAATAACTCAGTTTTATTTCTCCAGTGACAGTTACCGCTCTTGCTGACCATGAAATGGTACATTTGTTACCTGGGTGGGGTTTATGGTTCACAACGAAATGGTCTGTGAGGAGCCAGGGATGGCTATGTTCCATACCTTCTCCGGGGTGGCGGATGAGAATGCTGACTTTTTATTTTTTTTTCTGTGGAGTGACAATAAATGCATCAAATAAATATTGATGGCATTTTAGTTTTGCTCGAATCAAGATTTATGAGCCCCAGGAAATTGACTTAGAGGCAGCTACAAATCAATGTGGCTCTGAAAGAGTTGCGTAGGGACCCCTCAAAATGAGTGCCCCCCCCTTCCAAAGTACCTACCTTATTTATGGGCCTCTCTGGGACTTCAAAGAAGCTCAGTAACTTAGGCCAGACTGTTTTATTGCTTCATGGAGCTAAGATGTTTTAGGAGGAAGATGCAGGTTACAGTGTATTAGGAAGCCTCTCTTGGGCGGTAGGCAAGAGCTTTCTGCATATTGAACTGTCGATCTAAAGATTATCACACTCTGGCTTCCTATAGAATCATTCCTAAATCTTCTCTGCAGACTCGCCATGGTCGAAAGTCCCAGGTGATAAGCCCAAAATAGAACATTTTTACTCTTCCCCCCCATCCCCCTTTGTTGGAGCAATTGCCTTGGACTAACAAGGAGGCAGCTGGGCCTGGTAGAAATCAGTTACAGAGTTCTGTGGAGTGTTTCCACAGGCCATCTAGTTACAATTCGGTGTTTTGTTTCTCTCTTCATTGTGACAGTGATGATCCTGAGTGCTTTGCTGAGAATGTCTGAAAGCAGGGACCAGCCTGGAGTCTGTGTCCAGCCCATCTGAATGGTCCTTGTTCAGCAGGGGCAGCTCATGGTGGTGGAGAAGCTGGGAGTTGGGAAACCCAGGTTCTCAAGCCAGCCATGCTACTGCCACCTGGCTGTGTTCCCTTGGGCAAGCCATGCTGCTTTCTGGGCCTCTATTTTCCTATCTCTCAGTTAAGAAACTTGACCATCTTCTTCCAGTTCTAAGTTTCTAAAATCCCTTCCCACTTATTGAGCACTTGATGGGTTCTGAAAGAGGAGAAATATGGCTCCAGCCTCTGGAGTCTGTGTGGTGAGAGCGGGGGTGGAGCTGGCATGAGCACAAATCTTCTCATCCAGCCTCGGGGAACCTTTCCTTCCTCTGAACCCCACGGCACATCCAGACATGACTCACAAGGCAGTACCCAGTACTCCTCTGTCTGCCGCAATCGCCAACATTGCAGTGGGTGATAACCTCGGCTCACCAAGTGGCCTGCAACCCTGCTGGGGCAGGATCATGTCCTCAGAACTCCATTCCACCTGGTAGAGGGCTGAGCCCCTAGGAGACCAGAGCTCTATTAACTGCCAGACCTTGTTTAGAGAGAAGAAAGAAGATGCAACACAGGAAACAGGGGAGATTTCCCATGAGAAAGTACCAACAGAGACTCTAGGGAGACGATATAGTAAACTGATTTAGAACCCACAGGAGGGTGCTGGGATTATGGATTTGACTTGCTAGCGGTGACTTTCAGCAAGCTGTTTAACTGCCGCAAGCCTCAGCACAGCAGGAAGATCCCAACTGCTGGGGTCACATGTCCTGGGTACTAGTCCCAGCTCTGTCACCTGCTACTTAGTGCAAGCTTAGTCAAATGGCTTCATGTGGGGGGGCTCTCTGATCCCTACAGGATTTTGTTTCAAGAAGGAAGGACTTAAATTTGTAGCCATCAGGAGAGCTGCCTGCAGAAAGTCCTCAGCTGTCAGCCTCCTACAAGGATTGCCTCAGCCCGAGAGAGTGATTTGCCCAGGGTCAGGCTCCCTTCCAGGACAGCTTGTGTCCAATGAGTGATCAGCAGAGGGATCCCTCTAGTGCCTTGGAACAACTCTGCAAGGCAATCCTAGCTCCAGAGGTCCCTGGGGAGTCAGCTGAGACCCTTACTTGAAATGAACGGAAACTCAGCTTTTCCCTCTGCCCTATCCTGTTTCCATGCCCTCCTCCTTTTTGCAGGTATTAATCCCCCAAAGCACTCTCTAATACACATCCTGCCTACTCATTGCTAATTTCCATCTCAGAGTTGTTGCTTCACAGGAAACCTAAGCAGTGACATTTTACAACTCTGAGCCATAGGTCCTCATCTAGAACACTGAGACAATGATGGTGCCTAGCCCACAGGTCCGGGCTGCAGGTTAAATGAGATCATCCATGTAAAGCGTTTCACTCATTTACTAGCATAATGAAACCGTACTATGGACGAGCTCTTTATTTGCCTAATACAAACTATTTTGCAGATAAACTGAATTTGATTTTGAAGTATGATTATGAATTAGAACCCTGATTTTTAGCTGGGCACATGACCACTCCGAATAAAAACCATTTTTGCCAGTTTCTCCAGAACTTAGATGTGTTCACATGATGAAGTTCTGACCAATGAGATATATTTTTAAATGGCATATGTAACTCCCAGAGAATGTCCTTAAAGACAGGAAGCCTGCCATCTGTCTTTCCTTTCTCCTTGCTAAAATACGGCTGTAATGGCTGCAGGTCCAGCAGCTATCTTGGGCCATAAGGTGACCTTGGAAATGGCAACCACGCACACCAGAACATCAAGATAGAAGAATCCTGGGTCACCCTTACCAGCCCTGGAGTGCATCTAGACTAGCATATGGGAGAGAAACACACCACTGTCATTTTGAGTTTTTTGTTAACTGTATCTAAACCTAATCCTAACTTTACACAGAGAGACTTCCAAGTGCGTAAAGAGACCATGAGCAAAGGCTCAAATGGTTATGGGGCATTCACAGAGCAGTAAAGAGACTGGCAAATGGATAACAACAACAATAATAATCCTTTATGTTCACATTGTGCGTTGCAGTTAATGTTCATATTATGCTTTGAACTTTCAAATTCTTTGTCATTTCATTTCATCTCCACAATTCCACAAAGAAAAAGAAAGTTATTATCTCCACTTTGCAAATGAGGTCCCAAGGTCACACAAATAGGAGCCAACAGAGTCAAAGCCAGAACTCAGATTTCTGAGGCCAGAACCTCGGTTTCCCCCAATGCATCAGATGTATACCTTTGACAATTCACTCAAACCAATTTAGGTAACAATGCTCTTGCCTAAAACTTGTATCCAGCAAATGTACAGCAGTTCATATGCAATAGGATGGTTTACACTGCTTTTAAGGCATCTTGCACTCTTTAACGTTCTGTTACTGACATTAATTGTGCATCTACAATGTGATAGGCACCATGCTTTATCATGCCAAGTGCTTTGACACGCACTGTTCTCCCATCTTCCTCAAATTAGCTCTTTATCCTACATTTCCAAGTTCTGTTTTCTGCCATGCTTCTGCCTCCATAAGTCTTTTCTGGTGGCCTCAAGAATAGGTCATTTCTTTATCCACTGTCCTCTCTTGCCTCATGATGGATTCATACAATACCCTCTTAACCAAATCCAGGTGGGTCCCAGAGAGAAGAAACCAGTGGATTTCTGAAGGAGTCCCCTGTTTAGTCCAGGAAAAAGAAACATTCTTCTTACAATAAATTGAGTGTGATGGTTAATAATACTGAGAGTCAACTTGATTGGATTGAAGAATGCAAAGTATTGATCCTGGGTGTGTCTGTGAGGGCAATGCCTCAGGAGATTAACATTTGAGTCACTGGGTTGGGAAAGGCAGACCCACCCTTAATCTGGTGGGCACAATCTAATCAGCTGCCAGTGAATATAAAGCAGACAGAAAAAAGTGAAAAGGCGAGACTGGCCTAGCCTCCCAGCCTACATCTTTCTCCCATGCTGGATGCCTCCCACCTTCAAACATCAGACTTCAAGTGCTTCAGTTTTGAGACTTGGACTGGCTCTCCTTGCTCCTCAAGCTTGCAGACAGCCTATTGTGGGACCTTGTGATCATGTAAGCTAATACTTAACAAACTCCATGTATATATCTATAGAGTTTGTTAAGTACTTATATATATATATATGGAGTTTATTAAGTATTAGTCAGGGTATATGTGTATATATGTACATGTATATGTATATATACCCTGATTATATGTATATGTATATATACCCTGACTAATACAGTGAGGGATAGGAAACTGTATTATTTTCCCAGGGCTGCCATAACAAATTACCACAAACCGGGTGGGTTATGACAACAGGAATTTATTCTCTCACAGTTCCAGAGGCAAGAAGTCCAAAATAAAGCTGTTGGTTGGGGCAGTTTCATCTGGGTGCTCAGAAAGAGCATCCGTCCCATGCCTCTCCCCCAGTATCTGGTGGCTGCCAGCAATCCTAGGCATTTCTCAGCTTGTAGAGGCATCGCACCAATCTCTGCCTCTATTTTCGCACGGTATTCTCCCTGTGCCTCTGGCTCTGGTGTCTAAACTTTCTCTTCTTATAAGGACATCAGTGATAGGATTAGGGCTTACCCTTAATCCGGTATGACTGCATGGTAACTTGATTACATCTGCAAAGACCCTAATTCTGATGAAGGTCACTTTCATAGGTACTAGGGTTAAGACTTCAACATTTCTTTTTGGGAGATAGAGTTCAACCCATAACAAAAACCAAGCAGAGGGGGGAGGAGCCAAGATGGCCAAATAGGAACAGCTCTAGTCTACAGCTCCCAGCGTGAGCGCCGCAGAAGACGGGTGATTTCTGCATTTCCATCTGAGGTACCGGGTTCATCTCACTAGGGAGTGCCAGACACTGGGCGCAGGTCAGTGGGTGCGCGCACCGTGCGCGAGCCGAAGCAGGGCGAGGCATTGCCTCGCTTGGGAAGCACAAGGGGTCAGGGAGTTCCCTTTCTGAGTCAAAGAAAGGGGTGACGGACGCACCTGGAAAATCGGGTCACTCCCACCCGAATATTGCGCTTTTCGGACCGGCTTAAAAAACGGCGCACCACGAGATTATATCCCGCACATGGCTCGGAGGGTCCTACGCCCACGGAGTCTCTCTGATTGCTAGCACAGCAGTCTGAGATCAAACTGCAAGGTGGCAGCGAGGCTGGGGGAGGGGCGCCCTCCATTGCCCAGGCTTGCTTAGTTAAACAAAGCAGCCAGGAAGCTCGAACTGGGTGGAGCCCACCACAGCTCAAGGAGGCCTGCCTGCCTCTGTAGGCTCCACCTCTGGGGGCAGGGCACAGACAAACAAAAAGACAGCAGCAACCTCTGCAGACTTAAATGTCCCTGTCTGACAGCTTTGAAGAGAGCAGTGGTTCTCCCAGCACGCAGCTGGAGATCTGAGAACGGGCAGACTGCCTCCTCAAGTGGGTCCCTGACCCCTGACCCCGGAGCAGCCTAACTGGGAGGCACCCCCCAGCAGGGGCACACTGACACCTCACACGGCAGGGTATTCCAACAGACCTGCAGCTGAGGGTCCTGTCTGTTAGAAGGAAAACTAACAAACAGAAAGGACATCCACACCAAAAACCCATCTGTACATCACCATCATCAAAGACCAAAAGTAGATAAAACCACAAAGATGGGGAAAAACAGAACAGAAAAACTGGAAACTCTAAAATGCAGAGCGCCTCTCCTCCTCCAAAGGAACGCAGTTCCTCACCAGCAACGGAACAAAGCTGGATGGAGAATGACTTTGACTAGCTGAGAGAAGAAGGCTTCAGACGATCAAATTACTCTGAGCTACGGGAGGACATTCAAACCAAAGGCAAAGAAGTTGAAAACTTTGAAAAAAAATTTAGAAGAATGTATAACTAGAATAACCAATACAGAGAAGTGCTTAAAGGAGCTGATGGAGCTGAAAACCAAGGCTCGAGAACTACGTGAAGAATGCAGAAGCCTCAGGAGCCGATGCGATCAACTGGAAGAAAGGGTATCAGCGAGGGAAGATGAAATGAATGAAATGAAGCGAGAAGGGAAGTTTAGAGAAAAAAGAATAAAAAGAAACGAGCAAAGCCTCCAAGAAATATGGGACTATGTGAAAAGACCAAATCTACGTCTGATTGGTGTACCTGAAAGTGATGGGGAGAATGGAACCAAGTTGGAAAACACTCTGCAGGATATTATCCAGGAGAACTTCCCCAATCTAGCAAGGCAGGCCAACGTTCAGATTCAGGAAATACAGAGAACGCCACAAAGATACTCCTCGAGAAGAGCAACTCCAAGACACATAATTGTCAGATTCACCAAAGTTGAAATGAAGGAAAAAATGTTAAGGGCAGCCAGAGAGAAAGGTCGGGTTACCCTCAAAGGGAAGCCCATCAGACTAACAAACAGCGGATCTCTCGGCAGAAACTCTACAAGCCAGAAGAGAGTGGGGGCCAATATTCAACATTCTTAAAGAAAAGAATTTTCAACCCAGAATTTCATATCCAGCCAAACTAAGCTTCATAAGTGAAGGAGAAATAAAATACTTTACAGACAAGCAAATGCTGAGAGATTTTGTCACCACCAGGCCTGCCTAAAAGAGCTCCTGAAGGAAGCGCTAAACATGGAAAGGAACAACCGGTACCAGCCGCTGCAAAATCATGCCAAAATGTAAAGACCATCGAGACTAGGAAGAAACTGCATCAACTAACGTGCAAAATCACCAGCTAACATCATAATGACAGGATCAAATTCACACATAACAATATTAACTTTAAATGTAAATGGACTAAATGCTCCAATTAAAAGACACAGACTGGCAAATTGGATAAAGAGTCAAGACCCATCAGTGTGCTGTATTCAGGAAACCCATCTCATGTGCAGAGACACACATAGGCTCAAAATAAAAGGATGGAGGAAGATCTACCAAGCAAATGGAAAACAAAAAAAGGCAGGGGTTGCAATCCTAGTCTCTGATAAAACAGACTTTCAACCAACAAAGATCAAAAGAGACAAAGAAGGCCATTACATAATGGTAAAGGGATCAATTCAACAAGAAGAGCTAACTATCCTAAATATATATGCACCCAATACAGGAGCACCCAGATTCATAAAGCAAGTCCTCAGTGACCTACAAAGAGACTTAGACTCCCACACATTAATAATGGGAGACTTTAACACCCCACTGTCAACATTAGACAGATCAACGAGACAGAAAGTCAACAAGGATACCCAGGAATTGAACTCAGCTCTGCACCAAGCGGACCTAATAGACATCTACAGAACTCTCCACCCCAAATCAACAGAATATACATTTTTTTCAGCACCACACCACACCTATTCCAAAATTGACCACATACTTGGAAGTAAAGCTCTCCTCAGCAAATGTAAAAGAACAGAAATTATAACGAACTATCTCTCAGACCACAGTGCAATCAAACTAGAACTCAGGATTAAGAATCTCACTCAAAACCGCTCAACTACATGGAAACTGAACAATCTGCTCCTGAATGACTACTGGATACATAACGAAATGAAGGCAGAAATAAAGTTGTTCTTTGAAACCAACGAGAACAAAGACACAACATACCAGAATCTCTGGGACGCATTCAAAGCAGTGTGTAGAGGGAAATTTATAGCACTAAATGCCCACAAGAGACAGCAGGAAAGATCCAAAATTGACACCCTAACATCACAATTAAAAGAACTAGAAAAGCAAGAGCAAACACATTCAAAAACTAGCAGAAGGCAAGAAATAACTAAAATCAGAGCAGAACTGAAGGAAATAGAGACACAAAAACCCCTTCAAAAAATTAATGAATCCAGGAGCTGGTTTTTTGAAAGGATCAACAAAATTGATAGACCGCTAGCAAGACTAATAAAGAAAAAAAGAAGAATCAAATAGACGCAATAAAAAATGATAAAGGGGATATCACCACCGATCCCACAGAAATACAAACTACCATCAGAGAATACTACAAACACCTCTACGCAAATAAACTAGAAAATCTAGAAGAAATGGATGAATTCCTCAACACATACACTCTCCCAAGACTAAACCAGGAAGAAGTTGAATCTCTGAATAGACCAATAACAGGAGCTGAAATTGTGGCAATAATCCAATAGTTTACCAACCAAAAAGAGTCCAGGACCAGAGAGATTCACAGCTGAATTCTATCAGAGGTACAAGGAGGAACTGGTACCATTCCTTCTGAAACTATTCCAATCAATAGAAAAAGAGGGAATCCTCCCTAACTCATTTTATGAGGCCAGCATCATTCTGATACCAAAGCCGGGCAGAGACACAACCAAAAAAGAGAATTTTAGACCAATCTCCTTGATGAACATTGATGCAAAAATCCTCAATAAAATACTGGCAAAACGAATCCAGCAGCACATCAAAAAGCTTATCCACCATGGTCAAGTGGGCTTCATCCCTGGGATGCAAGGCTGGTTCAATATATGCAAATCAATAAATGTAATCCAGCATATAAACAGAGCCAAAGACAAAAACCACATGATTATCTCAATAGATGCAGAAAAAGCCTTTGACAAAATTCAACAACCCTTCATGCTAAAAACTCTCAATAAATTAGGTATTGATGGGACGTATTTCAAAATAATAAGAGCTATCTATGACAAACCCACAGCCAATATCATACTGAATGGGCAAAAACTGGAAGCATTCCCTTTGAAAACTGGCACAAGACAGGGATGCCCTCTCTCACCACTCCTATTCAACATAGTGTTGGAAGTTCTGGACAGGGCAATTAGGCAGGAGAAGGAAATAAAGGGTATTCAATTAGGAAAAGAGGAAGTCAAATTGTCCCTGTTTGCAGACGACATGATTGTATATCTAGAAAACCCCATTGTCTCAGCCCAAAATCTCCTTAAGCTGATAAGCAACTTCAGCAAAGTCTCAGGATACAAAATCAATGTACAAAAATCACAAGCATTCTTATACACCAATAACAGACAAACAGAGAGCCAAATCATGAGTGAACTCCCATTCACAATTGCTTCAAAGAGAAGAAAATACCTAGGAATCCAACTTACAAGGGATGTGAAGGACCTCTTCAAGGAGAACTACAAACCACTGCTCAAGGAAATAAAAGAGGATACAAACAAATGGAAGAACATTCCATGCTCATGGGTAGGAAGAATCAATATCGTGAAAATGGCCATACTGCCCAAGGTAATTTACAGATTCAATGCCATCCCCATCAAGCTACCAATGACTTTCTTCACAGAATTGGAAAAAACTACTTTAAAGTTCATATGGAACCAAAAAAGAGCCCGCATCGCCAAGGCAACCCTAAGCCAAAAGAACAAAGCTGGAGGCATCACACTACCTGACTTCAAACTATACTACAAGGCTACAGTAACCAAAACAGCATGGTACTGGTACCAAAACAGAGATATAGATCAATGGAACAGAACAGAGCCCTCAGAAATAACGCCGCATATCTACAACTGTCTGATCTTTGACAAACCCGAGAAAAACAAGCAATGGGGAAAGGATTCCCTATTTAATAAATGGTGCTGGGAAAACTGGCTAGCCATATGTAGAAAGCTGAAACTGGATCCCCTCCTTACACCTTATACAAAAATCAATTCAAGATGGATTAAAGACTTAAACGTTAGACCTAAAACCATAAAAACCCTAGAAGAAAACCTAGGCATCACCATTCAGGACATAGGCATGGGCAAGGACTTCATGTCCAAAACACCAACAGCAATGGCAACAAAAGCCAAAATTGACAAATGGGATCTAATTAAACTAAAGAGCTTCTGCACAGCAAAAGAAACTACCATCAGAGTGAACAGGCAACCTACAAAATGGGAGAAAATTTTCGCAACCTACTCATCTGACAAAGGGCTAATATCCAGAATCTACAATGAACTCAAACAAATTTACGAAAAAAAAACAACCCCATCAAAAAGTGGGCAAAGGACATGAACAGACACTTCTCAAGAGAAGACATTTATGCAGCCAAAAACCACATGAAAAAATGCTCATCATCACTGGCCATCAGAGAAATGCAAATCAAAACCACAATGAGATACCATCTCACACCAGTTAGAATGGCAATCATTAAAAAGTCAGGAAACAACAGGTGCTGGAGAGGATGTGGAGAAATAGGAACACTTTTACACTGTTGGTGGGACTGTAAGCTAGTTCAACCCTTGTGGAAGTCAGTGTGGCGATTCCTCAGGGATCTAGAACTAGAAATACCATTTGACCCAGCCATCCCATTTCTGGGTATATACCCAAAGGACTATAAATCTTGCTGCTATAAAGACACATGCACACGTATGTTTATTGCGGCATTATTCACAATAGCAAAGACTTGGAACCAACCCAAATGTCCAACAATGATAGACTGGATTAAGAAAATGTGGCACATATACACCATGGAATACTATGCAGCCATAAAAAATGATGAGTTCATGTCCTTTGTAGGGACATGGATGAAATTGGAAATCATCATTCTCAGTAAACTATCGCAAGAACAAAAAACCAAACACCGCATATTCTCACTCATAGGTGGGAATTGAACAATGAGATCACATGGACACAGGAAGGGGAATATCACACTCTGGGGACTGTGGTGGGGTGGGGGGAGGGAGGAGGGATAGCACTGGGAGATATACCTAATGCTAGATGACGAGTTAGTGGGTGCAGCGCACCAGTATGGCACATGTATACATATGTAACTAACCTGCACAATGTGCACATGTACCCTAAAAGTTGAAGTATAATAAAAAAAAAAAAAAAACAAGCAGAAACTCTGGAGCTGGAGAGATGCGTTTCTAATCCTGCTTGGTCTCACCACCCTTAAGATCCTGGGAAACTGAGATAACCTGTCTGAAACTCAGATTCCTTCTCTATGTGAAAAAGCATAACAATACATAGGAGAGATATTGAGAGGCTTAAATGAGAAAAAAAAAATGGTCAAACACCCAGCTCATTGTCTGACATATATTGAGTGTTTTTCCCTCCTTTCTCCAGATGGGTACCAAGAAAGAGCTGGGAGAGGGAGAGAAAAGGGCTAAAGAGACTTTGTGTAATGGGGAACTGGCACCTTGGTCAACAAGGTTAGAGTCATGCCAAAAATTAGGATCATCCCAGTAAAGCAATGTTAAGGGGACCACTTAACAGAGGGGGGACTATGCTGCCTGAAGGAGAGTATGGAAACTGGAAGTGACTGGTTTTCTGCAGCTGAAACAGGCTGGAGAATTCAGAGAAGCTATCATCAAAGTTTGTATACAAAGTCCATGGGGCCTACTCCAGAAATGAACTAATTCTTCCTGGGCGCAAGATTTCTGAGGAAAGGAGGAAGGCAATGTCAGGACGAGGGGAAAAAACCCAGGATCCAGAAGGGCAGGCCATGTCAGAGGACATGAGGAAGTGGGCACTACTCAGCACTGGGCCACATCAAATGGGCCCAAGGGGCCATCGAAATCAGACCTGTTTAGGCTGAGCCATTCCATGTTCATTCTCCTCACACCCAGGGGGCAACTCCTCAGTGGGGAAGAGCAAAGACCACTACTAGGTCAGTCCACAGAGCCTCCCGCTGCTCTCAGCACCCCACCTGGGTGGGCATCCTGGGTGTGCTGGCATTCTGGATGCTTCCCACAGGGCCCCATGGTAAATAACTGAAGAATTCCAGGGTAGACGGTCAGATATCAGGGAAGGATGGGGCAGGGGAAGCAGAGGATTAGTTATTAATAGATGTCAGACTGCATCCTTACCTGGCCAGACCATACCAGGGTCCATGAGAAACATTAAGCATTCCAGGGGCTTGGACAGAAGTTTTTATTGCCATCTTGTTTTGCCTAACCATGGGTGATGCTTGCTCACCCTCAAAAGTCAGCCTAGGCAAACCCTGACCCACTTTCCCCAAAATCATCATCTTATCCTCATCCTTGTCCCCCATCCACCAAACTCCCTACCCCTGCTCAGGCACTCAGTCCCCAGGCGTGGGGCCTTATTGCCATCTCTGAGTCCTCCCCACACCTACCCACAAGCCCTACACTCCATCACCTTAAGCCTTGTGGTTCTGCTGTGCCACTCATGAGCTCCATGAAGACCAGGACCATGACTTACTCACCTTCTGTCCCCCACAGGCATGCCTAACACAAAGGCCTGCCCATAGTAGGTGTTCAATACAAGCAAATGCCACCTCCCAGTTTCCCTAGGCCCTCCCTGAGGCCTCCCCCAAAAGAAAAACAACACCATGTACAGGGCAGAATAAGAGGACTGCTTCCCCATAGGTTGAAGTTGAGGGAAGAGGGGAATAAAAAAGAAGAGAGGAGGTGGGGAGAGGTGGAAGGCGAGTAACTCAGTGGAAGGAGTTGGCCAATTTGCCCAGTATTCAAACTTATGTCAGTCTTCACAACATATCCTTCTACATCTGAGGGCACATGTCTTAGTCTGTTTCGTGTTGCTCTAAGAAAAAAATTCAAGACTGGGTAATTTATAATGAACAGAAACTATTGGCTCACAGTTCTGGAGTCTGGGAAGTCCAAGATCAAGCCACCAGCAGGGTTGGCAATTCTGACTCTAAGATGGTGCCTCAAACACTGCATCCTCGCATGGTGGAAGGCAGAAGAGCAAAGAGGAAAAAGGGGGCTGAACTTGCCCTTTTATAAAGACATTAATCCCACCCAAGAGGTCAGATCCCTCATGACTTAATCACATCTTAAATGTTCCACCTCTTAACAGTGTTACTATAGCAATTAAATTTCAACATGAGTTTAGGCAGATAAGCAGCTCTTGTCTCCCTTGCTTGTAACAGAGTGTGGCATCCAGCCTTTCAAGTTTACTGTGAACAGTTCCCTCCTGGATCAGTCTTATTCCCAGAGTGGAGTCATGCCTTCTCTTCATGCCTCAAACACACACACACAAACATGTGCCCACACACAGGTACACACACACACACACACACACACACCAGATACTCAATTAGTAGGCAATCAAGACAGGCTGATTCATATAGTTGTCCCTCAGTATGTGTGGGGGATGGGTTCCAGGACTCCCACATATAACAAAATTCACACATACTCAAGACCTGCAGTCAGCCCTGTGGAACCCAAGTGTACAGAAAGTCAGCCCTTCATATACACAGGTTTCACATCCCTTGAATACAATGTTTTCCATTCATGTTTGGTTAAAAAAATTGCATATGATTGGACCCATGCAGTTCAAACCCTGATGTTCAAGGATCCACTGTGCTACCAAACCCCACCATCAGCAGCAGCAGGCACTGTGAGTGCAGGGATACTGTAGCTTTATTTTTCATCCCAATGTCCCTCTTCAAAGTCAGGGAGCTGCCTGGAAAACTGTAAGTGGACTCTCTGACCCTCTCCCTCAGATGACACTTCCCCACCCTCATCACCCCACCCCTGTCCCACCTCCCAGTCCCAGGATGGCCAGATTTATGCAACATCTCAGGAGGCCATGGAAGGCCAGAACACAGAACAGACTCCATCTCCCTGCCCCAATCTCCCTACCCCCAGTCAATAACACTGTTTAACCCCAGGATAACACTGTTTGGGGTAAGCATGCCCTTTCTCCAGGAGGTTGTTTCACTGCTCGAGCTCTCCCTGGTAGCCCTTGGTGGGAAATGTTGAAAAATGTGGTCTTGGGCTCCAGGGCCCTCAGCGCACAGAGCAGGTGCACATGCCCTCTGGCTACTCTCCCTACCACATGGTTTTGACACCGTTTTGACCTGATTCCTCTTGCCTAAGGGACCTCCTGACAGCATAAGAAGTTCAGAGCTCAAAGACTTTAACCTGTCCAAACTTCAGCACTAAGGGAGACCGATTATGCTGTATGACCTTGGGAAAATCACCTCACTTCTGGGCCTCAGTTTCCACGCATGTAAAATGGGGATAAAGAAACAACCCAGCTCCTGGGATTGATATGAAGACTGCATGAGATGATACGCAGGACACCCGTGGCACAATGCAGGGCTTGCAGTAAGAGCTCAATAAATACCACCTGCTATTTGTCTATAAGTGTGTTTAGCAACATCTTTGAATGGAATCATATTGTGCATTACTTTTTGTAACTTTTTTTCACTCATTTAGTGTGATCATTAAATATCCTTCGAGACATTTTTAATGGCTGTAATATTTCATCTCAGGAGTTATGGTAATTTATTTAACCACTCTCAGAGGGATTCTTCTATAAACTATTTTTTTTAAACTCAGGCTCCCAGGTCAGAGTCACAAGGGTAGGGTGGGGGTGGGGGTGGGGGTGGGTCCTTCGGAGCTCCTGACCCACCTGCCCCCACCCCGAGTCATCATTACCCTCTGCCTGCCCCTGCCTCCCCATTTTCAGCTGGAATCAATCGCACTCCCTTCCGGCCCTTCCCTCCTGCCTCATAACATCAATCAACCAACAGCCACCACTGTGTGCCCAGCCCAGTGTCAGCAATACAAGGAGCATCTGGAAGAAGAGAGGTTGCCCTGCCTTCAAGGACCCTGTTCTCTGTCTGGAGAGGCAAACTATACGCCTATCAGACAATCAGAGAACAGAGAGGTAGCCAGAGAGGAGGGTGTGGTGGGAACTGGTGTTCCTGGGAGCCCTGGCAACAGAGAGGGCACTCCAGAGGAGAGAGTCGGTGGGGGCAAGGTGCACAATGACCAGCTGGACACTGAGTTGGGAGAGCGTAGGGAGGGGGCTGGTTAGAGGTTATAGTTAGACAGGAGCACAGCTGTGAGCCCTTGTGGGGTTACAATCCTGCTGGGGTCTGGGCTGATGGAGCATGCCGGATTGCAGGGCCCCAGCTTGGAACTAATGCCCCCAGTGGCTAGGAGCAATCATTTCGAAATGAAGGTAATGATCCAATTAGTGGTTATCCATCAAGTTCAGTTATCTCTCCTTGGGCTGGGGAGCAGAGAAGCTGAGTAAACACGTGCCTTGGACTGTGACATAAAACCAGACACCCTCATGCTGGAAAATGAGTTCAAGATGTGGGCTGAGCCACCACTGGGGCCTGCAGGTTAGCATCTCTGTGGCCGAAAGAGGCAGGGAAGCCATTGGCACTCATGAAGGGTGGGGTCTCTGAGCAGGCAGCTCCCTCTCTCAACTCCCCCATCACCCAACCTGGGCCCCTCGCCCAACTGTGAGAAGCGGGAGAGGCCACCGATGGCTGTGGGCCTGGGGAAGAGCTCACAAGCACAAGTCAGAGTCTGACCTGGCTCCCAATCAGAGGCTTCTGTGCGATTTGGCCTGAGCCCTGAGCCCCTAGCCCCCAGCTCACTGGCCTCCCCAGCTCACCGCCGCCCCCCACCCACCCCACCCTGACATTCAATGTCTGTGCAACACATTTACAGACTAGTATGTTCTGTCTTGAGCTTCTTTAGTCAGATTCCAGGTTCCCTAAAGACAAGGGCTTTCTGTGGCTTCTCACAGGACCAACCCTGTAGTGGGAAGGAACGCAGGGGAGTTACCTATTCCATGTGTCATTTTAAAATGAGGCCCAGGGAGGGGAACTGATTGGCCCAATAACACATCGTTAGTTAATGCCTTATTCAGGATCACAGCCGAAGTCTCCAGCTCAACAACTAGTTATACAGCTCAACAACTGTTGTACTGAACGAAAACAGGCAATAATCTCTGCCCTCATGTGGCTCACATCTAGTGGCATGATGCAGGCAATCAGCAAATTAAGTAAGCAAAAACATATAGCACATCACATGCTGAAAAGTGCTACAGAGAAAACTAAAGCAGGGAAGGGGGTGTTAGAAGGAAGGAAGCGAGTGTTAGAAGAAAAGGGGTTTTGGGGGAGACTTTTTGACAACAGTGGCTGGGAAGGTCTTCTAGGAAGGCGGCATATGAGCAAAGGCCTTGAGGAGGTGAAAGGATGAGCGATGTGGCTCAGGTGCAAAGGCCCTTAGGCAAGGAAGTGCCTGGCAAGTTGCAGAAACACTGAGAAGGCCAGTGTGGCCTGAGCAGAGTGAGGAGACACTGTGGGGAGGTCGGGGAGGCTATGCAGGGCAGGAGTGATCACAGAGTGCAAAGCTTCGCAGGCGCCTAAGGACTCTGGCTTTTGCTCTGCATGAGATGATTGCAGGGGTGGGGGAATTTGGGAGTCGGGGGTGCGGAATGGCTTGATCTGACTCAAGTTTTAAAGCAATCACTCTGGCTGTTCTTCCCCCTGTGTCACACGAGGGTGCCCACACGACATGCCTGCCTGATGGAACACAGCAGACATGCTCAATAAATCCCAAATAAATGAGCAAAGAGACAGGAATTCTGTGCAGAGTGAACACAAAGCAACCTTCAGAGTGGCTAGACCTGCAGGCATGTCTACCTGGAGAGCGCTGGCCAGCAAGGAGGGCCTGGACACAGGAATAACGGGAAGGGCATGGGTGGGTGGGGTGGGAAAGAGAAATGGACCCGAGGTCTGCCACATCTCCAAGTCAAGAGAGACTTGGGGCTGAGGTCCTTCGAGAGGCCTGAAATCTACCTGGAAAAAAAAAAGTCCATGCTTGTGTTCTACTCAAGGGATGGGGGCGTGCAGCCCCTCAGAAACTCGAGCCAGGGTGGGGAGTCCTCAGGGAACAAGGCTTCTCACCCTCAGGATACCTCTCAAATCTCTTTCACTGGAACATAAGCCATTTATTCTCATCTTCCCCAGAGGAGGGTACCAGCCATCATGTCAGACAACCACTGGCCAGTCATCCACACTGGTCAGCCATTCATGAGCCATTTTCTGACTCTGCCCCTCATGCAGAAGACCCTAAAATGCTCTTAGTGACATGTTTGGAAGCAGCCTCCAATTTCTTTACCCTCTGCTCATGGGACCACTCACCCCTGCCCCCCCCACCCCTGTCCCCTCAGGCATTTGGAAGAGAACACTATGGGGGTCGTCCTGCTCAGTCATTTCCCAATGGAATTTCACACTCTCCTTTATCCCTCAGCCCCTGCCCACAATGTTCAGAGTTGCCTCAGGAAATTACTTTGCAGAACAGGCTCTACCTCCCACTAACTTGGCTCAGCCTGACCTGGTCACACCAACTCACCTCTTAGTAGCTGGACTTTATGGGGCCATTGAATGAGACACCCCTCTCAGCTTCTGACCTGGAGAGATCAGAGAATGACATTACTAAAGCTAGCACATCCCTGGTTCCATCAGAACACCACCAACCTCTCTGCATTCTATTCTCTACTCTGACCACAAAGAGGCAGGATCCTTCTTTGCATCCTGAAATGGTGGGCCTTTTTTCCATCCTGGAACCTGCCCATCTGGCCATTGCTGGTCCTCAAACCCATCTAGCAGAGGCAGCACACGAGCCCTGCATTGAGGCCTGCCCCCTTCTGTAGCAAGAATGCAGAAGTTGAGGCACTGGGCTTCCAGTCTACAGAAGTTTCCTTGTGGATTCCTTGCTTCTTCTTCATGGCCTAGGTGAGTACTCAATGACCTTAGGTGGCTCTCTCTGCTCTGGGATACACACGTCTACTTTCAAATGGGCCAGTTATCCTGTGTGCTCATCTCATTATGCATGGACCAACGGCATATTAATTACAGTATGTTTTAAACAGTTACCTAGTTCTACCAAAAGACACATTCACTTGCAACAGCATTCACAATAGCAAAGACATGGAATCAACCCAGATGCCCATCAGTGATGTACTGGATAAAGATAGTGCATGTGTGTGTGTGTGTGTGTGTGTGTGTGTGTGTGATTAAAAAAAAAAAAATCATGTCCCTTGCAGGAACATGAATACAGCTAGAGGCCATTATCCTAAGTGAATTAACACAGGACCAGAAAACCAAATGCCGCATGTTCTCACTTACAAGTGGGAGCTAAACACTGAGCACACATGGACATAAGGATGGGAGCAATAGACACTGGGAACTCCCAGAGAGGAGAGGATGGGAGGGGGCAAGGGTTGAAAAACCACCTATCGTGCGCTATGCTCACTCCCTGGGTGATAGGATCATTCATACATCAAGCCTCAGTGGCACACAATATAGCCATATAACAAACCTGCACATGTACCCGCTGAACCTAAAATAAAAATTGAAAGAGAAATAAATTAACAGTTAAATACTTTCCTTTTTCTATGTCCTCTTCTGCCCTTCCCTCTACTTCTACGTTGAAAATCCACCATGGGCTTCAAAGATGGGTCCCAGCTCTGACGCTCACATGCTGTGTGACCCTGAGCAAGTGATTTTTTTTTGAGATGGAGTCTCGCTTCTATCACCCAGGCTGGAGTGCAGTGGCATGATCTCAGTTCACTGCAACCTCTGCCTTCCGGGCTCAAGCAGTTCTCCTAGCTCAGCCTCCCAAATGGCTGGGACTACAGGCACATACCACCACACCTGGCTAATTTTTGTATTTTTAGTAGAGACGGAGTTTCACCATATTGGTCAGGCTGGTCTTGAACTCTTAATCTCTGGTGATCCTCCTGCCTTGGCCTCCCAAAGTGCTGGGATTACAGGCATGAGCCACTGTGCCTGGCCTGTGCAAGTGATTTAACTCCTCCGAGTCTCAGCTTCTTTATCTGTAAGATAGAAAAAATAACAAGTACTGTACCTGAAAGTGTTGTTGTCAGCCTTGGTAAGTTCAAGGGCAGACTCAATACCTGGCATGGGGCAGGCCCTCTGCTACATGGAAGTGGTTATTAGTATTGTTTAAATAATCATATTTCAAGAGCCACGTTTTCCATAATGCCATTCCTCATTCTTCATCCAAAAATATTTTTATCCACTGAACTTTGTATTTTTCTTATGGAACTTCCCTCAGGGTAATGGTCATGGGGAAAGTAAGGAAATAGGGGAGATGGAAAAATGAATTGTTTAAAGAAGAAAAAACGAAGGTTATTAAACAATAGCTTGATGACTGAATGAGTACACCTGGGTGGCAAATGGGCTTCATCTCATGTGGTAATATGATTTGGGAAGGGATTGTTTGAAGCAGAGGAGAACAGTGCCGTGGTTAATTAGTGGTGTCCAGGGCCTGTCGGGAGGTGGGAGGCAAAGGGAGGGAGAGCATTAGGACAAATACCTAATGCACGTGGGGCTTAAAACCTAGATGACGGGTTGATAGGTGCAGCAAACCACCATGGCCCACGTATTCCTATGTAACAAACCTGCACGTTCTGCACATGTATCCCAGAATTAAAGTACAATAAAAAAAATTAATGGTGTCTGCTACAGATAGTGGACCCTATATAACATATTTGCCTATGATAGAATACACTACAGATCTAAAGAATATTATCCTGTCAGAGTCATTTGGTCAAAACTTCTCATTTCATAGGTGAAGAAATTGCTGTGTATGCTAAGGCGGACAGTTGTGTAATCTTTATTTACTTGTTTATTTTTCATTTGACTATTTCTTTAAATAGCCACAGCCCATAGTAATTAGGATGTAGTAGGTTTTCTAACTGTCAGTGTACAGTTCTTACTGCACTTCATTATTTCTTCCTCCAGTGAGACCTCAGAATATTCTAGAAACTTGGAGCCTAAAAAGAAGTGTTTCTCCAAGACATAATGAGTGTTTTCGGTGCACTCAAGAAAGACAAATTAAGGTATGAAACCACGAAATAAATAAAACATGCGCTACTTCTACGTTTTATTGGAAGAGGGGTGGAAGGAGAGGTTACAAAGGAGGAGAGAACCCTGGCCCATAAAGAATCTAAGGTCCCCCTGCATTGTAGCCGGGAGAAGTCCAGTGTCAGGACTCAGTCAGTCCCCATCATGACCGTGGGTTCAGGGGCGAGGGATGCAGGGTAGCAGTAGGGGACTTCGTTGTCTTGAGTTTGGGTTTCCTTGGGAGTTCAGGAGCTTCCAGAGGTGAGATTGTGTTACAAGGAGGTCATTCACACTTGCCTCCCTAGGCTGAAGCTACCATCTGTCTATGCAGCACTCAGAGATGACCAACACTTTACTACATTGTTATCTGGACATCCCAACAACCTTCTGCAGTAGATAATATTATTTTCATTTTACCCATAAGGACTGAGGTTTAGTGGAGTGAGTTGCACAGGACAACACAGTGGCAAAATCAAGACTTGCACCCAGGACTCCTGACTCCAAATTCTTACACTATTCCACAGCGCTTCTTGCTCTAGGGTCCTCTTTTCAGGTGTGGAATAGTTTGAACAAAGACCCGCTTCAACCGTGAACCTGGAGTCATCCTCTTGAAGTTTGACCCTCTTTGATCCCGCCGGGGGTTGGTTTCCAAGAGGTGCCCTGGCCAGGTCTCTGTGAAGAACGCCGCCACTGCGACTGCTGCTCATTATCACACGGGAGAGCTCCCTGCTCCCTGAGGGAGATGAGAAGAAAACCCCTGGTTCTGGCAGACCCGCCACAGCCCTGGGCAGCAGGCTGTCTACAAGGCGGGGGTGCTGTGGTGCCCTCAGCAAGCCAGCTCTCACTTGTTGAGTTTCTGTCGGTATGCATCCTCTGTGGGATCGAACCATATTAAATTGCTTCAAGCAGCCTATAAAATAAAGACAATTGCAATGCCATAAGGAATAGCGTATCCCCAACCATAAATAAATTAGGGCTCTAATTCCATCAAGGCATGTGGGTGACATCACACACCGTGAGAGCCGGGCTTGGAAGGGCTGTTCACATCACTGCAAATCTGAGATGGAATTACCACCTTAATTTATTTACATCTTCTGGTGGCCGGGGTGCTGTGACAGATGATTTCTGAAACGTCTGATTCCTCCAGATTATGACCTCGGGTTCTGTTCTTGTCCTCCCCTTCCCCACCCCTCTTCCTTTCCCCCTCTCCCCTTTCTCACACCCCTGGGCCCACATTTCCCTCATCATATTTTGTTTTCTTTGTGTTCCTGGTAAAGAATGCAAGGAGGGAAGGCCTGGTACTGAGAAGAAATGGCGAATTCCAGATGCCAAGGACAGACCTAGGAGAAGTGGGGGAGGCATGGGGAAGGAGGAGCCCCTCCTGCGCCATGATGTGTTGCCTTGCCCAGGGCCATTCATCCCGGGCCTCTCTGGAGACATAAAGCTTTTCCTTGCTGGAAATTTCAGCTTAATTAAATCTACTAGGTGTGTTCTTGAACGTCAACCATGTCCTAGGCAACGTGTAGCAGTCAGAACCACATGGAACCAAGGAATTTTAGAGGCAGACAGACCTTCAGAGGTCTCAAGTTAGTTTGACTCATTTTACAAATGAAGGACCCAAGAGAAGGGAAGTGATTTTTCTAAGATCATGTGGCAAATAAATGGCAGGGCCACGTCTAGACTGCAGAAAAAGTGGGAAACATTAACACTGTCCACCAGGGCCTCACACCTTAGTCAGAGAAATAAGACAGATATCTTCAGAAAGGTTATCTAAAACCAGGACGGAGTGTATAATCAGAGCCAAACTGAGGGTTACAAATACTGAATTCAGGGAAGGACGGGAGCAATACTGGCTGCAAGTTTGGGGCAAATTTCATAGAGGAAGCAGTAGAGTTGGATACTGAAGGGTAGATGGGATCTCACTTGGCAGAGATTAGAAGGGAGAGGCATTCATTACAGGCAGAGAAATGGCCGGAGCAAAGGCCTGGGAGCTGGAATAAGCATGCTGACACAGAAGATCAGTGAGACCCCAGTGGAAAGAGGGGTCAGTATCTAAGTGCCATTATCTAATGGGGCCAGAGGACTCTGCTTAACCATCAGGTCAGCTGAAAGTACTGACATTCTTGAATAAAAGCAGTAAATGAAAGCATGTTTTTGAACTTGGCTAAACAAACTGTGGTCTGGAGACTACCAGTATCAGCTTTACCTCACCTGCTACTTACTGAATCCAAATCTGCATTTTAACTTGACCCCCAGGTGGTGACTCATGGGCACGTATTAGTATTTGAGAAGCCCTGCTTTAAGAAACCTGGCATAGTTTGAATATCATTTCTTCATTATTCCAGAAGTTGTTCCCTGGTGTTGCTTTTCTTTTTTCCTGACCAAGAATGACCCCTTAGCCAACATTATTATACTCAGAAATTCTTGCAAAGTGAGATAAACCAGCAAATTGTTTTCAAATAGAATGATGTTTTCAAGAATATTAAGTTTAACAATTAATGAAGATGACAGTATTAGATTTCGTAAACACAATTAAGCATGTGTTTATTTCCATTTTGCAGTTCTCTTTTTAAATTTTGAAGCCCATGGACTTTCTTCCAATGATCAGACATTTTCTAAGCCGTTGCAAAGCTCTTGGGCTTTAGTATCTAATGGATAAAACAGGCCATGGTGTGCCTTGCGGGAGCAGGGTCTCCCACATAGCTCAGGGCAGCTTCCTAGGGAGGTGGTAAGCCCTCAGCAGGGAAAACTGAGAGAGTCCCTGCCCCATCCAAGACCCCTGGCCCATGCCGTGAGATTTCAAGGGAACACTCATGCCTGGAGTTTGATTCACTAAGGGGTGGAGGCACTTCCTTTTCTCCAGACACCACATAAACTTCCTAGATCCTAGTGCTGCCCAAGGCCAGGTGGTAGGTGGAGCCCATAATGGATTTCCCACCAGCCCACAGGATGAGGGTTTAGAGTTGGAATTAAGCTGATTTAAAGAAAATATATAAAGTGATTTCTGTGTGTGTGTGTACCTGAGTTCGCAGATCAAGATGAATACTTGCTATATTTCCTTTTAAAAAAAATGCAAAAATTATCCTCCCAAGACCTCCACTAAAGGGAGGAGAGGGTGTGCATGTGCTGGAGGTAAAGCCACAAGCAAAGCTGCAAAGCATCCAGGCAGCCTTTCAAGACCTCCATGCTAGACTGGGGTTGACACGAGCACAGTGCCCTTCCTCCCACCAAACCACAAGCTATGTGCCCAGTCTGGGTCATGGTTTCCTCTTCCAATGACCATCTTAAAGTGCTTGGGGTGGACTTTCAGAGGCAGGAATTCCCCCCACCCCGTGTGCCCTCTGCCACGCTGACATCACTTTGGTCTTCTGGGGACTGTTGCTCAGGGAGGACCTGACCTCAGGCCTATCTGCCTCTCTTCCCACGGGCCATCTGTGCCAGGGACCTGTCTGTGAATCCCCCTCAGAGTTGCCCCCATCATACCCTGCAGAGGGTTACCTTCTTTGAAGCTCTGGGACCCTGTGGTGTCCCCTCCACTCAGAGGGACATCCACAATAAGGAAATCTCCCACAACAATAGGAACCTTGCTGGGGGCCTCCTCTCTTAACTTTTATAAAATTGTGATTTAATTTATATACCATAAAATTCATCTTTTTACAGACCCTATGTTCAATCCTTTTTAGTATATTCACAAGGTTGTGCAACCATCACCACAATCGCATTCCAGAATATTTTCATCACTCCAAAAAGAAACCCCATACCCACAGCAATCACTCCCTCTCTCCCCCAGCTTCTGGTAACCACAAATTAGTTTTCTGTCTCTATGGATTTGCCTATTCTGTGTAAATGGAATTATAGAATATGTGGTTCTTTGTGACTGTCTTCCCTTCTCTTTTATCTTGCCACAAGCAGGCTTGCTTCACTAATTTCTTAAGAAGGCCTAGAAGTCACTAGTCTGGGAAAAATGGTAACAGTCCTGGAGCAAATTCTCCTGAGGAAGCCCATTGGCTTCTCTCTTCCTGAGTGTTCCTCCAGTGGCTGGTCCAGGCCCCACGACCTATGGGGACTCAGCTTTATCAAAGGGAACAGGTCGACACAAGTAGACACAGTTTGGTTGAGGACTGTGGTCCAGGCCTGTGCTTACAGTGCAGACCAAGAAGAGCTGGCCACTGCTACAGACATCAGTTTTGCTCAAATCATGTCTCCCCTGGCTATGGCCATTTCAAATGAAATATCCAAATGGCTTTTCACAGTATACAAGATGCCTCCTCAAATGGTCTACACAACTGTGGAAAGACAGGATAAAAGACTTGCCCAAGGATATTCAGGTGGGAAGTAGTAAAGGCAGGACTCAAGTTCAGGGCTTGAACCTAACAGCCTCCACATTCCTTAATGGCCTGTGCTTGTGGTAGACTATTCTCCCGTACCCTCCTCCTGAAACTTCTCCCTCCAGAAAGCAATTCTGGGTCAGCTGTGAGCAGACATGCAGGCTCTTCCTCCTCTTTCTCCTTCCCCCTGAGCTCCTCTCCTTCTACATCCCACAATGGCCTGAGTGGTCCACTCACACTGCTTATGGTTCTACTAACATTGAAGCTGATTACTTTTTTTCCACTTTTCTGACTGTATGATTGTTAGAGACTTAATGTTGGTGTCCTCCCTCCCAAATTTATATGCTGAAGTCCTAACCTCCATTGTGACAGCATTGAAGATGAGGCCTTTGGGAGGTAATTAGGATTAAATTAAGTCATGAGGGTGGGGCGGTCAATATGGGATTAGTTGCCTTGTAAGTAGAGAGAGAGAGATCACTCGCTGAGGAAAGTTTATGTAAACATGGCATTAGAAGGCAGCTGTCTGCAAACCAGGAAGGGAGTCCTTATCAGGAACCGAATCAGCTACACTTGATCTTGGACTCCTCAGCTTCCAGAACTGTCAGAAATAAATGCCTGTGGTTTAAGCCACATAGTCTATGGTATTTTGTTATGGTAGCTCTATCAGATTAAGACAATGATCTTGAGAAAGTCATTGATCCACTTACTCCTTTTTCTTTTTCTTTTTTTTTTTTTTTTTTACAAGAGAGGATAATATTAGTACCCACATTTAAGGCCGTTGAGAGGATTAACTGATATATGTTAGGAGCTTAGAATAGCACCTAGGACACAGAAAGCCTTTAATAAATGTTGGATTTGTTGTACTACTGTATATATTTGTATTTCTTATGCTATTGAATAAAAATTCTATTTATGCATACTATGACTTACACAAAAAGGATGTTCACAAATATTGGAGGAAGGAAAGAAGTAATGAAGAAAGGAAAAAGAATAAGGGAGGAGAGGAAGAAGGAAGGAAGAATGGAAGGAAGGACTTTGCAGTTGCTTCTAAATACAGAATAAAGGTTGATCTATAACTGTTGGCTTTTTTCTTTTAAAGTATCTCCGTATACATATCCAGAGAAAATTCAGGCATTGCAAAAAGGAGAAATTCATTGGTAATTTATGAAATTCACTTGAAGCTGCAAATGGAAAGGCTAGGATGGTGTCCCTTCTGTTGGTCAACACTGTACTAGTGTTGGAAAATCAGTACTCAGCCTTTTAAAATTCATTCTCACATCTAAAGCTGTAGTTACTCTTGATTACATCAATTGCCATTTTATTAGATTCTCCTGTCAGCATCCTGAGGGCCTGGCTTCTCTCACCCTCTGAATTGGCTGGGTATTAAGTTCACCGCTCAGTCTATCTTCTTTTTCTCTCCTTGTGATCTTCCTAGTGGAGACTGATGTTCTCACTTGTAAAATTCACAGCGCTTCCTCACATTAATATTAAGACTGCTTGGTTTGCTGATTTTCTTCCATCTTGCCCCTCTTTACACATCTCATGTCAGGAAACACTCTGGTGAGGGTGTGTATTGGGGAAAGGAAGATGTGACGTTGTGAGATGATGGAGATTCCGGACAACTAGAAGATTGTTTCTCTTGACCATTCCTGCATTTACTTGTGCTCTGGTTCCCAACATAGCAGCAAAAGACAGCCCTGGAGGATATCCCCAAACTGGACAGACCCAGCCTCAGAATGCCTGCCACACCTTCAATGCTGTTCTGACAGAAGTTACTTGTGTTATGCATAATCTTTAAGGAGCTATGGTTTTGCAATGAATGACCTGCCCTTTCCACATCTTGAGCCCTGGAATTGCTGATTGGACCAGAGGCAGACACCTAGATCAAGGGCAGTCAATCCCAAAGATGAGCTGTGCCCATCCTAGTCTCTTTCCAAGGCATTTGAACCAAGGTATGCCAAGTGAAGGATGTAATCACCAAAGAGGCTAAAACAGAACATTTGTAATGGATGAAGAAACCAGAGAAGCCATGATAATCTAGTAAAAGCCAAAGTTACATAGGAACAGAAATTATAAGTAAACAGAAGCTAGACTCAAAGAATTACCAGAAGGAGAATGGAAAAAACACACAAAAAGCAGCAGAAACATGGGGATACAAATAGACCAGGCCACCTATGGGAGAAAACTCTATGCCAGCTTCCTTGGTTCTACATCACATTCTGGTCTGGGCCATCCTCCCTTCTCCTGTAGTTACTTGAGTGAGTCTCTGTTTCTTACAACCAACAGAACCTAAGGTTCATCTTCCTGTTCCTCAGGCCTCTCCAGAGATTGGGAGCCAGGTCTAATGGGGACCCCCAAACCAGAAGCAGTGGCAGGGACCAGTTCAGCTCATCTCAATGCATTGCACTTGGAGTCTGGTATCCAAGTTAATCCAACAAGTGTGCAATTTGAGCACTTATCACTGTGAGACCCTGTGCAAGATTTGCAGAGGTAAAAAGTAAAGAAAGAGTAAGAAAGCCCTTGACTTCAAGGAGGGTATTATCTAAATAGGATGTAAGAAACACAACTAAGTCAGTACAAAGCTGAACAGATGTGTGTGTCAAAGAGGAGCAAACACAATGCTTTGAAGTTTCAGGGAAGTTGTGGTCGTGTTGGGATATGAGGTTCAGAAAAGACTGGTCAGATTTGCTGTGGATGCAAAGGAAAAATGTAGGAAATACTGAGGTTGAAGCTGGGTGTGGTGGTGCATGCCTATAGTCCCAGCTACTCGGCAGGCTGAAGCAGTAGGAGCATGTGAGCCCAGCCTCAGCAAATGGAAAGGAAAGAGAAAGGAAAGGAAGAAGAGAGAGTAAGGAAGGAAAGGAAGAAAGAAGAGACAGTAAGGAAGGAAGAAAGCAGAGAGGGAGGGACGGAGGGACAGAGGGAGGGAGGGAGGGAGGGAGGGAGGGAGGGAGGGAGGAAGGAAGGAAGGAAGGAAGATGCACAATTGCTTCTTTTCCTCCTACAGGTTTTATGAGACCAGAGGTAATTCCCTGCTGCTGTTCAGCGTTGCTGTGGCTAACAGTTCCAACCTTCTGAAGTGCCGGCTGGTTGGGGCTGTCTCTCTGGCAACTGATTAGCCCATAAACCCTGCCTTGCTGGTCCTGCAGCGTTCTCCAGTGCAAGTGACTGAAAGCATGCCTTTCCCAAAAAGGAAAATATGTAAGATTTAGTTCCCAAGTTATGTTTCATGTTTACAACGGTCTTCTCATCATCGTTAGTTGGATTAAATTTAGTGATTACAAAGATTTTTGTTTTTATCAATAATACCCTTGATCTTGAAAAACAAGAGCAATTTAAACAGACCCAGATGCTCTAAACTCCACCACATGTTTGTTGTATTTCTTTTAATCGCATTGTATTTGAGGCTGTCATTTAAATCAATTTAATATGAATGTTATTCCTATGGCCATGATTCCCTGGCTTCTCATACTAAAGCTTTGCTGGTTTTTGTTACTCAATTGCAGAACCTTCAAAGAAAAATGTTTAATATTAATTATTATGTTATCCTCCACTCTTGTGAAATAGGTATGTCCCCTTACCAAAAGCACTGTGGAAGCCAGAATGTAACGCCATGAAAAATTACCCTGGGACCACAGAGTCATCAGATTTTAAATCACTGCTGTCTATTCCTTTTCAGAAAGACTTTTTCCCCTTTAAAATGGATCATTTAGTTGCATTATTATCTCTACGATTATCAACAACTCTTTCTGTCAATGTCATTCAACTGAGACTTATTGAGTGTCCACTGAGTTTCTGTAAATGTTTCCTTCATCTGTAAATCAAAATAGCTCCAAGGACTTTGGTCATGGGACAGTGAATTCTGGGGGAGGAGAGGAGAGAGAAGTGGGGAAGGCAGGCATGAAACAATACAATCTCAGGGTGTGTGTATAAGGTAAAGAGAACAAGGCTTGCCATCAGGGGACATGAATTGAACCGTAATTTCAGAATCAATCAGTGACCTTGGGCATGTCATTTAACCACATTTGAATTTTAGTTTTCCAATGAAAGAAACATGTACCTAAAACCTCTGTGAGAAAACAGCCCTCTGGACTTGGTGGGTAACACTTAGATAGTTGCTGCCTCAACTGCAGACCTGCATGAAGCCGGCATTGCTTCCAGTCTGTGGCAGACAAAGCCTCCTCTGAAGACCTGAGGTTTTTCCTGGGGTCCTTCCAGCCTTGCATATTAAGGGAGAACTAAGGAGGGCTAAGCTGTGTAGGAGAGGCTACCTGGGTAGGGATGGTGATTTAGCGCCCACTCCCTGGAGAAAGCCCAGAGGAAGCTAAGAAGGAAAGCCAGCAAGTGCCTGCAGAGGTGGCCCAACCCTTTGGGACAAGAAGGGAGAAATAAATCTCTTCTTGGGACCCTCTGGGAATAAAACAGGTGGGCAGGAGGTCTCTGTTCTCTTGAAGCCAGCCTGGTTTTTACTCTTCTTCTACTCTTATTTTCTGGGTCCTCCCTTAAGATTTCCAGATTTTGAGAAATTCCAGCTGCCACATCTGAGCTAAAGGGAGATAAGACAAAGGGTTTGTGCCCAGTTGGACTGGGGCATTGAAAGCGCAGCCACAGGCTGGGTGCGGTGGGGCATGCCTGTAATCCCAGCACATTGGGAGGCCAAAGCGAGAGGATTGCTTGAGCCCAGGAGTTTGAGATCAGCCTGAGCAGCATAGTAAGATCCTGTCTCTACTCAAAAAAAAAAAAAAAAAGAAGCCAGGCACGGTAGCACACACCTGTAGTCCCAGCTACTCAGGAGGCTGCCATGGGAACATCATTTGAGGCCCAGAGTTCCAAGCTGCAATGAGCCATGATCGTGTCACTGCACTCCAGCCTGAGCAACAGAGCAAGACCCTGTCCCAGAAAAAGAGGAAAAAAAAGAATAAAATAGCAACCTCAGCTACTGGGCCTAAGAAGGTAGTGGGAGCCAAGGGGTGGCAGTGGGGTGGGTAGTGGCAAGCCCCAAGAATGACTAGCATTGACACACAAGGGCCATTTGGTCCCAGTTGTTTTTCCCACATCAAGAAAGCCCTTCCAGAGCTAAATCTACTTGGAGTTTTATTTTATTACCAGCAGCAAAATTCTCTGACACTATCTCCAAGTCTCATACCCCAGACACCTCAGTACCTGAAACCCCAGTGGACTAACAACCCCTGCCAAACACTCAGCTAGGAGCAAACATTCTGGACTCTTTCCAGCAGTGGCAAGGGGTTCCATGGAGCCAACCACACTCTCCCCCAGGTGAGAAATACTCTTCCAGGCCATTGACTGCATCCTCACTGCACATACTGGATGGCTAAAAAGGGTATGCAGTCTATGGCCTGGAAAGAACTTCTTCAGTTTGTATGCTCAAACATTGACCTCATCAGTTCAGACTCTGCTCCAATCCACAGAGCTGGCACACCCACATGACTCCCCTTTGTGATGTAAATAGCTGGATAATCCAGAAGGGACACCAAGCCTGGGACTCTGTTCTAGAAATTAATCTGCTGTCAGAGGTCAAGTGCCTTCCACTGCATGTCAAAAGGCCACTTAAAAAATCAGTCTAGCCCCCTTTATCATCTGTGTTTGTTATCAGTGTGCTACACCAAGCATGGTAAATGGGAGCTCCCAGTTCCAGGGAGCCTGCTTGCAACCCTTTAAACTCAAATAATAATATAACAGCAGCTAATCGTTTTGTTTTGTTTTGTTTTGTTTTTTTCAGAATGTAATGCATGCCAAGCATAGATTATCTCAGAAAATCCACACAATTAATCTATGCATTGGGGCTTATTTTCCTCATTTTGATAAGGAGACTGGGACTCAGAGAAAAAGTGATGTGCCCAAAGTCACACAGCTGGTGAGTGTGATGGCAAGATTCAAGTGCAGGCTTGGCCTCTTCAGCACTAAGCCATGCTTCAATTGTGGCTGGTATTGGTTAAGGTGATTGTAGTCACTAGTACTGGACACCAACAGCTGCTGGCTAAATAAATAAGAAACAATCCAGAAGGCAAGGAGAATGTTTTATATTTACTAGACGATTTCTAGAAGAACTATCAGAATGCAATAAAAAGCTGCACCCCAGGTGAAAAGGAAGCAGGGCAGTGAGGCCTGAGCAGCAGGATTTGTGGACTTTCCAGGGCACCTGGTGCCAACTTATGGCTTCAGTGAATCAAAGTTACAAAACTCCTGGGGAAAAAAAGACTATTCCAGCTTGATTTGGTGTACTCCCAAGGTCAGTGAGCTTGGCCAGCAGGTCATGGGCACGAGCGGAGACAAAGATTGTCAGGCCTCTGAGCCCAAGCCAAGCCATCACATCCCCTGTGACTTGCACGTATACATCCAGATGGCCTGAAGTAACTGAAGATCCACAAAAGAAGTAAAAATAGCCTTAACTGATGACACTCCACCAATGTGATTTGTTCCTGCCCCACCCTAACTGATTAATGTACTTTGTAATCTCCCCCACCCTTGAGAATGTACTGAGATCCACCCCTGCCTGCACAACATTGCTCTTAACTTCACCACCTATCCCAAAACCTATAAGAACTAATGATAATCCACCACCCTTTGCTAACTCTCTTTTCGGACTCGGCCCACCTGCACCCAGGTGAAATAAACAGCTATGTTGCTCACACAAAGCCTGTTTGCTGGTCTCTTCACACGGACGCGCATGAAATTTGGTGCCGTGACTCGGATCGGGGGACCTCCCTTAGGAGATCAATCCCCTGTCCTCCTGCTCTTTGCTCCGTGAGAAAGATCCACGTACGACCTCAGGTCCTCAGACCGACCAGCCCAAGAAACATCTCACCAATTTCAAATCCGGTAAGCGGCCTCTTTTTACTCTCTTCTCCAACTTCCCTCACTATCCCTCAACCTCTTCCTCCTTTCAATCTTGGCGCCACACTTCAATCTCTCCCTTCTCTTAATTTCAATTCCTTTCATTTTCTGGTAGAGACAAAGGAGACACGTTTTATCCTTGGACCCAAAACTCCGGCGCCGGTCACGGACTGGGAAGGCAGGCTTCCCTTGGTGTTTAATCATTGCAGGGACACCTAATTATTCAACCACGTTTCAAAGGTGTCAGACCATGCAGGGACGCCTGCCTTGGTCCTTCACCCTTAGTGGCAAGTCCTGCTTTTCTGGAGGAGGGGCAAGTACCCCAACCCCTTCTCTCCGTGTCTCTACCCCTTCTCTGCTTTTCTGGGGGAGGAGCAAGTACCCCTCAACCCCTTCTCCTTCACCCTTAGTGACAAGCCCCACTTTTCTAGGGGGCAAGAACCCCCAATCCCTTATTTCCACACCCCAACCTCTTATCTCTGTGCCCCAATCCCTTATTTCCACACCCCGACCTCTTATCTCTGTGCCCCAATCCCTTATTTCCACACCCCGACCTCTTATCTCTGTGCCTCAATCCCTTATCTCTGTGCCCCAACACCCCTTCCCGCTTTTCTGGAGGGTAAGAACCCTGAACCCCTTCCCTCCGTGTCTCTACACTCTTTTTTCTCTGGGTTTGCCTCCTTCACTATAGGCAACCTTCCACCCTCCATTCCTCCTTCTTCTCCCTTAGCCTGTGTCCTCAAGAACTTAAAACCTCT